>NC_000002.12:240543788-240871736 GCF_000001405.40 Homo sapiens | reverse complement strand
CAAGATATGGAAGTCTGCACCAAGCCCTCTTCAGCCCTGGGGACAGAGGTCAGTGGGCACTATGGGGGCGCTCGGCCAGGGAGCACCTGAGCCTGCCCTGGGACCTGGGGTTGTCTTTAGACTCAGCCCAGAGCAAAGAGGACCTGGGAGGTGCCTGCACCCCATACCATGTGACAGAGGCTGGGGTGGGGACCAGGGGCAGAAGGACCAGAGGGACCAGTGCCCACCCCTCCCCATAGCCTGGCTCTGAGCTGTGCTCCAGTCCACCGCCCTGGGGCCAGGCTCACCTGTGGCAGAGTTCCCCGAAGCCATCAAGGGGCTGCAGCACGCCGGTGGACGACTCCCCGTGGGTTAAGAACAGCAGCACTGGCTTGTGCTGGGCCAGGCCCTGAGGAAGCAGGGACGGCTGTGGGTGGAGCTCAGAGGGGCAGGGGCCAGAACACCCCCACAAACCCCCCATGGGTGGCACAGCTCCAGGTAGCAGGGGCTGGGCCTGCCTCTACTCCTCCCTGATGGTGTGCATGGGAGGAGGAGGCTGGGGCATCTCCGCTCCGGGACAAGGGCTTTTCCAAGAACAGGACTTTGGTGCAGAGATGGAGGAGGGTGCCCCCAGCCTGTTGCCTGGCCTGTGAGGGCTGTTGCTAGATGGACTGAGTCCCCACACTCCGGGTAGGCTGAGGTTGACTTCAGCCCACAGGGTGGGGTATCCTGAGTGTCAGGGACATGTTCTGCAGCCTAGACTCCAACTCGGCCTCCTGCCTCCAGCCTCTCTGGCCCTGCCTACAGGACCAGGCTCCTGACTCAGTTTCCCTGCCAGACAGAAGCCTCCTTACCAGTCTTCCCACCATTCCCAGGTAATGGAACCCTCCCCTGTGGCCGCTCACCAGATGCTAGGATGGGCTGAGGGTCAGCCACCAGCCTCCCGGCCATGATCCCACCCTGCTGGCTGGCCAATTCCAGGCAGCCCCTGAGCCAGCATGCCCACTCCCACCTCCTCCCGGCCCTGACCCCCACCCCGGGTCCCCTACCTCCTCCACCTCCTGCAGTGTGTAGTGGCCTCCAGGGTCCTTGGTCATCGGGTGCACTCGGGCTCCTGGGTGCAGGACAGAGTGGGCCGTGAGTGTCCCGCACACACTGTAGAAGCCAGTGTTGGGCACCCGTGGCCCTGCTGAGCAGGGCCCTGTGAGGGCTGGACCCCACCCACCGTGGCACCCTGGCTGCCTGCCTGAAGAGGAGGGTGGACTCTGCCCAATGAGAGCCTCTCTGTGTGTAGAGCCAGGGCCATCTTGACCCCCCTGCTGTTGGAGCCAACGCTCCTGGGGCACTCTTGACAGAGCTCAGCTCAAATGCCCTTTCTCAGGCCACACTGACCAGTGCCTCCCCAAGCAGAGAGTGAGCTCCCGGGAGTCAGGGCTGCACCTGGCCCAGGGCTGGCACAAAGAGTGTACCTGGTCCAGGGCTGGCACACCACAGGTGTGATGGATGACAGACTGAAGGATGAGGGGTGAGTGAGGCAGCAGCCTTGACCTCTGTTGGAGCTGGGGACTCCAGGAATCAGGCCCTCACCCCCTCCCTGTCTCTGCCCTATCCTGTGTGCTGTTCAGGGCCAGGTTGTGGGAGGGGAAGAACCTGCGGCCAAGGGGACAGAATGGGGAAAAGGGAAGCCATATACCACAGGCATCTGAGCCTGCGTGCCCTGATGTCCACTTGGGGTCCTGGCCTCTGCCGACCCTGGGTCCCCTTGAAAAGTTTGTGGACTTGGGGTTGGGACCCTCTTGGCTGTTGCGGTCGCGTATTAACCAGCATGGCCATTGTGGAGCTCACCAAGCTGATGTCCCTCAATGCCACAATCAATCATTAAACCCAGGGCACACTCCTGCTCCTGTGTCTCTCCCAGAAAAGTGTACTCCGGAGGCGAATACTCTGCCCATACCTCCATATTTTGTGTATCACATCAAGATTCCAGAAGGAAGGCTGCTGAGATTTGAGGGGAGGCTTCAGCTTCTGAAACCCCACCCTGTCACAAAGCAGAGCTGGTGCCTGGGGCCCTGGACAGCGGCCGGGGCTCTCAGGAGTGTGTGCTGGGACCAGAGGCTTCCCTGTAGTTCCGTCCTGCACATGCTCCAGAAACAGCTCAAGGAGACTGGGGGGATCGGGGCACCTGTGCTGCTCCCAGCCCTATCAGAGTCAGGCCTCATGAGTGCCCGACACCGCCTGGAGGAGGCAGTGGGCTGGCAGGAGGTTCGTGCGCACAGGGCCACAAGGTGGGTAAGCGCTCACCCAGGAACGGGGGCTGCCAGCTTCAAACAGAGGGAGGCCAGGGAGGCCTTGAAGGATGGATCCAGGGCCATCCCCACCTGGGCCTCTCCCTTACCTATGCGCTCCCCGATGTCCACGGCTCGCTGCCCCCAAATGCCATTGGCCCCAACCAGGAAGGAGTCCCCAGGCTCCAGCACATTGACCAGGGCGGCCTCCAGGGCACAGTGTCCCGAGCCAGAGATGACCAGTGTGAGTGGGTTCCTGGTCTGGAACACGTACTGGATGCCTTCCTTGATCTCGTCCATGATCTGCATGCGGGTGGTATAGGGTGAGACCCAGGCTCCCCGCCTCCCCAAGTGAGGAGGCAGTGACCCCCTTCCCTCGTCCACGATCTGTGGGTGGGAACATGGGTGAGACCCAGGCCCCCCGAGTGACCCCCACTCCTACCTGGTACATATCCTTGCTCATGGACCCGATCATCTGCAGCCCCCCGGCTGCCATGATGCGAGGAGGCAGGTTGGAAGGACCAGGCCCCAGCAGGAGCTGGTTGGGGATGGAGAGGGGCTTGAGCAGGGCCTTGGGGGGGGTCACCAGCAGCTTGTGAGAGGCCATGGTCCGCACCCAACCTGCCGCTCGGGAACCTGGGGCTGCACTGGCCTTGGCCAAAGCCTGGAATATTTCCCAGCAGGGCGGACACAGAGGTGAGAGGTGAGGATTGGTGGATGGGCTTCCGTGGCAGCCCTGCCTTTTGTTCCCTGAGGCTTATCTGTGCTTGTGCTGCGGGTCACGGCCAGGCAGCAGGGGACGAAGCCCTCAGGCAGAGGGAGCCCCCAGGGCTGAGTGACAGAAAAACAGAGTGTGACAAAGCTGTCCTCACCCCAGCCCTCCTCGCTCCCACTCTGAGTCCTGCACGTCCAGCCCCTCTTATTCTGCTTAGCTCAGGGGTGAGAGAAGTGTTTCTTAAAGGGTCGGAGCACAGATAATTGAGGCTTGGCAGGCCCTGTGGTCTATGTTGCAACAACTCAACCCTGCTGCGTGCTTGCAAAGCAGCTGCCAGAGGTGTGGGCGTGTTCCTATAAAACTTTATTTACAAAAAGCAGGTGGCAGGCCAGATTGGGCCCATGGACTGTGGTTTGCTGACCCTGGCGCAGCTGATGGGAAGGCTTGTAAACCAAAAATAAAATTCGAAGGCCCCCCAGCAACCATCTGAATGGGGTTCCCTGTCCGCCAGGGTGCTCTAAACTTTAACCCGGAAGACGTTCAGGCCATGCCACATCATAACCCCCAGCATTAACATCGACATAGACCTTAAGTCTGATAGGAAGCATTTACCATCTATTTTCTCTCTAAATCCCGCTACCTGAAGGCATCATCTGCTCCCTGCAACCCCTATTTCATAACCCAGACACTCCTTTCTGCTGATAATAATTCTTCAGTCAGTTGCCAATCAAAATATGTTTAAATCTACCTATGACCTGGAAGCCCCCCAATTCAAGTTGTCCCGCCCTTCCAGATGGAACCAATGTAAATCTCCCATGTATTGATTGATGCCTCATATCTCCCTAAAATGTATAAAAGCAAGCTGTGCCCCGACCACCTTGGGCCCTTGTGGTCAGGGGTGCACCCTTGAGCTTGGCAAGGATGTCCTCCCTCCTGAGGCTGTACCACGGGTGCATCCTTAGCCTTGGCAACAAAAACTTTCTAAATTAATTGAGACCTGTTTGAGGTACTTTTTGGTTTACAGGCTCAATTTAGCAAGCAAACCTGCATGGTATACAGACACACACAAGGCAGGGGTTGCACAGTGAGTTTCAGCATGCTGCATTCCAGAGATGTATAGAAATTCTAGTTATGTATAAGTTTTAGGTTGAAAAGAGGCCTGGAACCAGGTGCCAACTTTAGATAATAGGGAAGTCTAATTCATTCTACATTTCTCAAATAAAGAGGCTCCCCTCCACCCACCCCACCTGGGGCCTGCTTGATGGTCTCCAGGTGATCTTTGCTGTCCTCATTTTCCCTCTGACAAATATCTTGGTGAAATCTTTGACCCTTCCTTTTCTGCCATGCTCATGTCCACCTGCTTCCTGTTGGGGTCTCAAGAAAGGGGAAACGGCACAGTGAAGAGGGGTGTCCAGTGCGCCTGACTACTTGCTGCTGAAAGGGAGTTCAGGGGGGTAGGTCACGTTTTTCCCTTTCTTGCTCTCGGTCATGAAGGGAATAAAGGGTCATGAAAACTTGTGCACGGAGGCACGTGATGGGATTCCATCAAGAAGCCCCACGTAAATGGGAGCTGCAGTTGCAGGCCGGTATTTCCATCAAGAAGCCCCATGTAAATCGAGCTGCAGTTGCAGGCCAGTGTTGGGAATGCATAGCCTTCTGCAGGTGGAATTGTTCTCATGTAGAACATAGAAAAGCAATCAGAGCATTAAAAAGGCAGGGACCAAATATTAAAAGAAAAATGACAGAAGATAAAGGTCTAAGGAATGGGGGAAGCCAAGTGATTTTTTGAAAACCAATCAGTAAAAGTTTTGGCCCAGTCTTGGTTGCTTTGGGAAAGTGTGTGTAGCCATTTGGCTTGTTTGATGATTTCTTGGGCATCGGTTTCCACTTCTCCAGACACATAAATGTAGGTGCAACGGGTCCTGTTGATGACAGCACAGACCCCTCCTTGTTCAGCTAGGAGGTAATCCAGAACTCACCTGTTACCAGACACCAAAATCCTGCTTGTGAGTCTAATGACTTGTAGAGCTGATAGATGGGTGCCAGCTTTTGCTATTTCAAGGGAGGCGGTAGGTTCTCTTACTTGTGATTTCCTGGTAAGTAAAACCTCCCCAAGGGGTAAGAGTTGTGATAGTTCCCACAACTCCGGCCACAGTAAGTCCCAGGGCCCTTTTCCTTCTAGAAGGGAATTCTGAATTAGAAGTGATGTTTAAGACAGTGATTTGGGTGGGAGCTATTGTTCCCAGGCTACAATCACCATAGTGAAGAGAATGATCAAGGTGGGATAGGGCCAAAGCTTGAAAAGGGTTTAAATAGTTTTTAGTGGGGCTGCTAAGCCATAAGAGCCCAGGAGGGGCAGGATGATTATTTTAATTAAAATGTTGGGAAAAAAGGAAATGGGCCTTTTGACAGTTTTAAGAGGACTCATATGGGGGAAAGACTATGTTTATGTACTGATGGAGGAGGTTTAAAAGCAGGCGGGTGCCAGTGCATGGCATAGGATGTAAACCAGGTGGCACGGTGGTTATTTCCTGCACTGGTTGCATCATTATAGTAACATACATGAAGGTATTAGGAGTGCAGGGGTGCTGTATACTGGGAGCCCCACTATACTGGTCCAGTTTAACGGCTTATAAATTGGCAGTGATGAGATAGAGTCAGATTTTTTTTTTTTTTTTTTTTGAGATGGAGTCTCACTCAGTTGCCCAGGCTGGAGTGAAGTGGTGTGACCTTGGCTCACTGCAACCTCTGCTCCTGGGTTCAAGCGATTCTCCTGCCTCAGCCTCCTGAGTAGCTGGGATTACAGGCACCTGCCACCACGCCCTGCTAATTTTTGTATTTTTAGTAGAGACAGGGTTTCACCATGTTGGTCAGACTGGTCTCGAACTCCTGACCTCAGGTGATCCACCCACCTCTACCTCCCAAAGTGTTAGGATTACAGGTGTGAGCCAGCGCACCTGGCCAGAGTCAGAGTTTTGATTGTAGGAGGCGAAGGCCTCAAATGAGTCAAAGTTAGCTGCATGAGTGTCATTATAACAAGGTGTACCTCCCAAAATAACATTACAAGTTAAGGAAGTTTCAGTGATATTGTAAGTGTGGATGGTGGGGGAAGTAATATGATAGCACGAAGAGGGAGGTGGTTTCCAATTTACCAGCACAGAAGGAAATGGTCGGGGTGGGAAGGAGTGGTGAGAAGAATAATGAAATCCCAACAGTACAGTTTGATTGGAGACAGGGTGTGCTTACGAAGAAGAATCTACATGGCTTGGAGTAGCAGGTTGTGGACGGCAAAGCCAGCCACACAGAGTATTTTCTCCTCTCACAATAGCATGTGAGATGCTGAAGATGATATTGTCAAACCAAGAGGATTGGGAAGTTTTTATATGAGAGATAAAGAGAAAAACATGAAAGAAAGAAAAAAGGAGTCTCATTGTTCTAATTCAAGGACTGTTACAAAAGTTGCTCCAAGTATAATTAGAAAAACCACCCTGCAAATAAAAATCTAGTGCAAGCTGAATAATTGTATGTGGGTCTTGAGAAATGGGGATTGGATAAAGAGACAGTAAATTGGCTGGGTGTGGTGGCTCATGCCTGTAATTCCAGCACTTTGGGAGGCTGAGACGGGCGGATCACCTGAGGTCAGAAGTGTGAGAACAGCCTGGCCAACATGGTGAAACCCTGTCTCTACTAAAAATACAAAAAAAAAAAAAAAAAAAAAAAAATAGCCGGGCATGGTGGTGCATGCCTGTAATCCCAGCTACTCAGGAGGTTGAGGCGGGAGAATCACTTGAACCCGGGAGATGGCGGTTGCAGTGAGCCGAGATCGCACCATTGCACTATAGCCTGGGTGACAAGAGCAAAACTCTGTCTCAAAAAAAAAAAAAAAAAAAAAGTAAGTGAATTGAGGATAATCTCAGAAAATTGGAGGACCTAAAAACGCTTCTAGAGTACATAAGGAAATGAATGACAAGGGAGGGAAAGGAAAGTGAATGATAAACACAGCAAAAGGCTTACGTGGTATCCTTTGCTTTTGAAGAGAGGTTAGTGTCACCTGGTTGTTTGCAAAACAAAAATCATAGATCTTCCAAGGGCTCAAAGTGTAAGCAGGCTGGAGTTCTGGCGGCAGTACAGACTTTATGTGGCAAAGGTGGACCCAAGGGGAGAATCCCTGCAGTTAACAGCTGTGGGAGAGGCTATGAGGACTTGAAAGGGTCCAGTCCAGAGGGCTGGAAGGGGTTTTCTGTCTGGAGGCAAAGTTTTTAAATATACCCAGTCCCCAGGTTAACAGGAGGTCTTAGTTCTGATGAGGAGGGGTCAGATTTTGGACAAAATTTATCCTGGTATTCAGTAGTGGCCTGGATAGTTTGCCCAGGGAGGCATCACATTGAGACAGATAATGAGCCTCTGGATCAAGTAATAAGTCCGTTTGTAAAAAGGGGCATCCATAAATAATTTCAAAAGGGCTAAGGTGGGTTGAAACCTTTGGGAATTACTCTAGATCTTAACAGGGCAATAGGAAGAAAAGTTATCCAAAACAGTTGAGTTTCTATAGAGAGCTTAGTGAGAAGGGTTTTCAAAGCTAGCTTGGCCCTTGGATGACTGTGGGTGGTAAGCAGCATGTAAGTGATATTTTATTTGGAGGGCCTCACTGATTCCTGGAGTAATAGAAGAAATAAAGGCCAGGCCATTGTCTGATTGGAGGGATTGAGGGACCCCAAATCGAGGAATAATGTGTTCTAAAAGAGCCGTAGTTACTTCTGATGCTCTTTCTGTTCGAGTGGGAAGGCTTTAGTCCAGCTTGTGAAAGTGTCTATAAAGACTAAAAGGTATCTGAATCCCTTATGAGAGGGCATGTGGGCAGAGTCAGCTTGCCAGTACGCCCCTGGGACAGGCCCTCTACGTTGAATAGGTTGGAGGAGGGCAGGGGGTTCATTGCACCCTCAGGATTTGATTGACAGCAAATTGGGCAGGATTGGGAAATGTCCCATAGAGTTGGGGCTAGGCTAGGTTAGGCCCTTGAAAAAGAGGATCTCTTAAGGCTTGTAAAGTTTCCACCCCCAGGTGGTTAGCTTGATGGAGATTTTAGAGGATTTTCCATTGTGGAACCTCAGGGAGGAGAAGTTTATTTTCAGAGTTTTGAAGCCATCCTTCAGGAATGAATGTGAAACCCTGTTTTAGTGCCTTTTGTAAATTTTGTGGGGTGTGCTGGGGTTTTGGTGGGATTGGGTGAGGAAAGAGGGTGGCCAAGCAGTTGATTTAGTTTGTTTATCTGCATAATTATCCCCTCTGGCAGGATTTGAGTTATCTTTTTGATGAGCCGGACAGTGAAGGATTTTGCTATTTCAATCAGGAGATGTATGTCTTCTAGCAAGGTTGAAATTTCAGGGACATGCTGAATGGGGGTGTTATGGGCTGTGAGAGGTGCATGGTTAGTGGCGGTGTTCTGGGCTGTGAGAGATCCTCTTTGCTTCCAGTGGCTTCATGGGCATGCGTTACGTGACACACAGATTGAGTCAGGATGTAAGTCACTTGAGCTTTATTCCAGTCCCCAGTTAGAGAGCTATGGTAAGGGCTATTAGTTCAGCTTTTTGAGCCAAGGTGGTTCCTCTGGGTGGAGGACCTGATTCTATGACTTTAGTTAGGCTAACTATAGCACAGCCTGACACTCTCCTTCTAAAATGAACCTGCCACCATCAGTGCACCAGGTAGAATCAGGAATTTTATGCACAGTGTCCTTTAGATCAGCCCTAGCACTGCACGTAAGATCAATAGTTTCTACACAGGAATGTCCAAGAGCAGCCATAGGTTTTATAGATAATTCAGGAGTTTGCAAAAAAAGTGATTGGTACTTATGAATTCTATTATCTGAAATCCAATAGAAGGCTTTAAAATTTAGAATATCCAAGACCTGATGCGGGGATAAAAATCATTAAGGTTTGTCCTAGAGTTATTTTTGAGGCTTCTTGGACTAACAGGGCCACCACTGCTAAGACTTTTAAGCAGGGGCGCCATTCCTGGGATGCCAAGTAAAGGTTTTGAAAAATACACTACAGGGAACTTAGAGGGCCCCAGATCTTGGGCTAAAACTCCCAAAGTGATTCCCCTTCGTTCATGTACATTCAAAAAGAAAGGCTTGGTCAGATCTGGTAAGGCTAAGGCTGGGTCTGAGATTAAAGCCTGTTTTAAAGTCTTTAGAGCATGCTTCATATTATTAGTCCATGTTAGAGGTTGTCCCTCAGCTCCTTTGAGGGTTTCATGTAAAGGTTTTGCTATTAATCCAAAGGGAGGAGTTCATATTCGTACCCTCTAAGGACCCAAGCTGTTGTTTAGTTCCTGGAGTTGTCACGTTTAAGATAAGATCTTATATTTTGTATTTTATTTTTTAATTTATTATTTATTTTATTTTATTTTGTTTATTTTTTAGACTGAGTTTTACTCTGTCACCCAGGCTAGAGTGCAGTGGCATGAACTTGGCTCATTGCAACCTCCGCCTGCCAGGTTCAAACAATTCTTCTGCCTTAGCCTCCTGAGTAGCTGGGACTACAGGCACCTGTCACCACACCCAGCTCACTTTTTTTGTATTTTTAGTAGCAATGGGGTTTCACCTTGTTGGCCAGGCTGGTCTCGAACTCCTGACCTCAAGTGATCCATCTGCCTCAGCCTCCCAAAGTGCTGGGATTACAGGTGTGAACCACTGTGCCGGGCCTAAGATAAGATCTTTACAAGTGCTAGAGAGGCTCTTTGTGCTGGGAGTTAAGATAAGACCCCAAAATTGAACACCCTGTGTGGATATTTGTACCTCAGAAGGAGATACTTTGCACCTATAATCAGCACGTTTGTTTAGTACTAATACAGTATTTTGGTCTGGAACAGCTTTGCTAGGACTACAGATTATATGTCATCCACATACTGGAGTAGATTGCTATCTGGGAGAAGCTGCAGTGTGGACAGGTCTTTAGGGCCTGTCTAAAAAGGTGGGAGCTATCTCTGAATCCCTGGGGCAGAACTGTCCAAGTTAACTGTTGAGTTATTTGAGTATCTGGGCCTTGCCATTCAAAAGCAAACAAATATTGGCTATCTGAGCATACAGGAATGTAGAAAAACACATTCTTAAGATCAAGAACTGTAAAACAAGCTGTAGTGGAGGGAATCTGTCCAAAAAAGGTGTAAGGGTTTGGGACAATAGGATGAATACGAATAACAGCTTCAGTAATGACTCTAAGGTCGGAGCCATTTGGTTTCTTTACAGCTAAAAGGGGGGTGTTACAAGGTGAGTTGCATGGGTACACTCATCCACGGGTTAAACATTTTTGTTATTAGAGGTTTTAGCCCTTTTCATGCTTCTGGTTTCGAGGGGTATTGGGGGGTTCTGGGGAACTTATTGGAATTTTTAAGCTGAATGATGACAGGAGTGGCTGATATTGAACGGCCAGGAATAGAAGTTTTCCAAACCTCAAATGGCACTTGTTTTAGAATGTGAGGTTCTACAGATTGTAGCAGCTCTTTTGGTGATGTGTGAGTTAAAACAGCTAGAAGGTGAAGCCTTAGCTATAAATTAGCTTGTAATTTTGTGAGTAAGTCATGCCCTAATAATGGAACAGGTCAGCTTGGCAGGACTAAAAAGGAGTGCGTAAAGGAATAGCCTTCCATTTCACAAGGGAGTGGTGGTGTGAAACAGCCTCGTTGGGGTTTTCCATTCACACCTGTGAGGAAAATGAGGGACTGGAACATTGGGCTACAGTAAATATTTAAAGCTGAATAACTGGCCCTTGTATCCCTGAGGAACATTGTCTCTTGTTCAACCTCAATCAGATTTCCTCAGGGCTCCTCCATAGAGATAGAGAAGTTAGGGGCACACGGCCCTGTCAGTCATCTGGAGAATGACTTTCAGAGGCTTGGTCATCACCCAGGGAGAGAGTGAGAGGTGCCCGTCCTTGCCCTCATCCTTGTCCTTGTTCTGCAGGACCCCCTTGTTGGGTAGGTTGGCAAGGTTGTGGCTGTGATGGCACAGAAGGAAGAGGTGCCCCATGCCCTGTCATGGGGGAGAGAAGGAAAAGGCACTCTTCCAATGACCCTCTTGTTTGCAATGAGGACAGGGTCCCGGGGGCAGCTTATAACCCAGAGGTTTGGGATATTCTATACTCTAGTGTCCTGGATTCTTGAAATAATGACAGGCCCCTGTTCTGTTAGTGTTATAGGGACAAGCCTTGGGGTTAATAGCAAATGAAAAGAATGTGCCAATGCTGTCGCCATGTCAGTAGCTTGACCACACCATTTTTCCTCCTCCAACTGAGCCTTTCTTATTTTTAATGTTTCCTCCTGGTTACTGAAAACCTTAAAGGCTGCATTTAGTAAAGTAGGAAAGGGAGTTTGTGGGCCTTGCTCTAATTTTGGAGTTTTTGTCTGATGTCTTAGGGAAGGCTGACATAAAACGTGTGGCCAGAAAGGATTGGCCCTCAGGGGTTCCGGGGTCTAAATTGGTATATTTATGCATGGCCTACACCAGTCTAGCTTGGAAAAGGGCAGCGGTTCTCAGATGGCTCCTGAGTGATTTCTCGTAATTTAGAAAAATTAACGGGGTTTATTAGAGCTTTTTCATTCCTTCCAACAAGTAAGTTATAATCTCATCTGCCCCTGCCTCTGTCTGGGCCACATTGGCAGCCTGGTATTGCCAGTGGGTTCTGTTTTGGAGACAGATTTTTCCCGGCTCTATTATCATTAGGATTATGAGCATGAGCTTTATGTGCCCCAGCTTGAGCTAAAGACCATAGGCTTGATTTTTCTTCATGGGAACAAGTAGTTAATACACGAATGTGTCTTCCCAGGTCAAATCAAAGGCAAGAATTAAAGCTCGAAATTCTTGAATGAACTTAGTGGGATCCTGGCTAAATGAACCCAGTGTGGATTCGAGAAAGATCAGACATTGGAAAAGGGACATGAACTTGAATTGTTCCCAAATCTCCATTTGCCACCTTGTGGAGAGGTAAAACCCTTGTGGGATCTTCTGAGGACTCTTTGCTAGTGGCATATGTGACTCCTGTGTGAGTATGTGAGGGGGATAGAGTATCTGGGTATGGGGGCGGGAGATTGATTGGGGGATGGAGCAGACTGAAAGGGGGCAGGTGAAGTGGGAGCAGGCTGCAGAGAGTGTGATGGGCAAAAGGAAGGGTCATCTAAGACATCAGAATCAGGGAGGGAGGAAGTTCCTTAGAAGCATATGTGACAATTTTTGTGTAATTTTGGGTTTTGGGATAAAGCCAAAAAGACTTGAACACATGGGACCTCTGCATCCTTTCTGAGGTTCCAGCAAAACGAGTCTAGCTGTAAAATAATATTCCAATCCAGGGTCCCATTCAGAGGCCAATATAAATTATTGGGGAGCATATATTGAACCCCAGATATATTACAAAAGAAAACCATATGCTTCTTTTTAAAAGTTTGTGGGTCAAAATGAGACCAGTTTTGAAGAATGCCATCCAAGGGCGAGTCAGATGGAATTGAAGAATGAAATGGACCCATGTTGGGTTCAGATCAGGTACTACAAGATCCCCGAGGTGTCCCTGAGGGACTTGGACCTCACCTCTTCGGCTCACTCTATTCGGGGGCGTCTACCACAAATGGAGGGCCTGCCCTTGCCTGGACGACCACTCCAGGTGTGCCCGTGTTTGAGCGGTCAGCTCAGACCTAAGGTGAAGGAGAACTCACCCATAACTTGGGATGCGGTTCCCACTTGAAGTGGAATCCAAATGTGGGTCCGCAACCAGTGGAATGTGTCTGCGCAGAGTGGGGATCACTGCTGCTCATTTCCAAGGCATGGTTTACAGGGCATCAAGTGAAAGTGGACTTGCCACCCCAAAGGGCAATAGTAAATTCCCTCTTTTGTCTTGGCCTTCGGGTAACACCAGGTAGTGCCCTTGGCCAGAAACCTTCAATTGCCAAAGAGTACTCAAGCTGGTTCCCTGGCAGTTCAAAAACGGAAAAGAACCCTGGCTAATTCCTCACCCCTAAGGGCAGTGATGGAAAGATATCTCTTCTCTAGGGCTTCAGGATCCCACTGAAGAGTGGTCTTGGACAGAGCCCTCAGTTTCCGAGTAAAGAACCAGACCATCAAGGGAAGCAGGGAGGGAAAAGAAGGGAGAAATCCCAGTAAAGTCCTGTACGCACAACCGAGGTGCCTGGCGAGGTGTCGGAGCCCCAGCCTCGGGAAGGGGCCGACTCGAGGGCTGGTAAGAACTTACCAATGACAGTATGGGTTTGGAAGAGGAAAGTTTTATTAGGAAGAAAGAACGCTGCAGAGAAGTGCAGTGGGTGCCTCTGCCGGAGGACTCGGCACCACCAGGGATTTTCCTTAGGAGCATTTCTGGACCCCACGGCGGGAGCTGAAGGGTGATTTGCACAACAAATGCTACATTTGTAGACATTCTGGTGCCTTAGTGATGGCAGGGGGTGCACATTGATTTTCATCAGCCACGCATTCTGGAGATGTCTAGAAATTCTAGTTACTTATAAATGTTAGGTTGAAAGGAGGCCTGGAACCAGGTGCCAACTTTAGATGATGGGGAAGTTTAATTACTTCCAAATTCCTCAAATATGGAGCTTTGCCATGGATGGCCTGCCTGATGGTCACCAGGTGGTCTTAGCTGTCCTCAGCCAGCTCACGGGGCCTTCCCAGCTCTGCCTCCTGCCCACCCCCAAGCACACTCCCCTCTGCTCCAGTCAAACCCATGCGCCTGTGCCTTGGCATATGCTGCCCTCTCTGCCAGCAGTGCTTGCTCCTGTCTTTACTCAGCTCCCCCTCACTCCCCAGGGAGTCATCCCAATTGTCCAATGTCCTCAGCTGCCACCAGGCCACTCACCCCATCTGTTGCATCATCTGTTGACTGCCTGTCCTCCCTGGGGCGGGACCCCCTTTATGCAGCTCTGTGTGCCTGGCATGGCATGTGCGAGGGCATAGAAGATCTGGACACAGAGTTGGCTGACTGGTCCCGGAGGGTGGGTGGGCAGCCCTTGGAAAGCCAAGGAGGTGTGTGTGCTTTGTTCCAGAATGGAAGGTGTTGTTTGCTCATCCTTTGTCAAGGTAACCAGGAGAAGCTGTTGCAACCACCAAGGGAGGGTGTTTCCTCAGGCCGAGAGCTTATTGGGAGCTTCGGAGCTACGAACCACAGCAAGCTGCAGGGCAGGCAACTGACCTTTGTCACCCAGGAGTCCAGGGGATAAGGGCCACCTGGCCACGTGGCCAGGCCGTTCCAGCCAAGGCCAGCAGCAGCAGTGCCCTGGGAGTGGCCTCTCGCAGCTGTGAAACGGGAGCTGAGGGCACCACCTGCTCAGCTCAGCCGCCTTTCTGGGCCCTGGGGTGGGCCTGGGCTGGCAGGATGGGGCGTGAAGTCCGGGTCAGGACCCGGGACTGGCCTGCCTTGCCCTCCTGGGCAGGACTGACCTGGGGTTGTCTTAGTTCCCCAGATGAAGTCACCAGCGGAACCAGCCGGCCTGCTACCTGACACACAAGGCCAGGAACTGAGTATCTTTTAAAAGTTTAACTTGTTTTGTTATAACTGATATAAAATAATGCAAACAATTTCTTTGGGTCTGGTGCCTGTCTCACTAAGGCAGGCGAGCCTGTCGCCCTTAGGTGCTGTAGGGAGATGCTGTGCGGTCTGCCAGTCACACGTCCCCACCATGCACCATTTTAATTGAACCCCGGCTAAACCAGCCTATTGGGACATCCAGGCTGCAGGTGGCCATCAGGGCATTTGTCCTTCAACAGGCAGCAGCTGGGTCCCAAAAAGGGGAGGATTGGTGTAAAACCCACTGCCTTAACTGGAGGGCGGGACCCCTGGGCCGTGGGGCCTGTGCATGTGTAATGCAGTGGTGCCTTGAGGGTGTCCGGCACAAGTTGCCCCCTCCAGGTCACGGCCTGAATGGCAGGAGTTGGTTCTGGCAGGTGAGGGTCCTGCAGAACGGATGCCACCCAGTGGCTCCTGATGATAAGCCGTGTCCTGGGGTACCTGTTCTGGTGCTGTGTCCTGGGGTACCTGTTTGGGTGCTGTACCCAGGTCTGGTGTGCCACGAGGGCTGCCACCCATGCCTATGCTGTGACCCCATCCCTGGAACAACCCCTCCCATGCTGAGCCTGCTGCTGCATCCCTGCTCGGCACAGGTACCTATGCCCAGGACTGGGTGTAAAACCAAGTCCTGTGTGGACAGCCTGCCCGTGCAAAGCCAGGAGTCCAGCCAGGTGGAGGCAGGGCTGTCCCTGGACCTCTTATCTGTGAAGTGGAGGCAAGTTCTCCCCTGGGGTGACAGGGCAGAGGTCAGGGGCCACAGGTCATCACAGTAACGAGGGTTGTGGTGGAAAATTCCGGCTCCGCCTCTCCCACCTGGGCCAAGGCCGCCCTGACGCACTCTCCCCTCCCCATGCGACCCCGGCCAGCCCGAGGGTCCTCCCCGACAGGAGTGGGGGGTATGTGGAGCACCTCCCTGGGAGTCGGCACAGCCTCCTAAATGCTGGAGGACTCAGGAGCCACGACATCAGGGATTTCCAGGCAGCCTCCAGGGCTCCTTTCCCCAGGCGCCTCTGGCTGTGGCAAGTTCTTGGCATTGGTGGGTGGGGTGGGGGCAAGAGGTGGGTATAGAATCCAGCACTGCCTTCCTGGCGTTCACTCTGGGTTCCTAGAGGAGAGGAAGCCTTGGCCCCTGAAGACCTTCCCAAGCCCATGCCACAGAGATGTGAGCAGAGACCCCGTGTGGGGTTGGACAGGACAGGCCTGGCCCCCTTTCTGGAGGTGGCTGCAGGGGGCAGGACAGGTAGGGCCACCTCAACTGTGTGGCCCTGGCAGCTGCTTGTCCCACTGGGACCCCACGTCCTCATCTGCACAGCAGGGACACGCACTGGGGCAGCGAGGCCCACGGTGACTTGTGGGGAGAGGGCAACAGTGACTTGTGGGGAGAGGGCAACAGTGACTTGTGGGGAGAGGGCGACTGTGACCTGTGGGGAGAGGGCAGCTGCCCATTGCCGCAGTTTCTGGGCTTTGCTCCTGGGCCCCCGACCTGTCCCCCACCAAACTGGAGGGCCCCAGCACCCCAATTCCAGGACAGCCCATCACCCTCTTCTCCCAAGTGACTGTAGAATCTGAACCGGAAAGTAGAACAGATGATGAAGAAGATGCCCGGGCAGGTGTGGCCTCAGACTCTGCTGGGGCTGGCCCCATCTGCCGCCCCTGCCCTGCCTTCATGAGGCCAGCATTCTGGATACTGGGGAGTTCTGCTGGGGAAACAGCACCCTCCACACATCTCAGTGGTGATCAGTGGGTGCGGGGTGCATTGCAGCTCCCAGAATATGTGTGTCCTAGAACTAACCTCTGTGAAACTGACCTTGTACTAGGGTCTTTGCCAACGTGATCAGGTTAAGGGCATACTGGATGAGGGTGGGCCCTAGCCCAGATGAGGTAGGAGGCCAGCAGGAGTCATACTCCGGACTGGACTGAAGACAGGCCAAAAGCAGCAAGCAGCATGGAGGACACCCTCTGGCCACCCTCACTGCCCATCAGCCAAAACACCCCCCACCAACACCAGGACAGTTTACAATGGCACGGCAATGCACGGAAGTCATGGCCCATTTCCGTGGCAACAACTGGAAGTTACCGCCCATTTTCTAGCAATTTCTGAATAACCTGCCCCTTCATTTGCATGTCACTAAAAGTGGGTATAAATATGGCTGCCAATCACCCCCACATGTGGCTCACTGCTTATGGGTAAGCCTGCAGCACTGCCACTGCCTCCCCGAAGCTGCTTCCTTCCACTACCTGCTGGCTCTTGAATTCTTTCCTGAGCAAAGCAAAGAATCTCCCCTGCATCATAGTGACTGGTGTTCCACAGAGGCTGGCATGGATGCCATTGAGGAGAAGGGGGTCTGAGCGAGCTGGGTTCTCCTTTGTGCATAGCCCGCACCCACTCACGAGCCTCTCCACCTGGAATTCTGCCCTGTGGAGGGGGGATGTCCACGCCCACCCTGGCCTGCATCTCAGGGATTTTATGAGCATCATTGGGCATAACGTGCCACAGTGAAACCTGCCCAATTGTCCCATAGAACGGATGTCGATGGTTTCTTTTGAATAAACACAGAAATTGGCCCTCCCAGTCTTAAAACTTGAGAAAGCTACATCTGTCTTATCTGAGTTCCTTTCTCAGGAAATTGGCCTTCAGTCCTCCCAGATAGTCTGAAGGAATGGAGACTCACCAGATCGTGGCATCTAGACAAAGGGATGCCAGACCCTTCCCCCGTCATGGCTGCCTGTCCGGCCACCTGCTTCCTCCTGACCAACTCCTCTTCCTCACTCTCCCTAGTTCCTGTTTTCCTGCATATAGTTACATTTCTGCTCTGTAAACCTCTAATTTTAGTTGATCAGGGCGATGGATTTGAGATGCATCTCCCACCTTCTTGGCTGCAGCTCCCCATTAAAGCCTTCTTATTGGCTTTCTGTGTGGCAAGCAGCAGGACTGATACCAGACTCCTGGTGTTTTGGTAACAAGAGGACACTTGGGAAACTACAGCCACGAATCAGCTCAGCCCCAGTGCTGATGAGAAGCTGGTGGCCTTGCCCTTCTCAAGGATTTTCTCAGGAAAATCAATCTGATGCCTACTTGAGATGCACTTTTTAAATTGATTTTTTTTACAATAAAAGTATTGTGTGCTCATTGTAAACACTTTTAAAACATCAAAATACATTGTTTTAAAAATTAAATGCCTTTATACCCTCTATTTAGATGAGCCCACTTTTATTTTTTTTTGAGATGGAGTCTGGCTCTGTTGCCCAGGCTGGAGTGCAGTGGTCCGATCTTGGTTCACTGCAACCTCCGCCTCCCAGGTTCCAGCTATTCTCCTGCCTCAGCCTCCCAGGTAGCTGGGACTACAGATGTGCACCACCATGCCTGGCTAATTTTGTATTTTTAGTAGAAATGGGGTTTCATCATGTTGGCCAGGCTTGTCTCGAACTCCTGACCTCGTGATCCACCTGCCTAGGCCTCCCAATGTGCCGGGGTTACAGGCGTGAGCCACCACTACCAGCCAAAGCCCACTTTTACAACGGTGGGGGTGTGTGTCACTTTCTCATGTTTATTTTGCCACGTTTTTGTCCGTATAACTGAAATCATTCAATATACACTGATATTTGAATGGAGTAAACACCAGAACAATCTTGGGCCCCAGTGGAAGGTAAAAGAAAGGACAGACTGGTGCTGTGCACTGTGTGATCTACCATCCCACAGAACTTTTGAAAGAAACAACTGAAGTCATCTGACAGCACTTAAAGAGGCAGCGTCGCTACCCGTATGCATCGGAGTGACTTGGCCACAGCTTAAATTGAACGTTTTACCAAGGCATTTCCAGGGTGAATCTCCTTTCTTTGGATCTGCTGGATGCCAGGAAAGCGGTTTATCACTCTCGTGTAGGGAAGGGTGACAAGCAGGCCAGGGTGCTCCCTCGGCACTGGATCTCGGGGGTCCTCACCACCCTGGCAGATCAGAGAGGCCACTGCACCTAAGCTGTCTGTGCAGACAAGCGGCTCTGCTGGGCACCTGCTTTCCTCCCAGGGATCTGGGATCTGCAGGCATGCCGGGCAGAGGGTGCAGCATGACCAGCCCCAGAACAGCCCTGGCACTGAGGCTCTGAGGCACTGAAGGGCTTCCATGGTTGGGACATGTCACACGCGTCACCAAAACGTGGTGCTGGGGAATGGCATGCGTCCCGCGGGCTGCAGCTGGAGAGGACGCTAGAAGCTCGCGCTGGTTTCCTCCATGCTCTGCCCCGTGCCCTGCCCTGTGCTGACTGTGTGTGTGTCCTTTCCTTGTAAAAAAATCAAAGATCAGCAAGCCCTCCTGGAGAACTGTCAGCCTGGAGCCCTGGCAAACCTGCACAGCCACCTGTTTCCACCTCAGGCAGTGGTGTGGTTTCCCTCCACACGGTTGATTCTTGGTTAGAGCCACAGCTACTGTCCTCAATGCTGACAACCTTGTTTTCCCATCCTGGGCAAGTTCTGAGGTTTTGATTCATTAATTCATGTTTTTGTTTATTCACCATCATTTATTGATAATCTTCTCTGGATTAATCATAAGAGAATAAATGATCATGAATAAAACAGTGAGAAAATGCACAGGCTCACTGCTCCAATGTGCTGGCCCAGAAGTGGGGACCTGGGCAACCGCATGGTAAGACCTCAGAGGAGAGGCGGCCGCGGCAGGGAGTGAGCAGGAGGGAAAGGAAGACTTTCTGGCGGAAGCCACATCTGAGCCAAGATCTGCCTGGGGAGAATGGTTAATCTGGGCATGAAGATGGGGCCCAGAGCAGCAAGGCCTGCTGGACAGCACCCGCAAGACCCCCGGTAGGAGGGGAGGGTGCAGCCAGGATCAGAGGAAGGACAGTGTGGCCAGGGGGAGGTTGCAGGGTGGCCAAAGGGTGTGTGGGGCCACAGGAAGGATTTGGGTTTATGCTGAGAGCCCCGCGGAATCATGGGAGGATGGACTCTACCTACAGCAATGGCAGATCACAGCAGAGAGCCTGGAGGGTCTGCTCGGGAAGGCAGTGCCAGCTGGGGCTGGGAGGTGTTTTGAACTAAATTGTGCCATCCAAAATGTATGTGTTGAAGTCCTTGCCTCCAGTCCCTCAGGATGTGACCATATTTGGAGATAAGGTCTTTAAAGAGCTAATTAAGGTTAAATAAGGCTGTTAGGATGGACCCTAATCCAACCCCACTGTGTCTTAATAAGTAGAGGGGATTAGGACACAGACATGGGGGGCAGCCATGTGGAAACACAGGGAGAAGACGGCCATCTACAAGCCCAGGAGAAAGGCTTCTTTTGCTTAACCCCTTCACAACTCTTCCCCTGGTTCCCCAGCGTGTGTGCTCTAAATAGTCCAATCTCCACCGCTCCCGAAGTGGGTGGCCCTGCCACTCCCAGGCGAGGTCAGGATTACAGGGAACAGCAGGCAGAACGTGCGGGGCCTGCGGGTGTGCGAAACACTCAGCACACAAAGCTGTTCTCAGCATGAGAGTTAAGAGCTCTGGGCAGCGCCCGGAGTGCGGGCATCTTTTTGACCTGAGCATCCTCCCTGTGGGGTCCTGGCCAACGTCTGAGCCCCTGGGAGACCCCACGAGGCTCTGCCCAGATCAGTGGCCCCAACGCGGCAGCTCAGGCTTGACTTACATATCAGCAGGAAGCCCAGGGGACGGAGCTCCCGGTGGAGCCAGGACCAGCTCAGGGGGGACGGGTCTGGGGTCAGAGGTCACCACCCTGCCCAAGGAGCTGCCAGCCAGGGACTGCAGAGAGAAAGCATAGGGACAATGTGCTGGTCTCTGAGGAAACAGTGACACCTAGCGGCCGACTGTGGCCCCACCACAGGGCACACAGGATTCTTGTTCTTCCTGATGGTGCAAGTGACAGCTGGCATGTCCATGTGGGGCAGGAGGACCTGCAGAAAGGCCCAAAGAGGACCTGTGCCTCCCGCGCCGTCCCTGCCTGGAGCAAGCTCGGCCCGCGGTATGTAGGCACAGACTCCGCAGCCCGCCTGGGCCTGCAGCCTCAGGGAAGCGGCTGGACACCGACCTGCCTTGGGAATCCTGACGGGTGTGCTTGGCCTGGGTGACGTGACAGTGGCCACCTGCAGCACAGTCCATGGGGCTGAGGATGGTGAGAGACAGTGACAGGTGACCTGGCTCTCGGGGAGGGACCCAGCCAGCGGGCCAGGGCTGGTGGAGGCTTCCTGATTTGAAGGAAACTCAGGGGACAGCGAGGGGAAGGGTACCGAGTCACGGAGGGACCCCACGGGTCCCTGGCCTTCGAGGCTTCTGGGGTGGGAGCAGCCTGCACATGGGGTGGATGCAGTGGGGGACGGCAGCAATGGGGGACGGCAGCAGGGGGCCCAGAGTTCAGGCGTGACCAGAGGATGGTCAGGAGGCAGTCGGTCAGGTTTAAGCAGGGAGGGACTTGTTTGTGGATTTGTTTTTCCACTTGAATGACTCAGAGGGTACCCAGGTGGCTCTGACGGGGGTTCCAGTGGAAATGTCTGTGGGGTTCATGTGCCTCTTGCCTTCTGTAGCCCAGCCATCCTGTCTTCATCTCCCCGTCCAGCCTTGGTGCTCCCAGTGCCCTCTGACCCCCATCTGCCACCATTCGTCATCAACAAGCAGTGGGTGGGGCTTTCTCACGCAGGGCTCTGGCCCCTAGACCAGCCTGACTACCCTCCCTGGCTGGGCCTGCCCTGGGCAGCGCCCACCGCCCTTCACTGCCCTGGCTGGGCCTGCCCTGGGCAGCGCCCACCGCCCTTCACTGCCCTGGCTGGGCCTGCCCTGGGCAGCGCCCACCGCCCTTCACTGCCCTGGCTGGGCCTGCCCTGGGCAGCGCCCACCGCCCTTCACTGCTCCTGCCCCTGCACTGTCTCTTCCCCGTGGTGAGTGAGCTGCTATGAAGGCCCCTAGATTGGTCCTTCTGGCCGTCCTTAGGGGCTTCCACAGCCCGGTTCCTGATGGCACTTGGCGTAGCCATGGGCCCTGAACTTCGGGGCTGCTTCTCGGCCTTCTCGACAAGCTCAGTGCCTGGCTCTGCCCTCAACCTGCAGTGTGTCCTTGGGCAAACCCCATCCCTGGCCCAGCCTCCACTTCTTCTCAGGACAGCTCTGTAAGGTCTGTGGGGTGAGCCCTCTTGTTCCTCCCTCAGCTTAGCCCTGGGGTAATGGGGAGAATCTTCTATGGGGAAGGAAGCCAAACCTCCTTGTGAGGGAGGAGGGAGCCTCCCACTGAAGCACACGTCACAGCTGTCCCATTTTAAAATATCTTCTAAGTAATGAGGACGTTCTCCAATGGCACAGACATGAGGACAGTGAAACTGTTGGCGCCAGCACCGGCCTCAACAGCCGGCAGCGTCCTGCTGTCCAGCTTCTTTTCTCAGGACCCCCTCCGTATTACTTGTTTAATTTTGCTGAAGATTTAAAGCAAACCCCGACAGTGTGTTCTTCCACCCAGATCTTCCAGTGCACACCTAAAAAGATGGACCTTTTTCACACAGCCTCAATGCCATTGTCACACTTAAAAAAGCCAATAACAATTCCTTTCTATCACCTGGGAGCCTGGCCATAGACATGTTTGCCCAGTCATCTAAAAGACATCTTTTTAAAGAATTGAGATGTAAACAAGTCCCAGTATCACATGCTGTGGGGCCCAGGACTCAAGCTTTAGTGTCAGCGGTGCTCCTCACCCTCTGATGTGACTTGGTTGTGTCCCCGCCCAAATCCCATCTGGAATTGTAATCCCCTTAATCCCCGTTTTATATATATAGGGAGAGACCTGGTGGGAGGTGATTGGATCATGAGGGCAGTTTCCCCATGCTGTTCTCATGATAGTGAGTGAGTTCTCACGAGATCTGATGGTTTTATAAGGGGCTCGTCCCCCTTTGTTCCTCACTCTTCTGTCTCCTGCCGCCTAGTGAAGAAGGACGAGTTTACTTCTCCTTCTGCCGTGATTGTAAGTTTCCTGAGGCCTCCCCACATGCAGAACTGTGAGTCAATTAAACCTCTTTCCTTTGTAAATTATCCAGTCTTGGGTATTCCTTAAGAGCAGGTGAGAATGACTAATACACCCTTTAAACTTCAATAGTGCTCTCAGCCTCTAATGTACAGCGGTGCTCTCCACCCTCTAACACAACAGTGCTCCCCACCCTCTAAAACACAGCAGTGCTCCCCACCCTCTAATGTACCGTAGTGCTCCGCATCCTCTAACACAGCAGTGCTCCCCACCCTCTAATGTACAGCGGTGCTCCCCACCCTCTAACACAACAGTGCTCCCCACTCTCTAACACACAGCAGTGCTCCCCACCCTCTAATGTACAGTGGTGCTCCCCACCCTCTAACGCACAGCAGTGCTCCTCACCCTCTAACACACAGCAGTGCTCTCCACCCTCTAACACAACAGTGCTCCCCACCCTCTAACACACAGCAGTGCTCCCCACCCTCTAATGTACAGCGGTGCTCCCCACCCTCTAACACACAGCAGTGCTCCCCACCCTCTAATGTACAGCGGTGCTCCCCACCCTCTAACACACAGCAGTGGTCTCCACTCTCTAACACAACAGTGCTCCCCACCCTCTAACACACAGCAGTGCTCCCCACCCTCTAACGCACAGCGGTGCTCCCCACCCACTAACACACAGCGGTGCTCCCCACCCTCTAACACACATCGGTGCTCCCCACCCTCTAATGTACAGTGATGCTCCCCACCCTCTAACACAACAGTGCTCCCCACTCTCTAACACACAGCAGTGCTCCCCACCCTCTAATGCACAGCAGTGCTCCTCACCCTCTAACACACAGCAGTGCTCTCCACTCTCTAACACAACAGTGCTCTTCACCCTCTAATGCACAGCAGTGCTCCCCACCCTCTAACGCACAGTGGTGCTCCCCACCCACTAACACACAGCGGTGCTCCCCACCCTCTAACGCACAGCCCTGCTCCCCACCCTCTAACGCACAGCGGTGCTCCCCACCCTCTAACGCACAGCGGTGCTCTTCACCCTCTAACGCACAGCGGTGCTCCCCACCCTCTAACGTACAGCGGTGCTCCCCACCCTCTAACGCACAGCGGTGCTCTTCACCCTCTAACGCACAGTGGTGCTCCCCACCCTCTAATGTACAGCGGTGCTCCTCACCCTCTAACGCACAATGGTGCTCCTCACCTTCTAATGTACAACGGTGCTCCTCACCCTCTAATGTACAATGGTGCTTGTCACACTCTAATGCACAACCATGCTCCTCACTCTCTAATGCCTAATGGTGCACCTCACCCTCTAAAGTACAGTGGTGCTCCTCTCCCTCTAATGCCCAACGGTGTTCCTTACCTCGAATGTACAACTGTAGTCCTTCTTCACATGGTGGCAGGAGAGAGAAGTGCAGAGTGAAGGGGGAAGAGCCTCTTATAAAACCATAGGATCTCATGATAACTCACTCACTATCATGAGAACAGGATAGGGGAAACTGTCCCCATGATTCAGTTACCTCCCACTGGGTTCTTCCCATGACATCTGGGAATTATGGGAACTACAATTCAAGATGAGATTTGGGTGGGGACACAGCCAAACCATATCACCTGTTAAGCTTCCCAAACCTTATCTATACAAATAGCCCCCAGAACTTCGGAGCACCAACTCCCACTCTTTGGAGTCTGTGCTCCCAGGTGGCTGTCCTTATGCTCTGTGCTCAAGTTAACTGTCCATTTCATCCTGTTTTCTGAATCTCTTTATTTAGGGTTGACAGGGAAGGGATTGGCCATGGTGCCTGGCACACGGGCAGCTCCTGGCAGGAGGCCAGCTGTGCCACAGGTCCGGCCAGTGCTCTCTGCAGGGCTGTGTGGCTGCCCTGCCCTGGCTGCCTGGCCAGCCCACTCTCTCAGATTCTCTCACCAGGGTCCAGACTCCCTGTCCCAGGAGTTTCTGGGCAGCGGAGAGGGAGAGAAGGAGGCAGGCCTGGAGGCTCACCTTCCCCCAGGATCTGAGCTTCCACCAGAAAGGAAACCAAAATATATCCCCCACAAATAAACTTCTTTGACATATTTTGAGATGGCTGTTCAGAGGGCCTGAAAACAGAAGCAGCCCTGCAAAGCTTTCTTTTGTGGGGAAATTTGCATCTGTATAGAAAACCTGCATTGATGCAGCCAGGCTTTTGCTGAGGCCCTCATTTTTCTGTATTTAGGAAAGATAAGCTGAGAGTCTGTATTAGCCTGTTCTCACGCTATCATAAAGAACTGCCTGAGACTGGGTAATTTTTTAAAGGAAGGAGGTTTAATTGACTCACAGTTATGCAGGGCTGGGGAGGCCTCAGGAAACTTACAATCATGGCAGAAGGGGAAGCAAAGACATCCTTCTTCACATGGAGGCAGGAAGGAGAAAGAGTGCCAAGCAAATGAGGAAGCCCCTTATAAAACCATCACATCCCATGAAAACTCACTCACTATCATGAGAAAAGCATGGCAGAAATTGCCCCCATGATTCAGTTACCTCCACCTGGTTCTGCCCTTGACACATGGGGATTATTACAATTCAAGGTGAGATTTGGGTGGGGACACAGAGCCAAACCATATCATTCCACCCCGGCCCCTCCCAAATCTCGTATCCTTACATTTCAAACACAATCATGCCCTCCCAATAGTCCCCCAAAGTCTTAGCTCATTTCAGCATTAACACAAAAGTCCAAGTCCAAAGTCTCATGTGAGACAAGGCAATTCCCTTCTGTCTATGAGCTTGTAAAATCAAAAGCTTGTTAGTTACTTCCTAGATACAATGAGGGTACAGGAATTGGGTAAATACACCCATTCCAAAAGGGAGAAATTGACCAAAACAAAGGGGCTACAGGCCCCATGCAAGTCTGAAATCCAACAGGGCAGTCATTAAACCTTAAAGTTCCAGAATGATCTCCTTTGACTCCATGTTTCACATCCAGGTCATGCTTATGCAAGAGGTGGTCTCCCATGGCCTTGGGCAACTCTGCCCCTGTGGCTTTGCAGGGTACAACACCTCCCCTCCCCCCACCTGGCTGCTCTCATGGGCTGGCTATGGAGTGTCTGCAGCTTTTCCAGATGTACAGCGCAAGGTGTCGGTGGATCTACCATTCTGGAGTTTGGAAGATGGTGGCCTTATTCTCACAGCTCCACTAGGCAGTGCCCCAGTGGGGACTCTGTGTGGGGGCTCTGACCCCACAGTCCCTTCTGTACTGCCCTAGTAGAGGTTCTCCATGAGGGCTCTGCCCTACAGCAAACTTCTGTCTGGACATTCTGGAAATTCCATACATCCTCTGAAATCTAGGGATTGGGAGCTCCCCAAACCTCAATTCTTGACTTCTGGGCACCCACAAGCCCATTAGCACATGGAAGCTGCCAAGGTTTAGGGCTTGCACCCTCTGAAGCAATGGCCTGAGCTGTATGTTGGCTCCTTTTAGCCATGGCTGGAGTGGCTGGGACGAAGGGCACTAAGTTCCAAGGCTGCACACAGCAGGGGGGCCCTGGACCCAACTCAGGAAACCCTTTTTCCCTCCTAGGCCTCTGGGCCCTTGATGGAAGGGGCTGCTGTGAAGGTCTCTGACATGCTCTGGAGACATTTTCCTCATTGTCTTGGTGATTAACACTCAGCTCTTCATTACTTATGCAAATTTCTGAAGCTGGCTTGAATTTCTCCCCAGAAAATGGGTTTTCTTTTCCATTGCATCATCAGGCTGCAAATTTTTCAAACTTTTATGCTCTGCTTCCTCTTGAACAGTTTGCCACTTAGAAATTTCTTCCACCAGATACACTAAATCATCTCTCTCAAGTTCAGCTTTCCATAGATCTCTAGGGCAGGGTCAAAATGCCCCCAGTCTCTTTGCACAGCAAGAGTAACCTCTATTCCCATTCCCAACAAGTTCCCCATCTCCATCTGAGATCACCTCAGCCTGGACTTCGTTGTCCATATCACTATTGGCATTTTGGTCAAAGCCATTCAATAATTCTCCAGGAAGTTCCAAACTTTCCCACATCTTTCTGTCTTCTGAACCCTCCAAGTCTCTAGGAAGTTCCAAACTTTCCCATATTTTCCTGTCTTCTTCTGAGCCCTCCAAACTGTTCCAAACTCTGCCTGTTACCCAGTTCCAAAGTTGTTTCCACATTTTTGGGTATCTTTACAGAAGCACCCCACTCTCTGTGGTAAGAGTTTACGATATTACTCCCTTCCCATGCTGCATTAAAGAACTGCCTGAGACTGGGTAATTTACAAAGGAAGGAGGTTTAATTGATTTACAGTTCCACAGGGCTGGGGAGGCCTCAGGAAATTTACAATCATGGTGGAAGGGGAAGCAAACATGTCCTTCTTCACATGATGGCAGGAAGGAGAAGGAATGCCAAGTGAAGCCCCTTATAAAATCATCAGATCTTGTGAGAACCCACTCACTATCAGGAGAACAGCATTGCAGAAACCACTCCTGTGATTCAATTATCTGCACTTGGTTCCACCCTTGACATGTGGTGGTTATTAAAATTCAAGGTAAGATTTGAGTGGGGACACAGAGCCAAACCATATCAGTCTGTCACCCTTAAAGGCTAAAAGCAGCATTTACCATTTGCTAGCTGTGAGGTCCCCTAACCTGGTGAGCCTGGCCTCCTCTTCTCCCCCTCCCAAAACCTGCCATGCCACTGGGATCTGTTTTTGGCCGTGCTTGAGCCTCCATTCTTTCTGTAACCTGTTCAAAGAAAAACCAAACTCCATAAAATATTTAAAGAGGTTTCTTCTGAGCCAATATGAGTGACCATGGCCCGGGGAACAGTCTCAAGAGTTCCTGAGAAAGTGTGCCCAGGGAGTCGGGTCACCGCTCGGTTTTATACATTTTAGGGAGACAGACGTTACAGGCAAAGACATAAATCAATACATGGAAGGTGTAAATTGCCTAAAGAGATGGGACATCTCCAAGTTGGGGTGCTTACAGGTCACAGATGGATTCAAAGATTTTCTGATTGACAATTGGTTGAAAGAGCTAGACTTTGTTTAAAGACTTGAAGTCAGTAGAAAGAAAGGCTTGGGTTAAGATAAGGGGGTTGTGGAGAGCACGGTTCTTGTTATGCAGTTGAAGCCTCCCAGGTCGCAGTCTTCAGAGAGAATAGAAGGTGAATGTCTGTTTTCAGACTTTGAAAGTGTCAGACCCTCATTTAATCTCCCTTAGATCCGGGAAAGGACTAGAAAGGAAGGCCTGGCTGCATTAATGGAGATTCTCTACAGATGCAAATTTCCCCCACAAAAGATGGCTTTGCAGGGCCATCTCAAAATATGTCAAAGAAATATAGTTTGGAGTAAAATACTTTTATTTCCTTCAGGGTCTGCCATCTGTCGTGTGAGGTTACACCAGAGTCAAGCTGGAATTTGGTGTCTTATTGCCACAAGGAGTCTGCTCTATCACTCTCATGATCTCTACTTTAAGGTTAGTGCTGCTCAGCTGTGCCTAAATCCCAAAACGGAGGGAGAATAAGGAGGTATGTCTGACCCCACTTCCTGTCATGGCTGGGAATTCAGCTTTTCAGGTTTCAGTGGAGTCTCCTTGGTCAAGAGGGGGTTGTTAGATATAAGTTCTAAATTTCTAGTCAAAGAATCAATATGTCAGTATGTTCAATTCTTTGCCTTCTACTGTTAAACTTAACTTCCTCATAAAGCAACATTTTCAATTACCTACTTCACCCAGACTCATTCCGATCACCTGCTCCCCCTGACTCATTCCCATCACCTGCTCCCCCGACTCATTCTGATTACCTACTTCACCCAGACTCATTCCGATCACCTGCTCCCCCCGACTCATTCCGATCACCTGCTCCCCCTGACTCATTCCAATCACCTGCTCCCCCGACTCATTCTGATTACCTACTTCACCCAGACTCATTCCGATCACCTGCTCCCCCCGACTCATTCTGATTACCTACTCCACCCTGACTCATTCCGATCACCTGCTCCCCCGACTCATTCTGATTACCTACTTCACCCAGACTCATTCCGATCACCTGCTCCCCCGACTCATTCTGATTACCTGCTCCCCCTGACTCATTCCGATCACCTGCTCCCCCTGACTCATTCCAATCACCTGCTCCCCCGACTCATTCTGATTACCTACTTCACCCAGACTCATTCCGATCACCTGCTCCCCCTGACTCATTCCGATCACCTGCTCCCCCTGACTCATTCCAATCACCTGCTCCCCCGACTCATTCTGATTACCTACTTCACCCAGACTCATTCCGATCACCTGCTCCCCCCGACTCATTCTGATTACCTACTCCACCCTGACTCATTCTGATTACCTGCTCCCCCGACTCATTCTGATTACCTACTTCACCCAGACTCATTCCGATCACCTGCTCCCCCCGACTCATTCTGATTACCTACTCCACCCTGACTCATTCCGATCACCTGCTCCCCCGACTCATTCTGATTACCTACTTCACCCAGACTCATTCCGATCACCTGCTCCCCCGACTCATTCTGATTACCTGCTCCCCCTGACTCATTCCGATCACCTGCTCCCCCGACTCATTCTGATTACCTACTTCACCCAGACTCATTCCGATCACCTGCTCCCCCCGACTCATTCTGATTACCTATTCCACCCTGACTCATTCCGATCACCTGCTCCCCCCGACTCATTCTGATTACCTGCTCTGTCATAACCATTTTTCCCGCCAAAGCACTCACCCCATCACTCCTTTTAAATTAGCCGGTCAGAATTAGTTTAGCCTGTGCGGTCTAACCCTAGCCAGTAGCGGAACCACACAGCAGCAGGGGCCACATCCTTCAGGGTTAAGACCCGCTTCCCCTCCCTTGTCCAGGTGTGCGCTCACCATTGCTCCATCTCTAAGGGTACATCCTTCTATAGCAGTAACTTACCTTGCTGAGAATTAAAAATAAAATTTTATATTCGAGTGCTATTCCTTTTGCGGCACCAAACTTTATATATATAACGGGGTCTAGTCAGTTGGTTGAAAGGGCTTAGGACTTTATTCTTGGTTTACAAATCTCAAGGTGGTATAAAAACAGCAACTATCCTGCCTTTCTTTGAGTTCTTTTTTTTTTTTTTGAGAGGGGGTCTTGCTCTATCACCCAGGCTGGAGTGTAGTGGCGCCATCTAAGCTCACTGTAGCCGCCAACCCCCAGGCTCAAGTGATCCTCCCACTTCAGCCTCCCAAGTAGCTGGGACCACAGGCACGTGCCACCAAGCCCAGCTAATTTTTTTTTTTTTTTTTTGGTAGAGATGGGGTTTCACCCAGGCTGGTCTCAAACTCCTGAGCTTAAGCCATCCACCCACCTCAGCCTCCCAAAGTGCTAGGATTACAGGCATGAGCCACCGTGCCCAGCCTCTTTGAGTTCTATTTCCCTGACTCCTGTGTACATTAATAAATTTGTATGCCTTTTCTCCTGTTAATCTGCTTTCTGTCGGTTCATTTTTTCAGGGAAACTTCAGAGGGTGAAAGGAAAGATTTTCATTCTCCCTTACAACCCCAGTAGGCTTGAAGCCTAAGGCCTCACCTAATTCCTGGTGGGACAGGAGAGAGTGCTCTATGAAGGGTCACCCCAGGCAAAAGACCTCCCTTCCTCAGAACAGACCCCCGGATTCCTTTCCCCAAAGCCCAGCCCAGACCTTCACCTGGTAGCCCTGAGGGCCAGCTCCCAGCCCACATCCCTCAGGGCCCTAGGAATGTCCTAGCCCCTCCTGGGCTGCCCCCAGATCTGGTGCCTGTGGGTGGAGAGGTGTTCTGAGGTCACAGGCCTCCCGCTGACCTCTCCCCGCAGGGCTTCGAGTCCCTGAGACTGCAGATGTGGCCCAGGAGGCTGCAAGGAGGCTGGGAGATGGGGGGACCCTGAGAATAAGTTCATTCTTGCTGGCCCGACCAGGAGCACAGGCCACAGGCAGATCCTGGAAGGAAGTGGGCCCTCCCATGCCAGATCCATCAGGGAAGGGCCGAAACCAGAAGCCCAGCTGGGAAGCTGGATTCCTGTCCATCCTAGAAGCCCAGGAGTCATGGGAATGAGCCATCGGTGTGCCCTGTCCTCCACATTTTACAGAACTCAGCCAGTCCTTGCAGCCCCTTGAGGAAATTCTGTGTTATTTCCCGTTTACAGATGAGGAAACAGAGGCATGGAACAGGGAGTGACCTATCCAAGGGTCCCTCCTGTAAACGGAGAAGAGCAGCTGGGGAGGCTGGCCTGGAGGAGATGAGGCCAGCTGGACCCAGGCACCTATGTGGCTGCACTGATGGGGCTTCAGCTTTGAGGTGGGGCTCCCTGTGCTCAGCCCAGGGGGGCATGCCTCAGGAGCATGTGTCCAGGCACCCTGAGAAGAGGCGTGTTGGCCACCCAGCGACAGCTGGATCCTCCCGGGAAGGCCACACTTCTGTGGGCACCTGGGCCTGGGTGGGGACAGCCTCCCCCATGGGGAGGGGGCCTGGGCTGTGGATCCCGAGGCACACTCGCCCTGTTGGGAGCTCCTGTCTAACCTTTCCTGTCAGTTTTAGATGCATCCCTGGTTCTAATTCTTTTTCCCAGCAGGTGGCACTGGGGAGGCTGTTTGGAGCCCTCCAGGCCTGTGAGCTCAGGCCATGGATTGCTGGGATCCTTGTCCCCTGCTGACCAGCCCAGGGAACTCGCTGTCCATGGTGTCTGCAGCTCCCCCTTACGGGTCCACACAGGGTGTCCTCCATGGGTCACGACTGCCCCTGCTGTTGCCAGGATGCCTTCTCCACACCTCCCCACTCAATTTCTCCAGTCATGGCCCAGTGATTGCACCTGGGGCTGGGGGAGACAGAATTTGCCTGGAAGAGATGCTCAGTGTGGCCAGCTCACGGCCACCAAGCCCCACGTTTGCTCTCAGAGACAGCTTTGCACACAGCGGCATTGGCGGCATCTGGACTGGCCTCTTAGCTCCCCACACGTCCTCTTGAATAACAGAGGAAAAGGGAATTGATCCCCAAACTCCTTCCTCCAAGGTCAACTTCTCTTCTGCCAAGATCTAAGGAAAGCTTCCATCTCAGCTGCTCCTGCTGCTGGTTCTGTTTCTGCAGGTCATCTTCTGACCTTGAGTCTGAGTTAAGTCCCTTGCGTGCTGTGCTCCCTTGGATGGAAGCAGAACTGCAGACCCTTTGATGGAGCCTGAGTGGCAGAAGGGTCATCCGAGGTTGTGGCCTCTAAAAGACTCTCCAGTTTACAGATGGGGAAACTGAGGCTGGAGAGAGGGAGCCCTGCCCGGAGCCACACAGCTAGCATTGAGTAGACACTACCTGGGAACCGGACCCAGGTGTGCCCCCTCCTTACCAGGGTAGGAGCCGCCAGTGTGGGCTTCAGGGAAAGTCACTCTCTGGTGACCTGCACAGGAGCTGGGACCACAGAAGGGGACGAGGGGAGAGGGAGAGAGGGCTGCTCTATGCAGATGGCGCCTCTTTTTTCCCAGAAGCCACACTCCCCCTCACAGTGCGGGGCACTGGAGGTAATTCTGACCAGCGGCTCCGACTCAGGCTGAGCCCCAGGAACTCTGGGGTGCATTTAACAACACGGTGGCCAGCCCGGGTGCACCAGGTGCCCAGCCGCCTCTGAGAACCCCTGATGGAGACGAGGAGGCAGGGGCCCTGGGATCAGGAGATGTGTCCAGCTCAACCCTCAGTGCCTTCCTCTGAAAGTGCCATGGGGGCACTGCATAGGCTCGTGAATGTTAGCATCCTGGAACTCCAGGCCACACTGCGGTGAGGCACAGATCCAACATCAAACTTCAGCTGTGGGTGAGAGGCCTCCGGCTTGGGACTGACTCTGAGTCATCCAACCGTATGCACACATGGGCTATCCCCGCCGATGGCTGCCCTGCACGGTCAGGGATGGTGTCACCAGCCAGCACCCATCTGCAGCACGCAGGCTCGGGGAGGGGGAGCTGCCTCTGATCAGGCTTCGCTGCAGGGCCTGGCTTTTCTGCTCAGCTGGCCTCCAGTCTCCAGCCGCGCCTGGGCCCCTGCTGGCCGAGGGTGTCCCGCATCCATCAGACAAAGCCAACCCTGGCCATGGGCCTCCATGTGGGTGAGGCATTGGGAAAGAGCTGGTTCTCGCTGATTTACCCACTCACCCACTTGCTCCGGAGTTTCTGTTCTTAGGTTAGGTTTTAGTCCACTGGGCTTGTGCATGGAGCAGGGAGGGTTCCTGACTTTCCCTCTCCAGAGATCCTTCACCCAAGTGCAGCTGAGAAGGTTGAGCCTTTCCCCTACTAGTTTGAAATCCCGCCCTTAGCATGTGCTACCTCTATCATTTATCTTTTTGTTGGTTCCCTTGCCAATATTGAGTTGTTTTAATTATTATGGCCTTAAAGTTGTTAGGTTGATTTGCCATAGCATAGGTAAGACTCCTCTAGTAATTTCTCTTTGACTTGCTTCAATTTTCTTCTCATTATGCACCTTTTTTTTTTTTTGTCAGAATCTTGCTCTGTTGCCCAGGCTGGAGTGCAATGGCACAATCTCAGCTCACTGCAACCTCCGCCTCCCAAGTTCAAGCGATTCTCTGCCTCAGCCTCCCGAGCAGCTGGGATTACAGGCATGTGCCACCACGCCTGGCTAATTTTTATATTTTTAGTAGAGATGGGGTTTGGCCAGGTTGGCCAGGCTGGTCTTGAACTCTTCACCTCAGGTGATCCATCCTCCTCGGCCTCCCAAAGTGCTAGGATTACAGGTGTGAGCCACTGCACCCAGCTGTATCGATGTTACTTAGATTTTCACTTTTTGTATATGTATTTAATTTTAAATATTTTGTTTCTATAGTTATATCCTCTTGTCATTTTCAAAGAACCAATCCTTTTTTTTCCTAAGTCTAATTTGTGTTTATTTTCTATTTCATGACTTGGGGTTTTGCCTTAATCCCTTTATCCTGCCCTGTTGAATCGTGTTGTTGATGTTCATTGTCTAGATTCTGAGGTTGAACATAGAGGCCAATCATTTCCAACCTTTCCTGAATTCGTATCAATGCCTTTAAGCTTGAACTTCCCTCTCACAGCACAGCGGCTGCATCCCCTTGGTTTTGATAAAGAGCATTCTCATTTTCATTCATTTCTAGAAAGATTGCAACTTCAGTTATATTTCTTCATTTAACCTAGTAAGTTTTTTAACTTCCAAGGCATTAGACATTTTTTTCTTGACCATACTTTTCTTATTTACTTTTTGTTTTATCGCTTAGGCTCAGAGAACAATAACTTGTACAATTTCTTCTTTGAATTGTTTACTGGTATTTTGAGGGGCTCTCTGCCTGGTTATGTCAATGCTCGTGGGCTTTTGAGAAAGACCCGCATGTACCAGTGAGGGTTCCGGCAGGAAACCTCTTGCTATGCTCCAGGGGCACAGCTGCAGAGAGCTTGGTGACAGGCTGCTTACACAGGTGTGGACAGGGCTGGGGACCCACCAAGGGAGGTGTGGGTGGCATTGGGGTCTTTGCCAGTGCTGGAGGGCACGAGGAGGGAGCCAGTGGTGGAACTGGACAGTGCCATTCAGAAACTAAAGCCCTCAGCAAGAGGGCAGGCTGTCTGGAGTGATCTGAAAAGGTGGGGCCAGGAGTATCAGCCCCCTCCCTCCTTACCCTCTCCTCCTGCTCTCCAGCCCTGGCAGTCTCTCCTACTGGCTGAAGCCAGAATAGAATCTGGAGAGGCCACCCTCCCAGGACACAGGGGCAGGGACAGGCTGAGGAGGTAGGAGTAGGTCTGCACAGGGGAGAAGTCCACCTCGCACACCCTGGGCTCCTCCATGGCGTGAGGTCCCTGTCTTCCCTGTACTTGTGTAAGTGTCTGTCATCAGAAAGATGGCAGGTTGCCCTGGGGAGGATGGTGTCTTACTCGGTTCCGTCCCTGCCAGCATCTAGCACTGTGGTCAAGTCCTCTACATGCTGTCCCCAGAGAACCTCTAGTCCCCAGCCTCCTGCTCTGTGTGTAGGCTGACAGCAGAATCCAGACCCAAGTCACTGGGGAGCACCCAATTTGCTTCCTCTCCTCCTCAGCTAAGGGTGAGCAGCAGGGGTGACCCCAGCTATTAGCCCCACCTAGCACACAGCACAGCGGCCCTGCAGAGGGGCAGCCCTTCCCACTGCCATGCTGCAGCTCCAGACACAGAGGAAGCTCAGGGCTTCCAGGGTCTTTGTGGATGAACAGATGAGGGAAAACTGGAGGGACTGGGAGCAGCAAAAGCAGAGGGGTAGGGGACTTGGACTGACGTGTCAACAGCTAACACTTCGTTCTGGTCCTGGTCCCCAGGAGCAGCTGGTCCTGGTCCGGGAGCAGCTGCCTGCCGACACGGCTGCGCTGCGATGGGATCTGGCCCCAGCCCAGTTGCTGCTGGCCAGACACTGAGTCAGCACCCGGCCGTCCAGTGCGCCACAAGCAGATCCCGGCAGAGCTGCCCACGCTGTGCAGATCCCCGGTGGGCCTCCCGGGCTAGAGCCCGGGGACCCATTCACTTGGGGCCCTACCAGTCCCTACCCTTGGTTGGCTGGGGGCTGCCCAGCCTGGGCCCCACCCACCCAGGGCTCTGGTTTCTGAGTCCGGGGCCCAGCAAAGCCCCTCTTTCACTCCTTCCTGAAATGGGATCATGACCCTGGTCCTACCTCTGAGTGATTCTGATGTGAGATTAGGGATTGTGCAGGGATGGGGGTGTGATCCTGCAATGACGGACTCCTAGGCCTCCTCCCAGCCCCGCAGAGTCCAAATCCCCAAGGCAGGGGCTGAGGAGGGCGAGGCTCATAGAACCCAGGACTCCTGGGGGTCCTGAGCATCTGGGGCCTCCCGGCTCTCGTGACTTCACATCCTGGCCTCTTCCCACCCACTGGAGCTCTGAGGGTCTCAGCCTCTCTCCACTTGACATCTCTTTCTTTCTTTCTTTTTTTTTTTTTTTGGAGACGGAGTCTCGCTCTGTCGCCCAGGCTGGAGTGCAGTGGCACGATCTTGGCACACTGCAAGCTCTGCCTCCTGGTTTCACGCCATTCTCCTGCCTCAGCCTCCCGAGTAGCTGGGATTACAGGCGCCCGCTACAACGTCCGGCTAATTTTTTGTGTTTTTAGTAGGGACGGGGTTTCACCATGTTAGCCAGGATGGTCTCGATCTTCTGACCTTGTGATCTGCCCGCCTCAGCCTCCCAAAGTGCTGGGATTACAGGCGCGAGCCACCGCGCCTGGCCTTCTTTCTTTCCCACTCATGCGTGTATACATACACACACACAGACACACACAGACACACACACACACACACACACACACACAGACACACACACACGCCCCTTCCCAACAAACTGTCCCAAACCTAATGTGGATAAATACAGAATGTGGTGCTAAGTGTCTCCAAAAACGCAGCAAGCCTCGGCCTCCTTTTCTGTCCACTGCACTGAGAACTCCAGGTCTGGGAGTTCCCTGTGGTGTGAAGGGCACCTGTGTCATTTGCCGCCCAAGCCGGGCACTGTGAGAGTGAAAGAGGGCATGGGCACAAAAGCACAAGGCAGGACTGTCCTGCTGGGCCTGGACACGGGGTCACCCTCAGCAGCCCCAGGGTCAGAAACTGGCGCGACTATCTTCAGAAATCCCACGTTGGTGCAATTCATCGTGGCTCCTCCTCACCCTCTTCCCCTCAGGATGACCCAGTTTTGGGTTTGGTCCTCAAGAGTCTCCAATAAACATCTTCACCAGACCTGTTTCCTGGGGCAAAAACCTGGTTGTTTATTTCTCTTTATGACTTCTATAAACATTTGGATTTTCAGGAGAAAAACAAGAAATAGGGAGTGGACACTTGTTCTTCTAGCAGAGGAATGGGAAGGGCCATTCATCTGGCATCGTCTGTCCTGCGTCCTGGTCCTGACTCCCTTCTGAGCCTCAATTTCTCCATCCGTAAAATGGGGAGGAGGCCTGGACCCCAGTCCCAAGCACAGAGTAATGATTTTGAGAACATATGTCCACTAAAACAGGATGGAACAAAAACACAGTCACTGTGGGCGAGCATTTGGAAGTGTGTAAGGAGGAAATGCTGCTTTGCATCTTCTCTCTGCCCATCTGATTCTCCGGCAGGCAAGAGGTGATCATAGCCAGGACTTCTCCTGATTGATGGCTGCCCATGCCAGGGGTCCCAGGGCCCAGCCACACACAGAACCACTTGGCGTGCTTAACTAGGAGCCCCCATAACTCACGGAGAACAATGGAGTCAGGATCTCTGAGGGATACAGCAGGGTGATTCTGATCTGCAGCCAGGGTGAGCACCCTGCGTTAGAAGGTACTACCAGCCTCCATGGCTGAGCTGGGTGGAAGCTGTTTATGAATGACGAGGATTTGGGAGGGGTGGGCTTGAGTGGGGAGAGGTCATTGCCAAGCCTTAACATTAGTGCAGAGAGAGGCTGACCTCATGCCTCCATTGGTGAAAAGCCAGGCTGGGGGCTTCCTACCAGGGAACCTGCTTCCTCCCATCCTCTAAGCACTGCCTTGCTCTGGCCCCAAAGAAGCTACTGGAGTTGGGGGAAGGGTATTCAGCCAAAGACCTGGCTCAAGTCAATCTAGAGCATCCTCTGACCCTCAGGGGCCTTTTCAAGTGTCTCAGCCTTGGTGTCTTCATTTGCAAGATGGGGGCGACAATTGTGCCTCCTTGCGCCCTCTGTGGGTGCAAGTAAACTCAGTTCAGCTACTCAGAAGTAAGCATTTTGGCCAGGTGTGGTGGCTCACACCTGTAATACCAGCACTTTGCAAGGCCGAGACAGGTGGATCGCTTGAGGTCAGGAGTTCAAGACCAGCCTGGACAATATGGTGAAACCCCATCTCTACTAAAATACAAAAATTAGCTGGGCACCTGTAATCCCAGCTACTCAGGAGGCTGAGGCAGGATAATTGCTTGAACCCGGGAGGTGGAGGTTGCAGTGAGTCAGGATTGAGCCACTGCACTCCAGTCTGGGCGACGAGCGAGACTCCATCTCAAAAAAACTCCCCAAAACCCAAAACCAAAAACCAAAAAACCAAAAGTAAGCACTTGGCAAATTCCACAGCACGGATTTGGATGGCAGGGAGGGTCAGGGTTACTGGAGAGAGCCTGGGCAGGTGTCTGTGGGCTGGGATGGTGGGAAGGGTCAGGGTTACTGGGGAGAGCTGGGGCAGATGTCTGTGGGCTGGGCCTGAGCTTCTGCCTGGCTGCCCCTTTGCTGCAGTGTGGTCTGCCTGCTCCACACCCAGGTCCCCGGCTCCACTGCAAGAGCTGGGACGTGACCAGGGCTCTGCTGGGCCTCCTTTCCCTGGACCCAGGCCAGTGGCTGATGTCCTGTCTCCGCCCCATCACCACAGCCCCAGAGCATGTGGCAAACCTGCTGACACCACTGCTGAGGTTCCTGGACCTCTGGAGAGTCTGCGCTGCACCCCAGGCCATGAGCTAGGCCAGCTCCCACCCACTGTGGAGGGGTGGACACAGCCTGGTTAAGCATTCACCATGCCCTGACAGCCATTGTTTATTGGACACAATTTACCCGCCATGAAATTGATGGGTAATCACTTCACATTCCACAAACGGAGAGGCTGGGGCTCAAAGAGATGAATGACCACCCAGGTTCGAAAGTTAGTGAGGGGCAGAGCCAGGATTTTATTCCAGCAGCCAGTTCTCAGACAACTTCACTGCTATTGTCTCATTGACATTCTCTTCTCCAAACCTGAGGACTGCAGCGTCCCCACTGTACACCTGACCCCGAGACTCTCAGAGACAGGGTGCACAGAGCAAAATAGGCGTGGATGAAACAAATGAAACCCCAACCGCACCCTTAGGGCGTCTACTGTGAGAGCACTGCCTGGACCCAGCTCTCCTCCTGGCCCTGCCCTTCCAGGCTTCCCAGGCCCGAGGGGTTCCGTGGGGGGCAGCGTCTTCCTGACCTCCATCCTGGTGTCCACAGAGCCCCCCGGGCTGACCTCAGGTGACCCCTTTGCCCACCTGGGCCCCCCGTCCGTCCTGTAAGGCAGAAAGTCTTCATGGAGGAGGAGGGGGAAGAGGCATCCCAACAGGGCTTTGGGGGATGGGGAGTCTTCAGTTTCAGGGAAAGGCTGCAAAAGCTGCAGTGAAGATGTGACGACAGGGTGGGCAAGGCCTGTCATGGTGCCCCTGAGCAGGCGCCTGGAGGGGATCTGTGAAGACCAGGTGGGCAACGGGGCCTCGGCCTGACAGGGAGCTCTGTGGGAACAGGATCCAGGGTCCATGCCAGGAACACCACCCACAGGTCACCCCTGGGAGCCATCTGAGCAAAGCTGGGATGTAAAGGGTCCTGGCTAGGCCAGCAGGATTCTGCCTGGACACTAGTGCGTCAGCTTGGAGCTAGTCCCTCCCAGCGTTTTTCGATCTTGGCCTCAGTTTCCCCATTTGTAACATGCAGTTTCCCGTCCCAAAGGGCCTTGCAACTCAATCTATGTGGCTGGACCCCAACCCCACCGCGGTGCAGCGCGAGCCCACGGAGCCCCCCACGGCTTGGCCGCACTTCAGGGTCCGGGCACGGGACCCCTCGAGCCGCTCTCACCGCAGCCGGGGAGGCCCCGCACAGGCCGCACGCGCCCAGCCGCCATAGTCTACCCCACAGGATGCTCACCCTAGCTCAGCTCGCCCCGCGGGACCCACCCGCCGTTGCTATGGCAACGGCGCTGCTGAGAGGCTAGCGAAGCCGGCAACCCGGCGGCGGAGGGAGGAGGTTGCCACGGCAACCAGGGCGCGCCACCAGCGGGGCGAGGTTTCCTGCGGGGTGGGGCCTACAGCGGAGCGGGGCCTATAGCAGGCGGGGCCTACAGCAGGCGGGGCCTATAGCAGGCGGGGCCTACAGCGGGGCGGGGCCTATAGCAGGCGGGGCCTACAGCGGAGCGGGGCCTATAGCAGGCGGGGCCTACAGCGGGGCGGGGCCTATAGCAGGCGGGGCCTACAGCGGGGCAGGGGCGGGGACGAGGCCCCGTGGAACCGCGGGGCCGCGCGGGCTGCTGGCGGCTTCTTTCCAGACTGCGGGGCTGTTGCAGTTCCACACCCTGGGGTTCCACCCAACGCCTTGGCCTGGGACTTCATAATTCACCTCTTTTAAGATGACCTGTCTTTTCACTGTTTTGTCTCTGGTGTTCTGCAGACTTGCTTTTATTTGCTATTGGGGTCCTTATTGATTCCTAATCTGAGCGTTTCTGTCTGTAGGCAATTCTGGAAAATTCTGAGCCAATATTTCTTCGAATATTGTTTCTGTGCCTTTCTGTCCCTTCTGGAACTCCGCGAATCGTTCTCCAGCGCAGGTCAGGGCATCCCCTGGCTGCGGCTCTTGGCCCGACCCCACCCTCGGGGCGTCTCTGCTGTGAGTTCCCTGCCTGGACCCAGCTCCCCTCCAGGCCCTGACCTTCCAGGCTTCCCAGGCCCGAGGGGGACCGTGGCGGGCAGCGTCTTCCTGACTTGCCATCCTGGTGTCCACAGAGCTCCCCGCACTGACCCCAGGTGATCCCTTTGCCCACCTCGGCACCCCCGCCATCCGCGCATCCCGGCCCGGTTGCTGCCTGGACGTCACAGCACATGCGTCCCCAGGGCTCAGACTGGCTGCAGCCGCCTCTCGGTGTGGCACTTGCGGGTTGTAATTTTCTGTGTAAAAAGCTGGTTTCTGTATTTTAAATTTTGTGATATATTTTTCTACAATTTATTTTTATTAGATGGAACCATTTAAAATTACCACTTTTGTAGGTCAAAAGTAGACATCAGTAATTTGATATGATTTAACCTAATATTCTTTCCACATTGGTTTATCTAGAAGTCTACGCTCTGATAGGATTTTAAAAACGTTTTCCCTAATGTAGTATTTATTAGTAGTGTAGATTCAGAATGATACAAAAGAAAGTAAAATATGAAGGCATCTTACTCTCTAACTCCAATAGCGTAAAGAGTTACACCTAAGATTAAAAAAATTCAAATCATATACACAGAAAGTGGATATATTTAAAAAGAAAGAAGTGCGTGCCTTCTCAACAACCCCCACCAAGAGTCACCCCAGCCATGACAAAGGCTGCCAACAGTTTCTCGTGATTCTTTTCAGTGAAAAAAACGGGATGAGGGGGTTACATTGTGCACACTCTTCTGTGTCCCTTCTAAACAATTTAACAACAAATCCCAGTCATCTTCCCCCATCAGCACATACTTTTGAGACTCCTTCATTTTAGACGCTTTGGAGAAATCACTCCTGTGTATGCCCCAGTCCATTTAGCCCGTGCCCACGGGTGAACACCTTGATTATTTTTTATTTTATTTTATTTTTTGAAACAGATTCTCATTCTGTGGCCCAGGCTGGAAGGCAGTGACACCATCCTAGCTCACTGCAACCTCCAACTCCTGGGTTCAAGCGATTCTCCTGCCTCAGCCTCCCGAGTAGCTGAGATTACAGGCACGCACCACCACACCCGACTAATTTGTTTGTATTTCTAGTAAAGACAGGGTTTCGCCTTGTTGGCCAGGCTGGTCTCGAACTCCTGACCTCAGGTGATCTGCCCACATCGGCCTCCCAAAGTGCTGGGATTACAAGCATGAGCCACCGCACCTGGTTGATTATGTCGTTTTTAAATCCATATTGTGATCAATATTCTTGCCTATTTATGTTGGCAAATTTTTGTGTGTGTATATAACAGGCAAATTGCTAGCCATGGAATTACTGAATTGAGGGTAGGAGCAGGCTAACGCAGGTGCATTTTGACAAACTGCTGTCCAGAAACATTGCAGTCCTTGCCCTGGACACTACCATGGCACATTTTCCCATGGGCTGGCCACACTGGACATTACTAGACATTTTAATTGTATGAAATTTGATAGGTCAAAAAACAACCCCACTGTTTTTTGTTTTTGTTTTTTTTTTTGAGACAGAGTTTCTCTCTTGTTGCCCAGGCTGGAGTGCAATGGCGTGATCTTGGCTCACCAGAACTCCGCCTGCCGGGTTCAAGCGATTCTATTGTCTCAGCCTCCTGCGTAGCTGGGATTACAGGCATGCGCCACCACGCCTGGCTAATTTTGTATTTTTAGTAGAGACGGGGTTTCTCCATGTTGGTTAGGCTGGTCTCAAACTCCCGACATCAGATGATCTGCCTGCCTCGGCCTCCCAAAGTGTTGGCATTACAGGCACGAGCCACCGCGCCCAGCCAACAACCCTACACTTTGATGTGCAGTTCTTTAACTGTGTCCATATTTTTCCCTGCTATTGGCCCATTCTCTCCCTGTTTTTCCTTCTGCAAACTGTCCCTTTGTAGTCTCTGCCCATCTCTGGGGTCATCACTCAGATTGTTTGCTGTGGGTTTGCAGAGCTCCTTACACTGTCGGAAATCCCTGCATCTTCATAATTGTGGAAATAATTTTCCCAGTGTGGGGCTGGGATTTCCATTTGGCTTATGGTGTTGGGCCATAGAGATGCTGGGGTTTTTGTGGAGTCCTCATCTTTTCAGAGGGCTCAGGTGATGTGTCACGCTTTCTCCACTCCAAGATACTGCATACGGCCACCACGTTTCATCCCAGCCCCCTAAGGTTTTGTTTTCACAAATTAATATCGATTCCCTTGGGAATTTGTCTTGATGTCACTCACATGTCAGGTGGGGATCCAGCTCTATATTTTCCCACAGTATCTGACACTGTGGGAAATAACATAGTTATTAAATGATCTATTTCCCCAAAATTATTTGAAAGGACACCTTTTATCATAAAATTTTGATCTGTTTCTTCTTCAACACTGGCATCTTTTTAATTGTGAGAATTTCATATTATGTTTTAGTGTCTTATAGGGCGGATTCTCCTCATTCTTCTTTTTAACACATTTCCTGGTTAGTCTTGCATGTTCGTGTTTCCATGTGAACTTCTGTTGCTATTTTAATTGCATGGAATGTGTAGTTGTAATTTAGAGAAAACTAGCTCTTTTACAATATTGCCTCTTCCAAAAATACACTATGCTTTTCCACTAATTTATCTCTTCTCAGTGGATTTTCAAAGTTTTCTATATAATTTCCTTATGAATGAGAAAACTGTATATTTCTTGTTATTTCCTGCCATTGTATTTATTCTTATTTTTATTTTATGTATTCTTTATTTACGTATGCATTCTAGCAATTTTTGATTGCTATTATGATTGGACTCCTCCATTACAGGTTCTAACTGGTCACTGTTTTGTGGAAAGTGTTGCCTTCTTGGTGACAATTTTTCTTATCAGCTCCTAACTTAAAAAAACTTAAAAAATATTTCTATAACTTTAGGGGTACAGATGGTTTTTGTTTTGTTTTGTTTGAGACGGAGTCTCACTCTATCGCCCAGGGTGGAGTGCAAAGGCGCGATCTTGGCTCACTGCAACCTCTGCCTCCTGGGTTCAAGCGATTCTCCCGACTGGATTCAGCTACTTTCCCGAGTAGCTGGGATTACAGGCATCCACCATTATGCCCGGCCAAGTTTTGTATTTTTGTAGAGACAGGGTTTCACCATGTTGTCCAGGCTGGTCTTGAACTCCTGACCTCAGGTAATCCACCTGCCTCGGCTTCCCAGAGTGCTGGGATTACGGATATGAGCCATGGTGCCTAGCCTACAGGTGGTTTTGTACAGTGGTGAAGTCTGGGCTTTTAATTAACTCTTCACCTGAAAAGTGTACATTGTATCCAATATGTAGTTTTTCATCCTGTTCCCCACTCTCATCCTTCTCGCTTCGGAGTCTCTAGTGCCCACCGTACCACTCGATATGCTTTTGTGTACCTATAGCTTAGCTTCCACTTATGAGTGAGACATACAGTATTTGGTTTTCCATTCCTGAGTTACTTCCGGTACCATAATGGCCTCTAGTTCCATCCAAACTTCTGCAAAAGGCATTATTTCGTTCATGTTATGGTTTAGTACTATTCCATGGTGTATATATACCATACTTTCTTTATCCACTCATCGGTTGATGGGCACTTAGGTTGAGTCCTTATCTTTGGAATTGTGATTTGTGCTGCAATAAACATGTATATTGATAGTTTTTAAAGAATTTATATAATGATTTTCTTTTGAGTAGATACCCCATGCTGGGATTGCTGGACTGAATGGTGGTTCTACTTTTCGTTCTTTGAGAAATCGCCGTACTGTTTTCCACAGCGGTTGTACTAATTTACATTCCCATCAGCCGTGGGTAAAGCAGTCCCTTCTCACCACATCCGTGCCAACATCTATTTTTTTTTTTTTACTTTTTAATAATGCCAGCTCCTAACTTATTGTTCCCTATAGCTTGTCACTCATCCCTTAAGTTTTCTAGATAGATGATTATATCATCTACAAATAATAACTTTGTTTCTTCCATTCTAATATTTTAACCTGCTATTTAAATAGGAAAAAACAGCTGTTTATTCCCTGTACTGAACACTTGATACCAAATGTGAGGGTTATTTTCTCCACACCATCCAATTATCCAACTCTTCTGACGCCAGCTGGGTGTTCTACAATTTAGTGATGACACCAATTAGCTGGAATTAGCGCAGACCCCGCCGGTTAAGGACTTGGCCTCTGAAGACCACCCCCACTTCAGATGCCAGTGGAAAGTGGTGAGCCCTAGGTTACCCACACATACGTTCAACTTGGCTACAAATCAGAAGCTTCCAGGACCCTCTCCTCAGGCTCAATAATTTGCTGACAGCTCACAGAATTCAGAGAAACATTTGCATGTACTGGATTAGTATGGAGGGTCTAGAAGGGCTCCGAGTGCAGGAGCCTCTGTTCCTATGGAGTGGAGGGCACCACCTTCCTGACACGTGGGTGTGTTCACCGGCCCAGAAGCTCTGCAAACCCTGTCCTTTAGGGATTTTTATGAAGACTTCCTGTGCTGGTCTGTTCGGCTGCTAAAACAGAACACCTCAGACTGGATAATTGATAAACAACAGAAATGTATTGCGTATCATTCTGGAGGCTGGGAAATCCAAGATCAAGGCACCAGCAGATATGGCGTCTGATGAGGGCCTGTTCCTCGTGGGTGGTGCCTTCTATGGGTCCTCCCCTGGTGGAGGGGAGAAGGGGCTCCTCAAACTCTTTAACAAGGGCACTAATTCTGTGTGTGACAGCTCCAACCTCATTACTCAGTCACCTCCTAAGGGTCCCACCTCTTAATACAATCACATTGGGGATTAAGCTCCAACACATGAATTGAGGGAGGACACCAGCATTCGGACCATGGCACTTCATCACACAGCCTGACCTGCTGCTCAGTTGCCAGCCTCTCTCCTCTCCCCAGAGGCTGAGGGGGTGGGGCTGAAAGTTCCAAGATTTTAATTATGGCTTAATCTTTCTGGTGACCAGCCTCCATCCTGAAGCTATCCAAGAACCCACCAAGAGTCACTTAATTAGAACAAAAGACGTTCCTATCCCCCGGGAAAGCCCGAAGGATTTAGGAGCTCTCTGTCATGACCTGAGGTCCTGGAATCAAATATTTGGTCTGGGACGCAAATATCAAAACAAAGGATGGTCCTAGCACCCCATCACTTAGGAAATTACAAGCATTTTAGGAATGCAGTGTCAGAAACTGAGGGCAAAGACCAAATATGTATTTATGTCACGTATTTTCTTCTCTTTTTTAATTGCATAGGCGGATACTTCTAAATGCAACGGAGGTGAGAATGCACATCCTTCATTGTAATGAGGCTTTCTCTGTTGTTTCACCAGGTCAGCTATCGTTTATATAGGGCTTATGGTGTGTCCAGCCCTCGTCTCAGCATTTTACACATTAATTCATCGAATCCTTACCACTGCTGTATGAGGTTGGCACAGCTTTTATTCCAGCTGCAGAAGAGGTCATGGGCACAGAGGGCTAATGAACTTGCCCAGAGTCATGCAACTGATAGGCGTGAAGCTGCCCTGGGCTGCCCTGGGCTGCCCCTTGGCTGGACTCATCCACCAAGACCCTGCAGGGCTGCTCCCTCCTCAGGTGAAGGAAGAAGCCACGTTTCCCTAAAGGGTGTGGTTGTTTTCTTTTTAACTAGAAATAGATGGCTTCTTGGTCAAATGCCTTTTCAACATTGATTAAAATCACCCCATTTTTTTAATCCTATAACTTCCTAAAATGAATGATTATATTCATGCCATCTCTAATACTGTACCACACTTGTATTTTCGAGAAGAATTTAGCCATGTTACAGGATCATTCTAATGTACTACTGAATTCTATCTGGCTGTGTTATGTAACTTTTGTATTCATATTGCTGCAAAATTGGTTTGTGGTCTTCCATTTTGGGATCTCTCCACCAGGTTTTGGCATCAGTGTTATGCTGGCTTCACAACAAGAATTTCATCAGTCTCCTCCTTTTCATAGCTATGGGTCACTTTAAGTAATAGGAGAGCAGTCTAGATTTTTTAAGCTTAAAAGTCTGAAATTACCTGGGCCCAGGCCCGCAAGGTGGCTGCTTTTTGAAAACTTCTTCCATGTTAGTGATTTATTTGGGGGTGGGCAAAGCCTGCTTCTCAACAAGAGGTCAGCAGGCAGGGCCCCGGGGCGACCAGCATTCCTGGACTATGCCACTCCTACCCTTGGCCACTTGGACAGCTTGCAGCCTCTGGGTGTGTGCAGAGAGGGCAGTGGCGGGTGGGTCCTCAGTGCAGTTGTGGGGGCACTAATGTGAGAAAGTCTTGATCTAGTCTGTTGGAGGGTGGGGTTCAGAGTGTTGGTCCTGTCCTGCATCCCTGAACTCTGACCTCAGGAAGTGGGAACTGAGCAGGGATAGCAGAGGCAAGCCCCACAGCTTGTCACATGCTGATCTGCGTTTAATTTTTCTGTTTAGAAGTGGAGAAATGATCGAGTGTTCAAAGAAAAACAATGAGATTGACAGAAGGGAAAGGAGGAAGAGGAGGAGGGAAGATGAAGTGGGGGGAGAGAGAGAGAGGAGGGGAAAAGAAAGGGATGAAATCGACAGCCTCCACCACTGGGTCTGTGAGCTGCATCAGAGCAGGTGGCCCCGCACTCTTGGCTTGATGCTCTGCTGTCGCTGGCCCAAGATCCTTAATAATTTCATCTTTTGTGTTTTGTGTTGCCGATGGCATATTGAGGCAGGTGCAGAGGAGACGCACAAATCTCTGCCTGCTCCTGCAGCCCCATCCTGATCTAGTGTTCACAGTGCCATGGTATGGAGTTCAGCAAGACTCACTCCAGTGCCAGGTAGAGCAGGTCATGCCTGCAGCCCAGTGGGCGTGGCATGAGACAGCCCAGAAAGGCCACGTTTTCCATTTCAACCAGAACTTGTTCCAAATACAGAAAGGGGGCAATGGTGTTCTAAGGAACACAAAGGACATGGGACCCCTGTTGTATCTTTTCTTACTCATTTTACTTCCCTGTATTAGCCGAGCACTTTCACTGAAATGGTGGCATGGAAGGAAAGGGAAAGACAGGAAGACCCAGAGTTCTCCTTTTATCCCTCCTTCCTCATCAGTAAGCGGGAGGCAGAGAATGTTGGTGCCAGCATCAAGAAGTGAAATAGAAGCAGGCAAGTGAGTAGTGTGCATGGTTTTCATTGTTCTGGTAAGAACAGAAAACACACACAGATGAACTAGGAAATATGAGCTGTGTAATTTCAGTGATTCGGTGTATGAGTTGAAAGCTCTTCTATCTGCATTTAAAACTGGCATTCTACGATAGAAAGCTGAAGAGTAAAATTCATGCTAGCAATTTAAAATTTTAATTTTCTTTACTTAGAATGGCATTAAATAGCAAGAAAACACCATGGCTAATCAAGAGAGCCTGGGGAATGGAGGAAGAGGTTTGTATATTTAGCACCTTTAACTGCACTTTGCCAGGCTTTTGAACAAGGCGGCTTTATTTCATTTTGCACTGGGCCCCGCATGTTCTGTTACTGGGCCTTTTCCCACTGGAAAAATAGATGAGGTCTGTGAAGTGGGTGGAGGCTGCAGCCAGGGCAAGGGGGACGGGCAGGAGAGACACAGTTTAGTCCTGCTCTCCTGCCCGTCTTGGGATGGCCTGGACCACAGGAAGCCATCACGGGGACTGTTAGGGAGCTGCGAGGTCCTCCTGGGTGGGACGGCCCTGGAGACAACAGAGAGCTGTCCAGAGAGCCTCCTCTCAGATGCTACAGCATGATGCAGCACAAGGTAGGGAAGTGGCTCCTCTGTGGGCTCTGGGGAGGGAGGCAGCAAGGAGTGGTGATCAGTTTCAGGAAGGAGCCTGCACTCCAGGCCTTCCCTGTATGGGCCTGGCTTCTGTGCCTCCCCACTGCAGGCTGCCAGTAGAGCAGCTGCTGTCCCGACACCACTGGGCGCTCACAGGCCAGAGTCACTCGACGCCCAAGGAATATGGCCAGCTGGAGAGAAAAACATGCTCCCCGGGGATCCATGTCAGTCCATGTCTCTGTGGCATTAGAGGAGGGGCGAGTGGTGATTGGGAGTAAGCCCATGCAGGATAGAGGGGAGGGAGCAGGTGCAGGCAGAAGAGCTTCAGATCCTGAGGCAGGTCTGAGGCCTGCAAAAGAGACAGGGAAGGAAGGGGCTTGGGTAGGAAGAGTCTCAGACTGCAGTCCCCCTCCCAGAAGCTTTCGGCCAAGCTGATGGGTGTCCCTGATAAAGCTGCCCGTCGGAGGGGTCTTGAGTGGGACGGAGGGGCCAGCACTGGTATCTCAGACTCTGTCTTTGATGAGGAGCAGTCAGGGAACAGGCAGCAAAGCTTAGTCTTGATATAACAGTAATTGCTGTAAATGTAAGTGGGTTAAATTCCAATTAAAAGGCAGAGACAGATTACATTTAAAAATTTACACAATGGGTTGCCTAAAAGAGATACGCTTTAAAAAGATACAAAAAGCTTAAAATAAGAAAGTTGGCAAAAGACATAGCAAGCAAATATGAACCAAAGAAAACTGGATTGACATGTAATGTATGACATTCAAATTTAAGGCAAAAAATTTAAAAACTCCAAACGCCAGACAAAGAAGGGCACACATACATATGGGCGCAAGGAGCCACAGAATGATAATGCATGTCTATCACAATCATTCTAATATCTAAAAATATGGCCACAATACACAGCAAGCAACATGTGCCGGAACTGCTGGGAGAAGCAGATATTTTAACAATTCTAACTGGAAATTTTAAAAAATAATAAGCATAGTTCACATTGACAAAAATTAGCAGAAATCTCCAAATCCTGATCAAAATGATTAATAACCTTAAAAAGCTTTTCTATCTGGGATCTTACCTTACTGAGTCAAGAATTAATAATTTTGAACTAATACATAATATAGAGAACTCTCTGCCCATCAAGCAGAGAGTACAACCATTTTGAACACAGGTAGAACATGTATGAAATAGACTATGTGTTAGGACCTAAAGAAGCCTCAATGAATTCCAGAGGCACAGGGCCATGCAGACTGGGCAGCTAGTTTCTGTTTGTGCTTCTAAGTTCCCTTTGCCCATTCTTCAGGAGACCACCCGAAATGCACCATACTCCTTGGGTGCCCCTGACCTCCAGCTTCCCCTTGGGTTCAGCCAAAGCACTACCAGATCAGGGGAAGAGGGAGAGTGAGGTCCAGGGTTTGCTGCCCTGGCTCCCTTCCTAGGAAACTCTGGCTGGCTGCACCCCTCCACCTGAGCCTCTGCTTCTGCCCGCCCCGCTCCCTGCAGGCAGTAAGGCTGCAGTGCCACCAAGCCCCTGGGGCTCTCCGACCTCCTGCCCACACCTTTATCAATAGTCTCTTTATCAAACCCTTCTCAAATTACCCAATTTGAGTGTGCCATCTGCTTCCTGCCAGGATCTTGACTGAATACAGACTTGTTCTCTGACAACAATGCAATTAAATTAGAACCTGGTAACAAAAGGTTATAATTAAAGAAACACTATTGAAAAGTAAATAACATTATTAAATAACCCTGGGTTTAAAAGGAGATCATCAGGAACAGTAGAAAATATTAGATATGAATGATAATGAAAACATTTTATGTCCAAATTTGTGAGACTCAGCCAAGACAGTTCTGTAGAAGGAATTTTGTAGCTTTTAATACAGTAGATCTATTGGAAAATCAGAAGGCTTAAAAAGGAGCTAAGCATTTGGTTCAAGACAGAGGAACAGATCAAATCCAAAGAACCACAAAGGAAGGAAATAATACAGAAAGACAGAAGCAAATGAAATAACGGGAAAGACGTTTAACAGAACTAAAAGTTGGAGCTCTGAAAATATTTAAAAATATTAAAAGAGAAAAATGCAAAAAACAAAATACAGGCCAAATGCATGCCAGTAATCCCAGCACTTTGGGATGCCGAGGTGGGTGGATGGCTTGACCTCAGGAGTTTGAGACCAGCCTGTGCAACAGGGCAAAATCCTGTCTCTACAAAAAATGCTAAAATTAGCTGGGCGTGGTGGCACACACTTGTAGTTCCAGCTACTAGGGAGGCTGAGGTGGGAGGATTGCTTGAGCTGGGGAGGCTGAGGCTGCAGTGAGCCAAGATGGCACCACTGTACTCCAACCTGGGAGACAGAGCAAGACCCTGTCAAAACAAACAAACAAAACCATAAAAAGCCAGAATATAAAGAAAAAAAGATATGCTAGTCATTTAAATATTAACGTGAAATAGATTAATTCCTAGAAAAATGTCTATTGCCTCGAGAAATAGAGAACTTGCCAGATTAAAAAGCATGAGGAAAACGGAGGTGATAAAGACCCCAGCCCCAGAAGCCCAGATGGTTTTATTGTTTCTGCCAGGGTTAGGAAGAACAATTGATTTCTCTTTCATGCCGGCGGTTCCAGGAAATAGTGAAGGAGGAGGAGCTGTCTAGCTGGTTTCGGCGGGGCTGGGGCTGGGAGTGGGGGGCCCGTGTCTTGCAGAAGTGGATGTGAATCTCCCCCAGCCACCTGCAAGGCGCTCGCACGCAGCTGTCGGGACTGAGGTGAAGCCGGCTCTCCCAGGAGTGTGGATGAAATGGTTAACGGCGAGGCCGCTAGGGCAGCGCAGGCCCCTGCTGGGCGCCAGGGAGGCTTAGCCAGGCGACGCCAGGATGCCCATGGCAGGGGCTCGATGGCAGGGGCTGGGCTGGAGGGGACCCAGCCCCGGGGTTCAGGGTGGCCCGAAATCCGTGCACCCCCGCACCGCAGTGCGGGGAGGTTCCCATGGGCGAGCTGCCCAGAGGCTTTGTCGAAGTTGCCCAGCCCTGGGACGGTGGAGGGAGGACGGTGGCGCGCACAGAGATACCAGTCAGCCCCTGGAACTAGGAAGGCGGCTGGGGGCGGGTGACGCAGGCTGGGGTTTGCCGGGGTGGCCCCCGAGCGGCGTGTGACTTGGGGGTCCAAGGAAGTTAAACTGGACAGGCTGGGGTGAGGACAATGGGGGCCTGGAGAGGTGGGGCGAGAGGAGGGCGGGGGGTCCCCACGAGCCGCGGTAGAGGCGAGGCGGCGGGTCCGCGGGCGGGTTGCATCATCCGGCGGGGAGGGCCTGGGTCACTGCTGCTCTTCCCCCGGCGCCCCGGCCCCGACACAAGATGCGATTTCACCGCGCACCTGTTACACCCGGAGCCAGCATCCCTGGCGCAAGGAGCCCTCCCTCCCCAGCCCCGCCCGCCCCCCACGATGCGTCTGTCGCTGGCTCAGAGCGGGGGCAGGTGGACGTTTTACGATTTCACTCGAAAGGGGCCAGGGTGGGGGACGGCCCGGCGAGGGGTCCGCGGGCAAGTTCAGGTGCACGCGGGGCTTCGGGACGGGGCGCCGCCGGGTCCCTCCCCCGCGAGGTCTCAGGGGCACGCCGGGGGAGGGGACGCTGCGTCCGAGCCGGGTGTCGGTCCCCCACCCTCCGCGGGGCCCGCCGCGGTGTCAGCGGTGACGTCACAGCCCGGCCCCGGCCCCCTCCGTCCCCAGCCCCATCCCCGCGGCGGCCGCGTCGCCCGTCCCTCTCCCCGCGCGACAAACCAGCTGGCGACTGGAGCTCGGACGCCGCGCGCAGCCAACCAGCGCCTCGGGAGGGGCGCGGGGCGGTCCGGGCCGGGGGCGCGCAGCCCGTCACGCGGCGGCGCCGTCACAGCGCAGAGCAGCCGGCGAGCGGCAGCAGCTCCGGGCTCGAGAGCCCGCGCCCATGCCAGTGCCCATGCGGGGCCGCCGCCAGTGACGCCGGAGAGGTAAGGCCGCCGCCCGCCCGGCCTCCCGCGCCCGCGCCCCTCGCCCCGCACCTGCGCCCGGCAGCCCGCGCCCGCAGCCCGCACCTGCACCCACTGCGCCCAGGGCGGGGAGCTCCGGCCCGGCGCCCTTGTTGCCGCCCAAAGCGCAGGCACTGCGAGGCCCCTTCACTTCCAGACCTTCCTCCATCTCCGCAGAGAACAATGGGGGAAATTCAGGGGTGTCCGCCCTTCAGGTGCCGCTGGAAAAGGTCCCTTTGCCGCGATCTCGGCTGCAGCGGGACCCTCGGCTTAGGCGGGCGGGGGTCGCCCTCGGGAGGGCTCGCCCGGCCGGCGGGATCGGGATACCCCCGCCCTTCCCCGGCTATTCCGCTTCCCTGGAGAGGAGCCACCGGCGGGGCTGCGGGAGGGGCTGCGCCCAGACGGCGGGGGAGGGGAGGGATGGTGAGCGGGGCTGAGGACGCTGACGCCGCACCTGGGAGGGTGCGCGGCTGCAGCGCCTCGGCCCGAGGGGAGAGCGCGCAGGGCGGCCGGGCGCGGGCAGCTGCTCCGGTTCCCGGGGTGGGGGAGGGCGGATGCTGGAGCCGGGAGCAAAACAGGCGGGCGGGGCGGGGGCTGCGGCGTTGGGGCCTGGCCACCCGCTTCGTTGCACGGCCGGCCTGCCCATCACCCCCTCCCACGCCAGAGACCCCAGCTCCCTTCCAGAAAGACCCAGCACCTGGGAGGGGCCGCCGGCGAGCACTGCCTGCGTCTCAGCAGCCAGCGCCCCTGTAACAGGTGTGGCCCGGCGGCGAGGGAGGGGCTGCGGGGCCGCAGGGTCTAGGCTGGCGGCGCGCCCCCGGCGCCCGGGCTCGGATGACACGAAGGAACAGTGGCCGCGAAGACCTTCGCACTCCCGCTTTAAGCCGCTCCTCACGCTGACTTCCCCCAAACCAGCCGCGCTGCCCTCTCGCTGGGAAGGGCCGGGGCAGCATCCCCGCCGGGAGGGAGGGTCCGCAGGAGCGGGGCGCTGGGCGCCGGTAGGTGGGGTTGGGGGGGCCCTGCCGGCCGCAGGGGCGGGAGGGGGAGGGGAAGGAGGGAATGCCAAGTCATGGGGCCTGCTGGGCGCGAGCGCGACGTCGCCCGGCGCGGACCCGATGCGCGCCCACGTCCCCGGGAATAGGGACTTTCCCCCAGAGACTGGAGGACCCCTTCCCCAAGCGTCAGCCCTTTCCAAGGGGTGCCTGCATTGCTGGAATTAAAGGCCTGCCAGGGCAAGCGGATTGGATCTTGCGGCTGCGGAGAGGAGGCGGTGCGGAGAGGCCCCTGCCTCGCAGGGCTGGCACTGGCCTCACCCTGGGGACGCACAGCGCGACACCGTGCTCGGCTCTGCGGGACACCAGGTCGCACTCAGGCTGGCGGGGCCTTTGCCAGGGAAGCCATGCCAGCACCCTCGTGGTGTGAGAAGGCAGCAGAGGGTTTGAAGGGAAGCTCTGGGGTCCACGTGGGGGTTGGGGCTGCACCTGCGGCGGCCATTTTGCAGGTGTGGTTGGCCACCAGCCTTAGCCAGGCTGTGGAGTGGGGCAGTCAGGAGTGGGGCAGTCAGGAGTGGAGCAGATGTGGAGCTTGCGGTGCAGGGTGTGGGATGGGCCAGGGCCAGGGCTCAGGTCTGCCCTTGCACTGAACACACACCGTCTATTTAGAGGGGTTCCTTGTTTGGTTGATGGGGTGGTTGGAGTCAAGACCCAGGAACCCTCTGGACCGGAGGGATGAGGAGGGATGCGGTAAGGCCGCTGGCTGAGGGGCCCAGCGTGGGATCGGAGGAGGGCAGCCTTTACCCGGGGTGAAGTCTCGGGAGGGTGCTGGGTCCAAGGCAGGGCCCGGATGAACAGCTTCACTCCGGCTGCAGATGGATCTGAGGCCCTGCAGGTGTCCTCCCCGGGCAGGTCCGCAGGGTGGACAGAGGCTGGAATCAGTTGTCAAGGCAGGGGTCCCGGGCCGGGCCCAGGGAGGTCCCTGTGGTGAGGGCCTGCAAGATGTCTGCTGTGTGCCAGCCCTGCTCCCAGCCGGGTGCTGCCCCCCTGGGTGCCTCCTTTCCCCCTTCCCCACTGGAATGTCCCACAGACTGCCCCATCTGGGGCTCCAGCCGGCCAGCCACAAACAGGTGGAGCCTGGAGTTCTGCCCAAAGCCCAGGGATGATGCTTGGCTGGATCAGGATTAAAACTGGGGTCACTGCCCGGCCGCCCAGCCTGTGCCCCGCAGTCCTCACTGATGTCATGACTGCTGACCTTGGGCCCACCATGCCCTTTGGGAGTAGGGTAGGGCAGTCCTCCTGTGGGATTTGTGAAGGGTGGAGGGGGAGATGTGAGCTGGAGGAGGAGGCCCTGGAGGAGACTGAGGGCATCTCTTCAGGCCACTCAGCCGGGCCGGCCAAAGCAGGTGAACTGGGTGTGGTGGGGACGGGAAGGGAGACGTTCCCACAGAGCCCTGGTCCTACCAGATTGGGGTCTATGGAGGGGCTACCAGCATTAGGTCATTGGGATTTACTGAGCCCTGCACATGCCTAGCTGGCCAATCCCGTCAGGCCTGAGACCATCCGTGCACATCTATCAGTGAGCTGGGAGGGGCCTGAGCCGCTACCACGGGTGGAGAGTGGTGGGCCTGGGTCTCTGGGTGGCTGTGATTGGTAGGATGAGCACGTGGTTGTCTGCCTGCAGAGTCTGGGGACCTCTCTAGGTCATTGCCACATTCAGTGTTCTTAGGCCCAAAGGATGTGGCTCACCACCCACAATATGGGTGGCCAAAGGGACTCAAGGTGTCACCTCCCACTGCCCATCACCCACTCCATGCCCAGGAGCGTCTCTGAGAACCATGGGGGGCTGGGCCACACCCTGCCCCGAACCTGTCCATGGGTGGCCAGGGTACCCAGGGACACAGCCAGGCAGCGTTGGGCCTGCGTCCTTGCCGGCTTCTGCCCCTTAGGTGGTGGCCTCCGGCCATAGGCCCATCCCTGCTACAGGAGGGTTTGGGATCCCAGAGCTTTGCATCCCAGTCCTTTGGCATGGCACCTGGGCAGAGGCAGGGGCACAGTGGCCCCACCTGACGAAGCCAGCTTGCTCTTTAGCTCCTGAGCCCCACTGGGATCCCCACCCTCAGCCTGGCTGGCCTCTCGCCACCCCAGTGCCCCCACCCCCAGGGCCTCAAGAACCCAGGGAACAGCTGGCTGGGCTTGGCCCACGTGCTGCAGTTGGGGGTGCTGTGGGGCAGAGGGCACAGTCAAGGTCAGCAGCAGGTGGAGACTGAGCCTCCTGACCTCTCCTGCTCCTTGCCAGCCCATCCTGCCAGCTTTGGCCTCCTGCAGGCCTAGTGCATTGTAGAGATTGATCCGGATGTGTGGATATGGGACTTGGATGTGGGACTCAGAGGCTGGGGTTGCCGGAATGAGTAGGAGGGGCTGCTGCCTCTCTAAAGCCTCCTCACCCTGGATTTAATCTCCTAATCCCAGGCCTTGTGGTCTGGGCAGGCCCAGCCCTGGCTGCCACAGAGCCTGGGGATTCAGATGACCTTTGGGGGTCCCTCCTGCTTGCCATCCCTGCCAGATTTCAGGACGCCTTGGGGTATAGGGAGGGCAGGCCAGTGCCTGGCTCTCCAGGCATCCTCGTGCTTATTCCTCACCCCTCCCCACAGTGCCCTGGAGGGGTCCAGAGCAGTCACCCGGCCACACACACTCATAGTCACATGCATCCACTCGAACACACACAGATCCACATGCATATACACATACACACACATTGCACACACACTGACACACACATGCACGCACACCCACCCATGCATACATTCACACACACAGACACTCATACACACACATGCATGCTCATGCACACTCACATACCCACACATACATTCACATACAAACACACATACACACATGCTTATGCACGCATGCATACACACATGCATGCATGCAGATAGACACACACACACACACACACTCTGCATCCCTTGTCCCTGTCTTTGTTCTTGCCTGGGTTTCTTCTCAATACTTTCTACTCAACCTCCACATTAGGTTTTAGGTCCCCCTCAAATGCTGCCTCTGCCATGATGCCTGCTGTCACCCCTACCCCTCAGATTGGCACCCCCTCCACAACCATAGGTTTCCAGGGGTGGGGAAGAAGACAGAGAACACTGGTCATAGCCTGCACTGTGCACCTCATGTGCTTCCCTTTATCCCATGCCACTCCACACCTGAACAATGAGAACAGCACCGCTTGGCTCGGACCCCACTGAGCCAGGTGGTGGTGTTCCCATTTTCCAGGTATGGAGACTGAGGCTCCTGAGAAGCCCATGTGGCTTGTAAAGTGAGGACCTGGGACTCCGAGGATGGTAGCTCCTTTAGTGCTTTCTGCTCATCCCTCCACTTTCTCCTCCACCCCCATTACCCCCCACTTCTCCCACCCCCACGGGGGCCAGCACGGTGCCTCACACAGAGTGAAGACTCAGTCAGTGCTCTTCCATGGCTGAGCCGGTTGTTCTAGCCCAGGTACCGCATTTTCTGGTAGAGTCCAGGTTGAGCTTTGGCCACCCTCTCAGGGGTTGGGGTGTCTTTGGGTCTCAGTGTCTCTTGTTCAGAACCTATGGATTCCTGAGCCTGGCTTAGGAATGACAGGCACCCCCTTCCCTCTGGGCCTCCCGTGGGGCTCCTGAAATGCAGCTCTAGGGACAGGCATGGCCCCGGACTGCTCCTGCAGGGCCCCTTCCCTGAGGCTGGTAGTGCCAGGAATGCCCTCAAGGGGTTCCTGCCCCCACCTCAGCCCTGCCAGAAAGGCCCACCTGAGGGTGGGCCTCAGTTTCCTTCTCCATCTGTCATCAGCTCAAGCCAGGATGGTGCAGGACAGGGCTGGGCAGTCAATGCTCAAGGTCATGGGTCGGTGTGGCTCCTGAGGAGCTGCTGTGGGGCTGGGGTGGGACTGTACTCAGTTGCTTGGTGTCATCTGGTCCCCACTCTCCTGCTTCTGGGGCCAGGGCCCCACCATGGGTGCAGGTCCTTGGGGCCTGGGAGGGCTGCAGCTCTAGGACAAGTAGTGGCTGCAGTGGGCTAGGCGCAGACCAGAGGAGCACGCTTACGGCCCCACACCCTTTGCGTCAGCTCTGTACTTAGGCAAGATGTTCTTGGTTGGTGTTTTATTTTCTCCAGCTCTTGGTTATCTTTATTTTATTTCATTTTAGAGACAGGGTCTCACTCTGTCACCCAGGTTGGAGTGCAGTGGTGCAGTCACAGCTCACCACAGCCTCAACCTCCTGGGTTCAAGTGATCCTCCTATCTCAGCCTCCTGAATAGCTGGGACTATGGGCATGTATCACCACACCTGGCTAATTTTTTGTAGACGGGGTTTTGCCATGTTGCCCAGGCAAGTCTTGAATTCCTGGGCTTAAGCAATCCTCCTGCCTCGGCCCCACAAAGTGCTGGGATTTTAGGTATGAGCCACCGCGCCCAGCCTTTTTATTTTCTTGAATGAGTTTTTTCCCTTTTATCGCACCTCCAGAAGTGGCCTCTGGCAGCTGCTTGCCATGTCCCCTGGATTGGAGTTTCTGTTTCTTGGACCCTAGAGCTGCTTGTTTCTTGGTTTCCTGTCTTGTTTTGCTGGAGCACATCCTTGTGTGACTTCCTTGAAAGGGTGCATGAGTCTTTGGTGTGTGAGAGTGTTTTTGCTGTGTCCTTGCTCTGGGTGGTAGTGTCTGGGGTACTTCTGTTCCTAAGTAGCTTTCCTGGGAACTCTAAGGATAGGGTCACCATGGCTTTCTGCATCAGGTCACTTATGAGCAGGCTTTGTTGGCAACTCGTCTTTTCTCCCTGGAAGCTTTTAGGATCCTGTCTTTTCCTTGGTGTTCTAACTTCATGTCGACGGGTGTAAGGATGGGGTTCGCATTTATTGGCACTCGGTGGGCCCTTCACACTGAAGTCAGGGTCTCTACTTCTATTTGTTCGTAATTTCCTCCTTTTCATTTTTTCTTTTACCCTGAATTCATGGGTTGGTCTGTTTGGTTGCTTTTCTCTTGTATATTCTGTCTCCTTGTTTATATTCTAAAGTCCTTTGACTGCCTTTTCTAGGGTTTTTGGAATCTTGTACTTCATCTCTTACATTTTTCATCTCTAAAATCTTCACGTTTCTAAATGTTCTGTCTCATAGCATTCTGCCCTTGTTTTGAAAATGAGCATCTTCTTGAATCTCCCGGGTGCGTGGACAGAGGTTGTGCTCGGTTGTTTCGCGTCTGTTCCATGCTTTGCCTGTCCTTCCCGCAGGGCCTGTTTTCTGCTGGCAGCTCTGGTCCTTCCCTTTCACACTCTGTTCTCACGCCCGAGGAAGGCATTAGTTGGCACATCATGTGTTAGGGAGGCCATTGGCGGGAGCGGCAGGGCTGCTGCTGCTCACCCCGGAGTGGTTCTGACCAGAGCTGGGGTGGGGTGTCCATGGGGGGTGGGGTGTCCATGGCAGGCCCTGGCTTAGGTGAAGGGGTGGGGCTGGCTACCAAGCTGCCCCTGCATATCAGAATGAGGGGTACTGCATTCTTCAGCTCACTGAAGGCTTCACTCCTGCTATGGAGAAAGCCATTCAGCTGCTCACCTGGGGGCACTGGCAGTGACCACCCTCGGAGGGTGGATGGCGGGGCTGGGGGTGCGGGCTTCCATGTTAGCCTCACTTCTCACCCCTGCCTTCCACCAGGTGCCTGAGTTCCCATGCCTGAGCCCCTGCCCCTTCCCTGCCCTCTGCAAGCGGCACTCAGGGCTGAGGTCCCAGGAAACGCCTCTCCCACGCCCTTTGCAGTTGGGGGCTGTGTGGTGGGCTCTGGCCCTATCCCATGGGGTCTCAGAGCAACCAGTGTGCCTGCAGTCATTGGACCTGGGGCTCCTTACTCTCCAGGGGTGGCCAGGACACTCCTCTATGACAATCGGTTGTAATTCTAAGAAAAACCTGCTGTGGTTTTTTTCTCAAACTCTTCAAGAAGGATCAGTGTTTCAGGAAGTGGCCCATGCCGATGCTTTGTTCTGGGCTGGCCCTGCTGGGTGTGCACATGGCGGGCCACTTGTCTAACTGGGAGCAAGTGGATCCTTGAGGTGAAGGCAGATCCCCGAGGTGAAGGCGGATCCCCGAGGTGAAGGCGGATCCCCGAGGTGAAGGTGGATCCTTGAGGTGAAGGCGGATCCCCGAGGTGAAGGCTGATCCCCGAGGTGAAGGCGGATCCCCGAGGTGAAGGCGGATCCCCGAGTGAAGGCTGATCCCCGAGGTGAAGGCAGATCCCCGAGGTGAAGGCTGATCCCTGAGGTGAAGGTGGATCTTGAGGTGAAGGCGGACCCAGAGGTGAAGGCAGATCCCAAGGTGAAGGCGGATCCCCGAGGTGAAGGCGGATCCCTGAGGTGAAGGCTGATCCCTGCCTGAGGTGAAGGTGGATCTCGAGGTGAAGGCTGATCCCTGAGGTGAAGGTGGATCTTGAGGTGAAGGCGGACCCAGAGGTGAAGGCAGATCCCGAGGTGAAGGCAGATCCTGAGGTGAAGGCAGATCCCTGAGGTGAATGTGGATCCCGAGGTGAAGGCAGATGTCTGAGGTGAAGGTGGATCCCCAGGTGAAGGTGGATCCCCAAGGTGAAGGCAGATCCCGAGGTAAAGGCGGGCCCCTGAGGTGAAGGCAGACCCAGAGGTGAAGGGCGTCTGGGCTCCAGGCGGATGCCTGTGCGATGCTCTGCAGCATGGGCCTCTCCAGCAGCTGGGCAGGGAGTGCCTGTGCCAGGCCTGTGTCTGGCCCTCACCGTCACCCCATGCCTGGTCTTTCCTGGACACTCCTCGAGCTGAGGCACGCTTTGTCATCTGCCTTGGTGCCACCCCCAGCCCCCTTCCACAGGGACTTGGCTTTTTCTGCTGATGCCCCCACCCCAGGGTGAGGCAGGAACCTGAAATGGTCCCAGAGCCCCAAAGCAACAGGGGAGTTCCTCCGGGGCCACCCTGCCCTCTGTGCCTGCAGTGACTTGCGGGGCGTGGCCCGGTGCGCCCAGTGGGTTTTCTGCATGCATTTTTACCAAGTGAATGGATTCTGTTCCCCTCTCCTCTGTCCTGGGGCCCCTGGCTCAGGGCTCATGGTCTCCCTTTCCTGGAGTCATCACAGCCGGCTGGCCATACCCACATACCCACATGGATGGCCACCATCCCCCAGCCCTCTTTCCCTCTCCTGCCCTCGGGCCATCTTCTCTGCCCACTTCCTGTGGGTGCATCCTGGGTCTAGTCAGAGCCTCAGACACCCGTGGTGTTGCCTCTATGTCCCCAGCGCAGACCCCACCCTGCCACCACCAGCTTCTCGGCATCTTCTTTGGCTCTGAGCAGTCATCCCAACCCCTCTGGCTTCCTCCCTGCCACCCTTGAGCCTGTGCCCTCATCTCTGGCCACTCCAGCCAGCGTGACCTCACCCCACAGGACCAGTTCATGCTTCTTGTTTCTGATGACTTCCTGCCCCACCTGTCCCAGAGGTGCCCCTCTCTGTCTTTGAGGGGAGCTCACCCTTTCTCCTGGGCTCTGGCATGTGCTGTGTCTGGCACTGTGGACCGCAACCCCCCGCCTTCTCAGGGGTTCAGCTGTGTCAGACCCCCATCCTCAGCTTTGCCTTCTGCCATCAGCCACGCCCATAGGCTCTGGCCACCCTTGGGGCCACGTGGCTCCCTCTCAGGTTGGCTGACAGAACAACTTCTTGAAGATAGTTTCTTTTCTTTTCTTTTCTTCTTTTCTTTTTTTTGAGATGGAGTCTCACGCTGTAGCCCAGGCTGGAGTGCAGTGGCGCAATCTCTACTCACTGCAACCTCTGCTTCCCGGGTTCAAGTGATTCTCCTACCTCAGCCTCCCAAGTAGCTGGGATTATGGGTGCCTGCCACCACGCTGAGCTAATTTTTGTATTTTTAGTAGAGACAGGGTTTCAACATGTTACAAGCCAGGGTGGCCACTAACTCCTGACCTCAAGTGATCTGCCCACCTCGGCCTCCCAAAGTGCTGGGATTACAGGCACGAGCCACTGCACGCGGCCAATAGTTACATCTTTAAAAATTGTGTCATGTGGTAGCAAAAATATACAACAAGGAATACAGAATATTACAACCAACGGCCACATGCCCACATTAGCTTTCAAAATAAGGCATTTCCAACCTGCTCCCCAAGGGTAGCACTGGCAGAGGGCTCACCACCACCCGGCATCTCGGCCGACCCACATCACCCTGGGGAGGAAGACGGACAGATGGGGCCTGGCGGGAAGGAGGTCCTTCCACGTCACCATGGCGGGCACATCGAGTGGCCTTGGTGGCGTCCAGGCCCTTAGACCCCCTCCACGCCCAGCACCATGAATTCGGTGCTGATCGCTCCTGGAGTGTCATCGTCTGCCCTGAGTCTGTGGAGTGCTGCTTGTGTGTTTGAAACTTCGAGGGGCCTGCAGCCGACTCTGCATTCATCTGCATCTTGGATGCTGGGCATTTGGGCTGTCTCCATTCTTTTTGTAATGATAAGTCATTCTGCATTTGGGTGTATTTCTCCCTGTGAATATGTATAGCATCTCTACTTGCAGAGTTGCTGGGGCACAAGGTCTGCAGCCCCTCCAGATGTTACCATGTTATTTTCAAAGTGGTGGCACCCGTTCACTCCCAAGGTGAGCTGTAAAAGCTCCTGTGGCCTCCTTCTGACAGCGTTTGGTGTGCCCTACTTTTAAATGTTGCCATCTGGTGGATACAGTTTGAAAATATGGTTTCCGAATTACTATCGTGGTTGAGTATCTTTTCATGTAAATTGCCAGTTCATATCTTTTTGCCCATTTTCTTCTGTGATTTTTGTAAATTTTTATTTTTATCTGTCCTCTGTGTATTCTGCGTACAAATCCTTCGTTGAATTGTATGTGTTGCAGATACCTTCTCCAGGTGGGTGGGGTTCTCGTCACCGTTTTAGTGATATCTTTTGATACCCAAACTTTCATTTTGGTGTTTTCGGTGGGTTAAGAAATCTTTCCGGCTGGGTGCGGTGGCTCGCACCTGTAATTCCAGCGCTTTGGGAGGCCGAGGTGGGTGGATCACTTGAGGCCAGGAGCTTGAGACTAACCTGGCCAATGTGGCGAAACCCTATCTCTACTGAAAATACAAAAAATAAAAATAAAAATAAAAATAGGTGTGATGGCACATGCCTGTAACCCCAGTTACTTGGGTGACTGAGGCACAAGAAACTCTTTTTTTTTTTTTTATTATACTTTAAGTTCTAGGGTACATGTGCACAACGTGCAGGTTTGTTACAAAGGTATACATGTACCATGTTGATTTGCTGCACCCATCAACTCGTCATTTACATTAGGTATTTCTCTTGAATCCTGGTGGCAGAGGTTGCAGCGAGCCAAGATTGCACCACCGCACTCCAGCCTGGGCGACAGAGTGAGACTCTGTCTCAAAAAAAAAAAAAAAAAATTCCTTCCCTAGGGGTAGCGTGAAGATATAACTCTTCTTTATTTTCTTCCAAAACATTTTTTGTTAACATAGAGGTCTTTAATCCACATGGAATTTATTTGACATATAAAGGGATCTAATGGTGTATTCTCCATATTGCCAACCAGTGTTCCTTCCATCGCTGGTTCGGTCGTCCGTCCTCTCCCCCTTGCTCTGTAAAGCCACCTTTCCCAGATGTCAAAAGGGCTGTGCTTCTGCAGGTCTGTTCCTGGGGTCCCTTCTGTTGCACTCGTGATGGCCTCTTCCTGTCCCAGCACAGCCCGACTTCATGCCAGGGCTTTCTACCAAGGCTCGAGATCATAGGGCGTGTTGCCCTCTGCCCTCTGGTCTTTTTTTTCTTCTTCTTCAGACTTGTTATTGATGTTCTTAACATCTTACTCTACCATATACATTTCTAGAAGCAACTTGTCATGATTCACAAAAGAACTTGAGTTTTCATATGAAATGACATTGAGTTTTTGAATCAATTTGGGTAAAATTAAATGTTTTCAAGATATTGAGATTTATTTTCCACCAATAAGTTATAGTTCTCCATTTATTTAGATTTTCCGCAATGTTTTTAGTAAAGTTCTACAATTTTCTTTATAATAAGTTAGTGACGGCTGGGCGTGGTGGCTTATGCCTCTAATCCCAGCACTTTGGGAGGCTGAGGCGGGCAGATCACGAGGTCAGGAGTTCAAGACCAGCCTGGCCAACACAGTGAAACCCCATCTCTACTAAAAATACAAAAAATTAGCCGGGCGTGGTGGTGGGCGCCTGTAATCCCAACTACTCGGGAGGCTGAGGCAGGAGAATCACTTGAACGCAGGAGGCGGAGGTTGCAGTGAGTCAAGATCGCACCGTTGCACTCCAATCCCAGGCGACGGTGTGAGACTCCATCTCAAAAAAAAAAAGTTAGTGACATTTATTCCTAGGTACTCTATAGTTTGGGTTATTATTTTATTTATTTATTTTTTAGAGAGAAGATCTTGCTCTGTTGCCCAGCCTGGAGTGCAGTGGTGTGATCATTAGCTCACCGCAGCCTCGAACTCCTGAGCTCAAGTGATCCTCCTACCTCAGCCTCCCAAGGAGCTGGTACTACAGATGTTGCCACTACTCCTGGCTAATTAAAAAAAAAAAATTTTTTTTTTTTGTTTTAGAAATGGGTCTTGCTATGTTGCTCAGGCTGGTCTTGAATTCCTGGGCTCAAGCAATCCTTCTACCTCAGCCTCCATGGTAGCTGGGACTACAGGTGTGAGCCACTGTGCCAGGTTGGGTTATTATTTTAAAGGATACCTTAAAATATGTTTTAATTCTTTATCAGGTATATAAGAATGTTCTTGATTTCTACAACCTTATTGAACCTTCCTAATTCAAATATTTTTTCTGTGGATTCTCTTGATTTATGTGTAGATGAGCAAATGGTCTGCAGATAATGACAGTTTGGTTTCTTTCTTTCAAATTCATATTTATGTTGTTTGTTATTTTCCTGTCTTACTGGTTTGGCCAGAACCTCTCCTACAATGTTAAATAGAAGTAGAGATAGCAAGCATCCTGGACTTGTTTCTGAATATAAAGGAAATGTTCCTATCATTTTACCATTAAGTGTGATGTTTGGGTAGGTTTTTAGTAGATAGCTATTATGAGGTTAAAAAAGTTTTCTTTTATTCTAATATTGCTTAGAATTTTATCACAAATGAGTCTTGAAAATTATGGAATGCTTTTTTAGTATCTATTGAGGGCCTCATATTCTTTCTTCTTTAATTTGAAAATTATAATAATAGCTATCCTAATGTCAAGCTATACTGGTATTCCTGGAATATGCTTACCTGCATTGCCCTTTTTATTTGTTACTGTATTTTCTTGCTAATTTTTCAGACTTTTGTACCTATGTTCATCAGTGAAACTGGTCTATAATCTTTCTCAATTTTTTCTTGTTTACTTTGATGCTAAAATTCTATTAGCATCAGTGAATGAGCTAGGAGTACAGTTGGCTCTCGATATCTGTGGGTTCTGCATCTGTGAATTCAACCAGATCAAAATTTTTGGAAAAAAAGAATGGTTTGTCTATACTGAACATGTACAAATGTTTTTCCCTTGTCACTATTACCTGGACAATACAGTATAGCAACTATTTATTAATACATAGCATTCACATTGTATTAGGTATTATAACTAATCTTGAGATGATTTAAAATATATGGAAGGGGCTGGGTGCGGTGGCTCATGCCTGTAATCCCAGCACTTTGGGAGGCCAGCGCGGGCAGATCATCTGAGGTCGGGAGTTCAAGACCAGCCTGACCAACATGGAGAAACCATGTATCTACTAAAAATACAAAATTAGTTGGGCATGGTGGTGCATGCCTAGTGGCGCATACTAGGGAGGCTGAGGCAGGAGAATCGCTTGAACCCGGGAGGCAGAGGTTGCGGTGAGCTGAGATCACACCATTGCACTCCAGCCTGAGCAACAAGAGTGAAACTCTCTCTCTCTCTCTGTGTATATATATATATATATATATACACACACACACACACACACACACACACACACACACACACACACACACACACATATATATGAGGATGTGTAGGTCAAATGCAAATAGTACACCAGCTCATATGAGGGACTTGAGCATCTGTGGATTTTGGTATCTGTGGGGGGTCCTGGAACCAATCTCCTACTGATACTGAGGGACGACTTTATATTCTTTGGGTGTTTCCCTCTCTTTCCTCCATTCTCATAAAGAGTTTGTATAGGACTGATATTATCTTTTAAACAAATGTATGGTGGAACTCACCTATAAGAAGTGTCTGAATCTGCTGCCTTTTTTTGTGGGTAGATTTTTAAACTATTGGATCAATTTCTTTAATAATTGTAGGAAAATTCATGTTTCTATTGCTTATTTTTCTCATAGTTATGCATCACATTTTCCTGGTTCTTGGCAGGTCTAGTAATTTTTGATTGGATGCTAGACATGATTTTTAGTTTTTAGAGAGTCTGACTTCTATTTCTTGCTTTAGTGCATGTTGGGCTTTGTCTTGGCAGGCGCTTAACTTACTTGAAGACCAGTTTGATCAGTCAAGGCCTGTTCTTAAGCTTTTCTAGAGCTGGTCTAGAGTAGACCACCTGCAGGAATAGTTTAGTCCCCCACCTAGGGCATGCCTTCTCCAGGGTCTCCACGGAATATCTGGAGTGGAGGCTCAAGAGGACTCCCTGTTCTGGCTGATAGGATCACAGATGTCTCCTTACCTTGTGTGAGTTTTGAGAATTGTTCAGATTACAACGGCCCAGTCTTTTTGTGTCTGGATTATCCAGGAATGGACTAGTACTCTGAAAAGACTCAAGTGTACCCCGGTGCAAATTTCTGGACTTCTGCTGAGCAGCTCCTTTCTTCCAGAACTCTGACTCACAACCTCCAGCTGCCTCTGCCCACCCAAACTCTGACCACCATCTTCTCAACCTGTCAAAGCTGCCAAGGCGCTTGGGTCCTACCTTGCTGTGCCTGCCTCCAGGCAGATTTGGAGTGATCACAGGGCTCACCTAGTATGTGCCCCTTCTCTCAGGGATCACAGTCCTGCACTGCCTATTGTCTGATGTCTGAACACCAGTATTTTCGTATATTTTGTCTTCTTTGCTAGTTATTGTTTACAGTGAGAGGTTAAGCCTGGTCCCTGGGACTCTGTCATGGCTGGACATGAAAACTCCATGTTTTGCTATTAGTGTTTTCATTTCCATTTAGTAAGTATTTTTATATTTTCATCATGATTTTTCCTTTGGTTTGTTATTTAGAAGTTTATTTTTTAAATTTCTAAACATATGGGTTTTTAATTATTTTTAAATTAATTTTTAGTCTAATTGTGTTCAAATTACATGATTCATTTTATACAGGTCTTTGAAAGCTACTGGGAGTTGCTTTATGGTCTAGTACATGGTAAAATATTGTAAATGTTCCATATGTAATGGAAAAGAATGTTGCTCTAATTTTCTGCGAGAGGCACATATGTCCATTAATTTATGATTATTGTGTTATTCATGCTATGCTCTTATTAATTATATATCTGCTTGATCTACCAATTAGTGAGAAGTGTGTTAAAATCCCTGTCATGATAAATTAATGAATTCCTCCATATTACTTGACTCTGAACTTTGGTTTTATATTTTCGCCCTTTTTTTCTTTCTGGGATCATTTTGGGTAATTTTTTTCTGACATATTTTCCAGTTCATTAATTCTGTGTTGAGCTCCATTTAATTTGCTGATTAGCATGTCTGCTAAGTTTTCAGTTTTAAATAATTACATTTTATTTCTAAAAGTTCTGCATGGTTCTTTCCCATATGTTACCCCATTGTTTTTCAGTTCTGCTTATTTCTTAGAACATTTAAGCCAACTTATTTTTATAATCTGTATTTCACAATTTTAATATCTGAAGTCGCTGAGGATCTAATCCCTCTCTTCCCTTTCTCTTTCTTCTCCCTTCCCTCCCCTCTCCCTCCCGCCTCCCTCCCCACTCCCCTCTCCCTCCGCCCTCCCTCCCCTCTCCCTCCCTCCCCTCTCCCTCCCCTCTCCCTCCCCTCTCCCTGCCCTCTCCCTCCCCTCTCCCTCCCCACTTCCCTCCCCTCCCCTCCCCTTCCCTTCCCTTTCCTTCTTCTCTCCTCTCCTTTTTTGGTGACTCTTGCTTATGGTGAATTGCTTCTCCCAGTGTTTGGTAATATTTCATTGTGAGCTAACATTTGGCTGATGTTCATATGTGGGAATCTTGGGGCCCTGGGAAAGGAAGCCTTCTCCTGGGAGGATTTGTATGTGCTTTGTTAGGTGCTTTGGGGCCTAACTCCTGAGAACTACTCTGAGCTAACTTCTTGAATTTGGATTTCACTGATCATGCAGGTGTTGTAAATTTGAAACCCAAACTTTATGAGGACAGGCCTGTGGCCTTAAATTCTCAGTAACACTTGCTTTTTCACCACCTAGAGCTGGGCGTCATTCAGATTAATTCCCGTGTCCCTTCTTTTACCCAGCCTTCCATTTCACAGAGGCTGTAGCTTTGAAGGATTCAATTTTGTGGTGACTTGGTTCCAGTCATCACTTTTTGTCTCTTTGAGGTCCTGCCTCCCATTCCCCCCACAGCAGGTGAAACCAAATTCTCTGGTTTCTGGTATCACCAAATGCCTGTAGCTTTGTTGCCACCTTAATTCCATCTCCTTCTTCCTCTTTTTCCTTTCCTTCTGAGGAGTCCTCTAATTTTCTTCTGATGTTTGTTATTTATCCTGAATTTCTAGGTGCTTTATAATGGAGGGTGTCTCACCCACCATACTGCAGAAGTAGAAGCTTCCATTCAGCCCTTTTGCTCTCTGTTGGGAAATATTATTGTTATTATTATTACTTTTTTGAGACGGAGTCTCGCTCTGTCACCCAGGCTGGAGTGCAGTGGCGTGATCGTGGCTCACTGCAACCTCTGCTTCCCAGGTTCAAGCAATTCTCCTGTGTCAGCCTCCCGAGTAGCTGGGATTATAGGTGCCCACCACCACACCCAGCTAATTTTTGTATTTTTAGTAGAGATGGGGTTTCACCGTCTTGGCCATGCTGGTCTCAACCTCCTAACCTTGTGATCCACCCACCTCGGCCTTCCAAAGTGCTGGAATTACAGGCATGAGCTACCACGCCTGACCCGGGCAGGAAATATTAATTTTAATGAGCAAACTGATTTTTGATTTCACATATATCAGTATTTGTCAACCAAAATGAGGAATTTCTATTTATTTTACCTCAACTGTTTGGTAATGATTTTTTAAAATGATTCTTTTTAGGTTAAGTATGAGCACAGTGTAGAACAATCAAACATTTTATAAAATTTGTTTAGAAAATCAGCAGCCTTTGTTCCTCATACCCAATTTTTTTCAACTCTCTTAGCTGTTTTTAAAATTTAGCTGTATATTACTAATTAATGTGCTTGTTCTGCTAATTCGTGCCTGTTTTAGCGGTTATGTAGATAGAATTATAAACTGTTTACCCTTTTGCATTTGGTTTATTTTTTTCCATGTCCTGTTTGTGGTATTCATCCATTTATCATCTCTCCCTCCTGAAATGCCACTAAAATAAAGGTAAAGGTAAACCAAAAAAAGACCTAAACGCTCCCATAAGAATGAAACAGGAGAGAACGCTCAGCAGCCACGTTCTGGATGCTGAAAAGCAGACCTGCGTGGAGACTGATCTAGAAGATTCACAAGAGTGGAAGCCTGGGTCCCTCCCAAGGCAAGCCTTGGTGACCTCCTGAAAGTCTTCCCAAGCCAACCACAGCTCCCTCGGGGACACTGGGGTCTGAACCAACCTGGGGATGATGTGGGGCTGCCCTCCCCATCCCTGTGCCTTTAAGGCTATGTGTTTCCTCGTCAGTCCGGCTTTAGCTACCTTCCGCAGGACCTTTGCCACAGCTTTGAAATGTATCTTCATTATCACTCATTCAAAATGTTTTCTAATATCCAGTGTGATGACTTCTTTGACCCATGGGTTTTTAAAAATTGTATTGCTTAGTGTCCAAGCAATTGGGTTGTTTTGTAGGTGATTTTTTTTGAGGGTATTGATGTATAGCATAATTCTATTGTGGTCAGAGAACATCTGCCTTATAACTTGAATTTAAGATGGATATTTGTGGAAGTTTGCTTTATGACCAGCATATGGCAAATTTTAGCACACATTCTGTGTGCACTTTAAAAGAATATGTATGAGGCTGGGCATGGTGACTCACACCTGGAATCCCAGCACTTTGGGGAGCTGAGATGGGAGGATCATTTGAGCCCAGGAGCCCAAGACCAGCCTGGCTAACATAGTGAAACCCCATCCCTACAAAATAAAAAATTTAGCCAGGTATGGTGACATATGCCCATAGTCCCAGCTCCTCAAGAAGCTGAGGCAGGAGGATTGCTTAAGCCTAGGAGGTAAAGGCTGTAGTGAGCTAAGATCATGCCACTGAACTCTAGTCTCAGAGACAGGAGACCCGGTCTCAAACTAAATAAACAAAATAATGTGTACGATATATATTTTCTCCTCCTCAGTGGCTGATAGAACAAGCACAAATTTTCATCCTTTTGTTTTCAGCCTCTCTGTGTCTTTGTATGTAGAGTCTCTTATGAACAGAATATAATTTATAAAAATCTGGTCTGACAATTTTTAATGTTTTACTTGGTGTATTTAATTCATACTGAGTTGACCTTTTATCTGCAATCTTAACTCTTTCTTTTCCACTTGACAATTATGTTTTCATATTCTGTTTTTCTCCTTCACTGCCTTCTATTGGATTCATACAATAAATTTTAATTTTTTGGATATTTTTCTATTAACTTGTTAGTTATACATTAGTTTTCTACTTTCTAAATGATTACCCTAGCAATGACAACATGTATCCTTGACAATCGAATATAAATGATTACTGTTACCTCTTTCATGATCATGTTGAAATCTTGCAGTCTTGTCTTTTGGTTTCTATCATTTCTGTTGAGGAGTCAGTTGTCAATCTTATTTTTGCTCCTTTAAAGGTTACATGCTTTTTTTTTTTTTTTTTCTGGCTGACTTTAAGCTTTTTCTCTTCATCCTTGGTCCTAGCAGTGTTGCAGTGCTGTGCCTTGTGTGGCTTTCTTGTTTGTCTTGCTTTGTGTTTGTAGAGCTTCTTGAACCTGTGGATCAATGTGCTTCAGCAGCTTTGGACAATCCATGGTCATTAGTTTTGTAAATACTGCTTCTCCCCTGTTTTGGTCCATTCCAGCTGATACAACAAAAATATCACAAACAGGGTGGCTTGTGAATAAGAGAATTTATTTTTCACAGTTCTGGAGGCTGGGAAGCTCAAGAGTAAGGCACATTGGCTGAGGATCTGCTTTCTGGCTCCTAGACGCCTTCTTGCCCTGCTCTCACGTGGTGGAGGGGCTGAGGGGTGTCTCTGGCATTTCTTTCATAAGGGCATGATCCCATTTGTGAGGCCCCACCCTCATGACCTAATCACCTTATAAAGGCCCCACTTACTAAAGTCATCACTTGGGGGGTTAGGATTTCAACATAAGAATTTGGATGGGAACAGGGGACACAAACATTCAGACCATGGCACCCCCATTCCATTTCTTCTCCTTCTAGATTCCACTTACAGGTATGTTTGACCATTTCACTGTGTCCTATACTTTTCTGGCTGTCATGTCTATATTTCCTATTCTTTTTATCTGTTTTAAATTTTCTATATTTCTATTACCTGTCCTCCAGTTTACTAACACTGTCTTCAACTGTGTCTATCTCTTGAGTTCCTAATTTTAGGTATTTTGTTTTCCAGATCTAGCATTTCCATTTGATTTTTTTTTTTATAGTTTCCAGTCCTCTGGAAAAATTCTCCATTTTCCATTTATATTCTCTGTCCTTTTTGCTCTTATTTTGAATATATTTGTCAGGGTTGTTCTAAAGTCCTTGTTTAATAACTCCTAGATCTGGATCATGTTTAGATATGTGTCTTTTTTTTTCTCATGTGTTTATATTTTATTTTTCCTCTTTGTTTTTAATCAGAGTCCTTTCTTATTTTATACCTTCTAAGTTTTGATTGGATGTCACACATTGCCTATTAAAAGAATGTAGAGTACAGAGATTATCCTGGGTTTGAAAAAATAAAAATAAAAATAAAAGAGTGTAGAGGTTCCAGATGGCTTCCATTTTCTCTCCCAGGCAGCCAGACTGAAGTCCGAATTAAACCAAGCGAGGGCAGGTTGTAGTTTTCATAAGGTTCGTCCGAGCTATGGCTCTGCCCTGCTCTTAGGTTTCGTACCTTGCTGGGCTTTCAGCCAGAGCCTGGTGTGATCACTGGGTATTCTCCTCCCGGAGGACCCTGAACTCAAATCTTTGTTCCTTCCCACCTGAGACTGTGCAAGACTCCTCTTTGGTTTTCAGCTTGGGTTTTTAAAATCTCACCTCTCATATCCTCAGAATTTGGCAAATGTCTTAAGGGAAGGACTGGGCATTTGTTCATCTTAGTTGTTCACCTCTGTCTTCTGGAATCTTGGCCTCTCAAGTTTCTTTTTGCCCAAAAGCTCTGCAGCTTCCTCCGTCCCTCAGCAACGGCTCTCTGTCTGGGAAGACTCCAGATTCCCAGTCTCTTGCCCCGTGCGCAGAATGCAAATACACCCCGGAGGCTGTGCTGCGGAGGCCAGCTCCCGTCTTGGCAGCCCCTCCTCTGGAATGTTGGCTTGTGGCTGCACACTGATTCCTTCACACACAGTGCGGCGTGGTATCGGGCCTCTTGAGTAATGCATTGGTCGGCTGCTGGCCACTGCACCCACCAAGCCGCCTTCGCCTTCCATGCTTCGTGGTGTGCATATTCCATACCCCAGAGCCAAGAACAGAGGCTTCTCTGTGTCCTTGTACCACTTTTACATTTTAAAGATCAAGTTCTAGAATAGCTTTATTTTTTCAATACGGGAGAGCCAGTTGTCCCATACTGATCTTACCTCATTCCCTAAATTGCTGCCTTTTTCTTTAGTGTGTGTGTGTGTGTGTGTGTGTGTGTGTGTGTGTGTGTGTCTGCTTTGGACATGCTTAGTCTGTTCACGTGTCATTTCTAGACTTTGGAAATCATTGTAGCTCTGTAGGATATATGATAGCTGGTAGGGGATGTTTCCTCTCTTTGTTCTCATTTTTCAAAATTCTCTTATCCTGCCAAATTCCATTGAACATCCTGTTGGAATATTTTGCTTATCGGAATTGCACTGAATTTATATAGCTAAATTTGGGGAGAACTGGAAATTTTGCACTGTTGAATGGAATATCTGCTTTCATCAATATTTTCTTAATTTCTAAGTATTTCCGATTTTAGTACTTGGGATTACTGAGTCAAGGGATACAGACCTTCTTAAAGGCCCAGGGCGTGCTGCAGAATTGCTCCCTAGAAACCTTGCGGGATTTGTGCTCTAGCCAGGGACTGGTGAACTTGCCTGTTCCTCTCTCCATCCCGGCTGGAACGTCCTAAGACTTTTTCCAGTTTTAAAAGTGCAGGGATTTTCAACACAAGGAAACACAGATTCTCAGAGGTCATCCCCCCGTCCACGCTGGCAGCCACTCCTGGCTGTGAGAAGAGATAGTGGCGGAAGCACTCTGGAGTGTAGACGCGGCTGCACCTGGTGGCTCTAAGGGGCTGTGGTGTAGGCGGCACGAGTCCAGCCACATCAGGAACTTGTCCCCACTTAGCCATAGGGTGGCCTGGCACATCCCCCTCCCCTGTAGCCTCTGGAAGAGCTGTTTGCCTGAGGGACAGCCCTGCCCCACATCCAGCCTGTTCTGCGGAGGAGTTCTGGGGAGCCTGGGAGTGGCCTGGGCAAGGTCCAGGAGTTCAGCGTCTGCCCTGGTCCCAGGCTCACTGTGCCCCCTTTCCTTCTGCAGACAGACCCTTCCTGCTCTTGATCCTGTCCCAGGCTCGCTGTGCCCCCTTTCCTTCTGCAGACAGACCCAGGCTTGCTGTGCCCCCTTTCCTTCTGCAGACAGACCCTTCCTGCTCTTGATCCTGGAGCTTCCAGGGGCAGCCCAGAGGGGCTTGTCCCTTCTTCACAGCTATGAGGCTGGGGCACTGTAGGATGGGGGCTTTTTGCCAGATTCCCCCAAGGGTGGCACTTACAGATGGGGACGACCAGGCAGAAGGTTGCCTCTTCATGGAATGTCAGTGTGGAAGGGTTTCAAGGAGGCCTCCCAGCCTTTGCTCTACTTGGATGCCTCTGGTGATGTGGGACTCACCACTGAGTGGGCACCCTAGAGCATTTAGACAGCAATTGGCGAAAACCTCTCGTGTCAGGCTGCATGAATTCTGTTTCATGGAGTTCTGGCCATTCCTGTAACCAACAGCTCTGTCCCGAGGCTGTCCCTGTCCCTGTGCCCAGGAGCCCCATCGTTCAGGCCGCAAGTCCCACGGGGAAGCAGCAGCATCTGGCTGGTCAGCCCGGAAAGACCTTTCACAGTGGCTGCTTCGTCACTGTTTTGCGGGGAGTTTTCATCAGCCTTCCTCAGAGTCCCAGTACCCGAGAGGCCAAATCATTTTGGGGTTCCTGACCACCACCCCGTCATTTCACAGACGGTAAACTGGGGCCCAGGAAGCTGTCACACAGCTGGGGTAAAGGCCAGGCCGAAGCTGGTCCCCCAGCCCTGGCTTGTACCGAATTCCCCATGACTTGTCTCCTGCTTCTCCTCAGTGGGGCTCAGGAATGTTCCTCTCCACCTTCTGCGTGAATTACCAGCAGGACATTGGGCCGAAAACGTTGACTTTTGTCCCATTGCTTAGGGCTGTCTGTGCTGTTCTTTTCATTTCTGAGTAAAGTTCTTTCTTGCTAATTCAGAGACCACACTACTGCTGATGTGGCTACCAGCTGGCGCTTGGTGTGAAGGGTGTGATGGGGCATTCTAGAACACTGTTCTGTTTTAAAGCGTCCTTGACATGTCGATCTGGAGCCAGCACTGGCTCTTGGGGCCTGCGCGGACCTGGCATGGAGCCCACCAGCGCCTGCATCCACAGGGGAAGACCCTTCCTGGGGGGTTTGCCGTGGGTGTGAAGGCCACCTTCACGTTCACACCCAGGTCGCTGTGTTTCTGTTTCTTTTGTTGGGTTTCAGCTTCCTCAGGCTTGCGAAGCTGGGTTCCACTGGTCCCGCTGGGCTCCTGCTTTCTAGAATTATCTGCGCTGCCTCCTCTCCTTGTGGATTCCACCCCATGCATGTATCACACTGGGAGCTTTGGAGGGGAGTGGAAAAGACCTGTGGCTTCAGCTGCAGCCGGAGTGCCTGTCCTGCCTCCTCAGATATTGTTTCTAATTCATGTTTCCCTTTTTTCCAAGGTGTTCCCCCCACACTGGGGCTCCCACTACTGCGAGGAGTGACCCACGAAGGCCACAGAGATGGCCGGGGCTTCGGTGAAGGTGGCGGTGCGGGTCCGCCCCTTCAATTCCCGGGAAATGAGCCGTGACTCCAAGTGCATCATTCAGATGTCTGGAAGCACCACCAGTGAGTATCAGCCTGCACAGCATCGGGGTCGGCCATGGGTTGCTGGGGGCCATGGTCCTGTGCCTATGGGCCAGGCTCAGCAGTCAACCTGGCCCTGGCCGCAAGAGCACCTCCTTGTCTATGTGGCGTGTGGGTGTCCTGGGGCTGCTGTAACAAACTGCCACCAACGGTGGTGGGCTTATAAGAATAGAGATTTACGCTTACAGCTGTGGAGGCCAGAAGTCCAAAGTCAAGGTGCCAGCAGGGCCTCACTCTCTCTGAGCTCCTAGGGAGGACCTTTCCTGCCTTCTCCGGGGTCTGGTGGTTGCCAGCCACCTTGGCTTGCAGCAGCGTTGCTCTAGTCTCTGCCTCCGTCGTCACGTGGCCTTCTCCTCTGTGTGTCTGTGTCTCTGCTTTCATGTGGCTTTTTTATAAGGACACCCACCACTGGGTTTGGCTTTCTTATAAGGACACCCATATGTTTCCCCACATATCCAAACCGTATCAGTATCTTGGAGCAAGAACCAATTGTCATCTCTCAGTTCTGTGGCTGGCTGGGCTCAGCGGGGCAGTTTGTGCTGGGGCCTCTGGTGCAGCTGCAACTGCTGCTGCCGTCACAGGATCAAGTGGTGTCAGCTGCACTGAGTGGTGACATGAACAGCCACCTGGTCTTCAGGATGTGGACAATGACAGCCTTCCCATTCACAGGTGCCGTGCACCCATCCGACATGCCCTCATCTATTATCTACCAGGTGGGGAGGGGGGCGTCCCGAGGGGAGGGCACTCAGGTCCCATGGAAGCTTCCTCCCTAGGTTTAGTCTCCGAGGCCTGCTCAGGGGCTGGAGATTCAGGTGTCACTGGGGGTGTTCTGGGCTCTGTCACGTCCTATGGAAGTGAGGGCTCTGCTCGGGCCCTCTGTCTGGCCCAGGGATGATCCTTCCAGAAGCCCGTGGAGCTCTGTGGCTAATCATGGTGCAGTGGACAGGCTGGGGAGACCCTGCTAAACTCCAGGGTATGGAGGCTGCTGCGGCTGTGGGGCCCCAGTGTACTTCAGGGTTGCATCCTGACTGTTCTTCATGGTGAATTGTTTTGTCTGTTTGGTTCCTGGAAGCAGACCCAGAGATGAGGATTTGAGCACCAAGAGTTTATTTGGGAGGTGGTCCCAGGATGCACTGTGGGAGATTGGGGAAGTTTGAGGGGAAGCTGACAAAGGTGCGTTCGTAAGTGGGTGACCTCCGTGGCCGGGGCCCTGGCCTTGCCGGGGCCCGTGGATGAACACAATGCACCTACCGGTTGTCCTGCCCAGGAAGGCCAGTGCTTTTCCAACAACGCTCGCTGCATTAGCTGACTGCAGCCCTGGCCTTTTGTGGTCGGAGAAAGTGCTCAGGTGGCAGGACCCTTGCCTTTAAGAGGGAAGCCTCAGGCTGCGCAGAGCTGTGAGTCTGGAAATGTGACCTCAGGTGGGAAATGTGACCTCAGGTGCGAACCATGGCTCTGGGTGTGACCTTCGACTCCGGGTGGGAACCGTGACCTCTGGTGAGCACTGTGGCCCGGGGTGGGCAGAGGACGCCTGTTCCACGCTCCAACAGGCTTTGCTGTGTCATTGTAAGGTGACCCAGGACATCAGGGAGGGCCCTGTGAATCCCCTTCCATCCCCCACTGGGTGCCGGCAGCACAATTGCCACCTCAGTCTTGCATGTGGGGTCATGGGGAACTCCATGGTTGGCACAGTGACAAGAACCAGACCCGTCGAGCAGCTAAAGACCACCAGAAGCAGAGTGGATGGAAGAACAAAGCCTCAGAGATGGGACCCTCCTGCCCCTGAACCTTGAGAATGGCCCAGCCTCAGGCCAGACCCTAAATGACAGGGTTAGGCAGGTGGGCGGGTTGGAATGTGTGTCCCAGAAGTGACGGCCAGGGTGGGCGAGTGGCACCCTTGCAGCCTCCGACCTGCCCCCTGGCTCAGCCTCCAGGGGCACTGGGTAGGCGGCCTCCCCATTATGCATTTCCCCTCATAGGATCCAGAAACGGGAGGGTACAGCCTGGAGGTGAGCCAGCGTTGCCAAGACCTCGACACTGGCAGCACTGCCCAGCTGGTGAAAGGTGGTCTGGCTGAGGCTGCGCCGGCCCAGACCCAGAGAGCTGCCAGTTCAGAGACAGCAGTGCAGGCCTGGACCCGAGACCTCATGCCCCAGTGGTTTTTGCCTGCTTCACTCTACCCTCTCCTCTGGCCTGGAGAACAAAAGCTGAACCAAAGCTTTACCCCACGGCTTAGGAGCCAGAGGCCGGAGCCATATCTGTGGGCAGCCACGTTTCCTTTAGCCAGTGGGATTGAAACCTGAAGCGAGACACCCTGCTTCAAATGCCTGGATCCCGTCTGGCCCTGAAGACATTGGAGTTCTGGGATTTCGCCTATGTGCCAGCAGCCTCTGCTCCCCAGTAAGCTCTGAGCAGAAGTCTAGGCAAGCCCAGGAGGTCAGGAGGGAAATGCAGGAGCCCCTACACTTTTTTTGGGCAACTGGTAGGTCCTGAAGGAACCTCCCCTTCTCAAAGATGAACATATGCAAGACACCAACCTCTTCTGAGATGCCGATCTTCCGGGGATCACCAAACTAAATTAAATGTCTGTGGGGTTACAGCAAAGTTCTGAAACCAAGGAGGAGGAAAGGGCCGTGGACTCAGGGTAGGGGTGGAGAGCCTGCCAGGGCATTTCCTCCAGGACACCTGGAATGTTTCAGACATTGTCACTTTCATCCTCGGGAAACTGAAGAGCCACAGAGCCCAAACAACACATGAGATCAGTGTCCTGCCCACTGTAGCCGAAGACGCACCAAGAAAGCCAGGGCCCCAGGTTGCCGGCAAGCAAAAGGCAGGTTGTGAGGGTGGCAGGGACAGGCACCCAGGCCGCTTGCTGGGGACGGCCTGGTGATGGATATGAGACGTGTGAGGCCGACCTCACCAGGCTGCTTGCGTGAAATGCAACGAAGGTTATCCAGCAAGTGGTCAAAGGTGTGCGTTTGAAACGTTCACCTTGGTGCTGTTTTACCAAGCCCGGGGCAACCGCCCAAATGCCCGCCAGCTGGGAGCTGCTGAAGGGATGTTAAGTCTATCCCGGCAGCGGACCTGAGTGCTCCTGAAAGTTTGTGTTTACAGCTGTGAGAAAGTGCCACACGATGTTGTGGGGAAGGGGGCAAAGGTCAGCACGGAGCCCAAGAGTGAGGCCGTGTGTGGGTAAAGGGCAGATGGGCACTCACTGCAGGTCCTGTGTGCACTGGATGTGCACGTGCATGGGAGACAGCAGGGTGCGGGGGAGGGAAAAGAGTGGCCGAAGAATGAATAATCAGGAAAAATCTCTAGGAAAGCTGTTTTCATTTTGGAGAAAGCAAACCAGTGGTGGTTTTGGAAGAAAGTGCTGGAAGCTATGTCAGAAATCTGAGTGAAGGGCTGAGGGAGCTCAGGAGAGAAGGATGTCCCCTAGGCCTGGCGCAGGGAAGCCTGACGGAGGAAGGGGGTCATGGGCTTTTCTCCTGGAGGTTGAGGGGCCAGGGTGTTCCAGAGGGCTGACCTGCCCCCAGACAAGCCCCAGGAGGACACTGCAGACAGGGCATGAGAGGGTGCGGGTGGATGTCCACCTGCCAGGAGCACTCACAGGAGCCACCGTCCCTGGTGACTTCTCAGCTGCAGCTCAGATCAATAGAATTGGGAGTGGCTGCCCTGGCTGGTGTGCCAGGCCCCTCGGAAGATGGCGGGGACTGTGCGGGGCCCCTCAGAGGATGTCGTGGGGAAGTGACCTGGCCAGCCTGCCCTGCCTGTCCGGTGAAGCTGCTGACTGTTCCTGGAGTCTCAAAACATGAGGAGAGGCCCCACTCTCTAAAGCGTGCCTTGTAGCTCCGCTGTGACGCAGAAATTGGAAGCATTTGAAAGTAAATTTAACTGTTATCCCGTAATCATCACCTGCATAAATAATCCTCTTCATTTGAACACACCAGACCTAGCAGTTTTGTGAGCCAGCTGAGCTGTCCATTAGGTGCACTTCGGTCCGACCTGGCAGAGCTAGTGTAGGTTGGCCTGGGGGCAGAAGTTGAGTGTGAGTGCTTCCGTCCTCCTCCTCTCTCCTCACATTCTCTGCCCTGAGGACCGGAGGACGTGAGGGCCCTGAGCCTGCCCAGCCATTCTGCAGATGCTGGAGGCTGGCTGGGGACGCGGACCCTCAGCCATGTGCGGCCCCTGAAGTGAGTTCCTGGAGTGAGGGGCCTGGCTGTGCTCATGACTTACTCGCTGTGTGACACTGGCTAGAGGGCATCCCTTTGGGCCTCAGTTTCCCCACCTGTGCAGTAGTGAGGGGTGGTGCTGGGTACTCCCTGAGGTCCCCAATCATATCTGCACTCTTCTGGCCATGCAGAGGAGGCCCAGGGTTTGGGTGGCCTCTCATCTCTGCCCTTGCCCACAGATGGGGATCTGGACCCAGGGTGGGTGCGACCCAGGCCCCCAGCCTCCGCTGTGGGCTCCCCCAATCCCGAGCAGTCGGGGACCTGGGCAAGCCCCTCTGCACGGGCAGCAGTAGCACCCGTGTGGTCCCTGGGGCTGCTGTTACAGAGGGCTACATGCTGAATGGCTTCAAATGACAGAAATGTCCCCCCCCTGTTCTGGAGGCCAGACTCGGAGGTCCAGGTGCGCTGCAGAGTGGGCGTCTTAAACAGCATATGTTCCCTTCTCCGCAGTCTGGAGGCGGAAGTCCAATCAAGATGCCCACAGGTCTAGATCGTGGGAGGGCTGTCTTCCCAGCCTGCAGCTGCTGCCTTCCTGCTGTGTCCTTGCCTGGCCCAGGGAGCTCGGGTCCCTTCCCCTCCTTTAAAGCCACTCATCCCACCATGAGGTCCCTGACTTCGTGGCTTCGTCTCATCCTCATCACTTCACAAGGCCCCATTTCCAAATGCCAGCTGGTTGGGGGTCAGGGCATTGCATATGAATCTGGGGACACGCTCGGCCCACAGCAGGCTCCGTTGGGAAGAGCCAGCTCAGCTCGGCCCTCACACCTGGTGCTCAAGGCCGCAGGAAAGCTGAGACTCTGAGAAAACGGCTGTATTCCATTCCTTTCCCGTCCCCCTTCTTCCAGCTCCCCCCACTCCTCACCCCAACCCTCCCCCCGCTGTCTCTGTCGTCTCGGTGTCCAGTCCTTTGCAGGCCCATGCAGAGTCCTGGGAAGGCTGCCTGATACTGGGCACCTCGCCGGCCTTGGAGGGGCCCAGCTCTGGGGGCCTGGCCAGAGCCTGGGGTGGGAGGGGATGGGGGCCCTAAAGGGGCTGGCTGAGGAGCCCAGCCCAGCAGGCCCTGGGAGGACCTGTTTCTCCCTCCTCCCTCCTCAAACCTGCACAAGGAAAAAATTCCAGACCCTGGCAAAAAAAGCCCTTTCTCCAGCAGAATCGGGGAGGTCTCTGTGAGAAGCAGGCTGCTGAAGGAGGGGCTGCCTGTCTCCACAGGCCTGGCGGACCTCAGGGCTGGGAGGTGTTGCGGGGACCCTGGCTTCTAGTCTGGCTGTGCGTCGTGTGACCGGGGGAGAGGACCTCCCCTCTCTGGAGCTTGGGGCCCATCTGTAGTGACAGAGGATGGTTCCCAGCCACAGCACAGGGTGTGGGAGGGGTGGCAGGGCCAGGGTGGGGTGGGGCTCCCAGACACAATACATGGCCTGGGAGTGGGGTTGCCGGCAGGGTAGGGTGGGGGTCCCAGCCCCAGTGCAGGGCCTGGGATGGGGGTGTAGGCAGGGCCAGGGTGGGATGGGGGTCCCAGCCACAACACAGGCCTGGGAGGGGTGGGGGCCCAGGACAAGCAGGCCTGAGGGATTCTCCCAAGGGCCATTTACAGCTGCAACTGAGCCCCACTCCCGCCCACTCACCTGTGCTGCCCTCTGTCCCCCACCTACCTGGCATTCCTTGGGCACCATCTGTGCCCTGTCCCAGAGGGCCCCCACCTCATGGAGCTCATGGCCCATGTGGGGTGTGGCATCAGGGCTTCATCTGAGCAAGGTTGGCACCTAGGGCTGGGCAAGGGTGGGACAGGGAGCAAGGGCTAGTGGGGGTGTGGGGATGGGGGCCAGGCCTGTGCGGGGAGCCCGACCTGAGTGCAGCGGGGTGAGGCGAGGGGGTGGATGGGGCAGGAAGGGGTGTGGGGATGGGGCCAGGCCTGTGCGGGGAGCCCGACCTGAGTGCAGCCGGGTGAGGCGAGGGGGTGGATGGGGCAGGAAGGGGTGTGGGGATGGGGCCAGAGTGCGGCGGAGTGAGGGGATGAGGTGGACACGGTGGGTGTTGCTGGCTTGAGCAAGGGGCCCCAGGCCTCTGTGTCAGAGCTGGGAGGCCCAGCCGGGCTGTGCTAGGGAAGGCGCTGCAATTGTTTCCACAGCGCTGGTTGATCGTGCTAGGGTTCTGGAGGCGGCGCCACGGGTGCTGTTGGGTCCCGGCAGGCGCTGAAGTCGGGACAGCTTGGCCTTCTCTCTGCCTCTGCTCCTGGCCATAGCACGGACGTGGCCCCTCTCACCTCCGAGGACAGGGCTGTGATGGTCAGTCCCCAGCTCCCTCCTGCTGGCTGCCCGGGGTGCCTGGGTGTTTCCCAGAAATCCTCAGGCCTGGGATGGGGGCGCAGGTGGGACCTGAAACTGGATCTGCCCTGGCGACAAGGCTGCCAGTGATGCCTGTGCTGTCAGCAAGACGCTTGGCCAGAGGGGGTCTCAGTGCCCTGAACTGCCATAAGGAAGCACCGCAAACAGAAGTGTGCTGTCTCGTGATTCTGGAGGCCAGAAGTCTGAGATCAAGGTGGTGGCAGAGGTGGCTGCTCCTGAGCCATGAGGGGCACCTGTCCAGGCCCTCCAGCTTCTGGGGCTTGCCGGCTGCTTCTGGTGTTCCTAGCTTGTCATCACCCTGATCTCTGCCCTCATGTTCTCATGGCACCCTCCCTGTCTCCAAATCTCCTCTTTTATAAGGACATGGCAGCACTAGATTAGGGCCCGTCTTCATGGAGTAGGACCTCATCTTAACTAATTACATCTGCAGCAACTTTATCTCCAAATGAGGTCCCATTCTGAGATACTGGGGGTAAAGGCTTCAAAATATGAAATTAGGGGGACACAGTTTAACTCGTAACTGGGGCATTTTGTTCTCCGTGGTCCTGGTGGCAGGTCCCCAGGGTGCATGCTGGCACGGAGGGTGCGGGCATACTGGAGGCTGTGCCGCTGGCCCCCAGCCCACGCTGGCTGAGGAAAACCAATCCGGGGCAGACACAGCCTCATCTCCAGCCTTCATCTCCAAGCATAGGACGGTGCCATGAGGGCTTCGTTCTTCAGGTTTGCTGATGTGATGGTGGTGGTCTCCGGGGGCTCCCTGACCAGGAATGGCCAGTGTTCCTCCTGGGTGTGAGAACCTGGGAGGGGACTGCCTCAGGCCTCCAGGCCTCTGTCAACACCAATTCTGGGTTCAGACAGTGTTCCAGGGGGCAGCGGGTCCTGTCCTTCCGGCCACTGAGGACATGCAGTCTGCAGGGTCCAGGCCCGTCCAGGGCCTGGGAAATGCTGGGGGCAAGGATGGAAGGTGGCAGTGGGTGTGCTGGGTCCCTGAGATACTTGCAGGCTGTGTGGGTGGGAGGAGCTCCTGGGACACTCATACTGGGACAGCTCCTGGGAAACCCCCCCAGGCACCGGCTGTGGGCGGGGGCATCATCACGTGTTCATGGATTTGTTCTGGGTTTGAGGAACAGATATTCTGTGAGCACTGCCTGAAGCCAGCCCAGGGTGCCTGGGACTGGGCTTGAAGTTGGGTGGAGGAGGGAGGGGGAGGAGGGACTCTGGCAGAAGACAGTCCCATAGAGCTCTGTCTGGAGTAGCAAGCCTAGAAGAACCGCACAGGCGTAACACAAACGTGATGGACGCCCAGGCTTCCAGCGCTTCTCGGGCACGTGCACGCTGAGCCGGAGCATAAAGGCCTGAGCAGGGGGCGGGGCAGGGCAGGGGCTGTGAGCCCAAGGTGGACACCAGAGATGGAGGGGCCGCAGCTTGCAGGTGGGAAGGATCCTCCCCGGGTGGCTGCCTTTGAGGGGAGCCAGTTGCATTTGGCGGGAGAATGACACAGAGCCTTGCAGGCTGGTATGGTGGTACCCTTGGACATCCATGGGTGGCAGCGTCCACCATAAGGAGGGGGCAGAGACAGCTCATCTGCCTGGGAGTGGGGTCCTAGGTCCCCTCCAATTTGGGGGCCTGGCTTGTCTGGGGCCCGAGGCCTCTTAAGACCATCTCCCCACCTTGGAGTGTAGATGCCAGCTAGTCAGGGGCCCTCCCAGCACAGCGCTAACCACCTGTGTTCCCTCCCACAGCCATTGTTAACCCCAAACAGCCCAAGGAGACGCCCAAAAGCTTCAGCTTTGACTACTCCTACTGGTCGCACACCTCAGTAAGCCGGGACCCCGGGTCGGGGGAGGCGGGGGCAGCAGTGCATAGGCCATGTGGCCCTCGGGGTCCCTCAACTTCTCTGAGCCGCTCATTCCTCTCTAACTGGGGCGAGGACCCCACCCTGCTCCCCTGGAAGGTCACCCTGAGCGGTCCTCAGCGAAGGCAGTGATGGAGGCTGCAGGAACTGAGGGGCCTTCAGCTCCGTGTGGGTAGTTTCCAGGGTCAGAGCTGTGTGTACGTCCATCTGCTGGTGACTTTTCCCCCAGACATCCCAAAGTCAGAATGCCCAAAGCTGACCCTGAGCCTGTCTGGAAGCTGTGCCCTGCATGCTGGGAGCCCAGGAGACCCCTGGACTCTTCTCCTTCCCTCCTCCCCGATCCAGTCCACACTGAGCCCTGTCTTCCACCTGCCACCTCCTGGACCCTTCTAGAAGAAGGCATGCAGCCTCCTCATCTAAGCCCCTCATATCTATATCTCTGAGCACCTGCCCCCCATAACAGCCCCAGGGCTCCCCGCTTCTGCCTTCCCCATCCAGTCCTTCCTCCTTCCAGGATGACCCCCAGCTAATCACCCTGTCCCCCTGCCTAAAGTGCCCCACTGTCCTCAGGACAGTGTCCAGGCGCTGTAGCCCAGCCTGTGGGGTCTCTGGGCCTTTGCACCCTGTCCCCAGTCTCAGCTCTTGTCACCCCTGCTTGTCACGGTCACATGGAACTTACTTTGGCTTTGAGGTCTCACCTCTGGGCCTTTCACATGCTGTTCCCTCTGCTGGAACCCGTCCTGCCTCCTGCCTGGCTGGCCGCTCTTCATCCCGCATCTGTGACACAGAGGGCTTCTCCTCCAGGAAGCTACCCCACAAGGCAGGAGTAGGATGGGGGGCAGGCATCCCTCCCCACTGTGCTGCCCTGGCACCCTGAGGCCCTGGGCATCCCCTGGCTCCGCAGACATGATGGGCTGAGCCTCGGATGCACCCAGCCTCCTGCAACTTCATTCCTTCCTCGTCCTCCAGCCTGAGGACATCAACTACGCGTCGCAGAAGCAGGTGTACCGGGACATCGGCGAGGAGATGCTGCAGCATGCCTTTGAGGGATACAACGTGTGCATCTTCGCCTATGGGCAGACGGGTGCCGGCAAGTCCTACACCATGATGGGCAAGCAGGAGAAGGACCAGCAGGGCATCATCCCACAGGCACGAAGCGGGGGGCGGGCGGGGGCAGCCCTGGCAGATGGGGCGGGACCAGCTGAGGCTGAGAGCTCCGGGCCAGGCACCCCTGAGAGCAGCCCCCAGAGAGCAGGGAGTCAGGAGGGGAAGGCCAGCTGGGTCAAGAGTGGGGCTGGGGCAGGTGAGAGCCAGATGTGGCTGTGAAGCTGCAGACCCAGGCCCCAGGTGCAGGAAGGGCCCTGGCCTTGGACAGGGTCCACCTTGATCATGTGCCTAAGACACAGCAGCTGGGAGAGCCCTGGCTGGGGCAGCTGATCTCTGAAGGTGTGAGGGCTGGCAGTGTGGGCAGAGAGAGGTGCTCAGGACAGGGGTGGCCAAACACCAGACCCAGCAGCTCCTCATTTGCTGCAGGAACCCTGAGTCCCCAGCCATTCCCCTGGGCAGGTCTCTGGACGTGAGTTGGTCACTAGTACTTTGCCTGCTGAGGGAAGGGAGATGGCTGGGATGTCTGTAGGATGGCAGAGCCAGGGGGAGGGGCAGATGACCCACACCAGCCAGGGACCCCTGAGTTAAGAGGGAGACACTGGCTCCTTGGCTACAGACTTTCTCAGTGCCTTTACCATGACGTGTGTGGTGAGGGTGCAAGAGGGGCCTGAGAGGGTGGATCCCGCCTGGCACAGGCTGCCCACAGTATCGCAAGGGGCAGGGATCCAGGGAGCAGCCCCAGCCCTCCCTGGCTGACTGTCCCCCCATTCCTGCAGCTCTGCGAGGACCTCTTCTCTCGGATCAACGACACGACCAACGACAACATGTCCTACTCCGTGGAGGTAGGGCTCCCCGCCTGCCGTTGGCCGCTGGGGCAGGGCTGGGAATCTGGTGTGGCTGGCAGTGCTTTTCTGATGCAAAGTGAGTGCCCACCACGGGTCTGCACGCCCAGCTTGTCCCTCACTCATCCAAGTGGCAGGCAAGACGGCGGGCCTGGGCAGGGCTCGAGACCCCCAAAGCACAGAGTGATGAGGTGATCCCCACCTGGCAGGTGCTTCTCCAGCAGCTGCTCTGTGCCAGGGCATGGGCAGGTGCCTCAGAGCTCAGGGCCTGGCCATGCCTGCCGTGGCTGGGGTGGCCCTGGCATGTGTGTGTCCTAGAGCCCAGGATGGCCGTGGTGAGGGAGGCCACATTGACACCCCTGCCTCGAACATACACACAGGGGCTGCAGACTGGGAGCCCTCTGCTCAGCAGGCAGCCCCCACCCTCTCACTCAGGGGTCCTGATGGCAGCCCCCACCCCCTCACTCAGGGGTCCTGATGGTGGCCCCTACCCTCTCACTCAGGGGCCCAGCAGGCAGCCCCCACCCCCTCACTCAGGGGTCCTGATGCTGGCTCCCATCCCCTCAGGGGTCCTGGTGGTGGCCCCCACCCCCTCACTCAGGGGTCCTGATGGCGGCCCCCATCTCCTCACTCAGGGGTCCTTATGTTGACCCCTACCCCCTCACTCAGGGGTCCCCCCAGTGGCAGCCCCACTCCCTCGCCTCAGGGGCCCCTGATGGCCTGGCTCTGCCCTGCAGGTCAGCTACATGGAGATTTACTGTGAGCGCGTCCGTGACCTCCTGAACCCCAAGAACAAGGGCAACCTTCGCGTGAGGGAGCACCCACTGCTGGGGCCCTACGTGGAGGACCTCTCCAAGCTGGCTGTCACCTCCTACAATGACATCCAGGACCTCATGGACTCAGGGAACAAGGCCAGGTGGGTGGAGGGACTCACTGGACCTCCCTGCCCTCCTGTCCTGCCGCCTCTCCCCGGAGGAAGCCCCTTCACCTCGGTCCTGGCCCTTTTTGGTAGGGTCCATCTGTGCCCCCGCGGAGGTGTGGCCTCCTGAGCCCGAGGTCGTTTAGGCCTGTGCCAGCCCGAGAGAGGCCGAGGGCTCCCCCTGTGCAGGGGACACTGTCACCTCCATGGGGCTTCTCCTTCATGGGGGTCTGCGTCCTCCGGCTGAGGTGCCCGGGGGGTGCTGGCAGCATCTGTGGCTGCTGCTTCGATGGGGCAGCTGCTCTGCTAGTCCCAGGGGTCCACATTCTGTGTGGGGGCCAGTGTGCTGGGGTCAGGGGGCATGTGGGGAGGGTCGGCTGCAGTGCTGCAGCCATAAGCAACCTGGCTCCTTGGCCTCTGCTGCCCTGGGCCTCCTGCCTGGGATGCCCTGGTTGTCATGGCAACAGACTCCCTCTGCCACCCGGGACTTCCTGAGGGTGAGGTGATGGCCCTTGTCACTCTCAGCTCCTGAGGTCGTGAGTCACACTCTGCGCCATCCTGCACCCCTTTGGTGGCCCCACAAGGGCTGGTGGGTGGGGGTGCTGTTCCTGATGAGGCCCACAGCGCACCCTGGCCGTCATTGTGACTCCGTGCTGGAGGTGGGCCCTGGGCTGCCACATCCCATGTGCTGAGTCTTGGGAACCTTCCCTGAGGTCCCTGGCAGGTCAGGGTGGCATCAGGACCAACTCCAGGCCACCCTCAGCAGCCTTGGGCTTCCTGTTCTGGAGGACCCTGCCGAGACCCATGCCATCTCCTGAGGGGTGTGGCGGGCTCCTTGGGCTTCCCAGAGCCGCGGGTGTGGGCCGTGGTAGGGTGGACAGTGGACAGCCCTTTCCCCCTTCCCCTCCCATATCATGGCCCTGGAGGGCTCCTGCCCAGCTGGGCACTGCATGGGCTTCTCTGTGCCCAGGAGTGGGAAGCTTTCGCAGTCACTGCTGCCCTGAATATACCAGCAAGGGCTGGGGCTGAGGACGCCACTGTGGGCAGGTGGCCATGGGCCCTGCTGGAGTCCTGGCAGGAGGCGCCATCAGTGCCAGGCCCAGCAGGGCGGCCCCTGGGGTCTGGGGGAACTGCCCCCCCCGATGACCTGGTTCAGAGGGCTGGCACCACCGGCGATCTCGCACCCGGCCACAGGACGAGGGGTAACCGTGCGTGGCTTTCTGCTCCTCAGGACCGTGGCGGCCACCAACATGAATGAGACCAGCAGTCGCTCCCACGCCGTCTTCAACATCATCTTCACCCAGAAGCGCCATGACGCAGAGACCAATATCACCACGGAGAAGGTGAGTGAGTGGCCTCACAGGCGGTGCCACCAAGGGCAGTGGCTGGTGGTCAGGGTAGGGGTGGTGGTCAGGCCAGTGGGGGCAGCACAAGGACAGGCCCAATGCTGGCCTGTGCAGGGCGGGTAGTGTCCTCACACTTACACTGGCACCAGGTGTGGACGTCCCCCCCCCCGCCCCAGAGGCCCTTCTCCCATGCCTTGGCATTCTCCATGGACCAGGCCAGGGGGCCATCTTCTGGGGCTTTTGCCTGGACAGCCAGTCCAGGCTTACGGGAGGGGCAGCAGGAGGGCACCCAGCCTCTCCCTGACCATCTCTTACTCTGTCCCCTGCCCTCATGCCCCAGCTGTCCAGGCCCAGGGGCACCTCAGCCACCACCTGGTTGGGGGCTCGCTCAGGCAGCCGTGTGGGGAGCGCAAAGGGGCTGGGTGGAGTGAGGGCTGCTCAGTCCCTGATGGTGCTGGAGGTCCGCCAGGCACATCCTCCTGACCGGGACTCCATGAAACAGTGAGCGGGGGCTCAGGATGGCTGAGGTGGGTTGGGGGACAGACGAGGGTGAAGCTGGACGAGGTCGGCGCGGCTGCCTGCCCCGCTGCCCTCACTGGTGGGCACCGAGAGGGTCCTGTGGTGTCCGTGGGCAAGTCCTGCCCTGTAGCTATGGCTCAGGAGGGGCCAGGCCTCCCGGTGCAGGGCCTCCCACCCCAGACTGCGGGTGCCCCTGTTGGGAGCCTGGCCGGTGCCCACCTCGCTAGGTGCAGCCATGGCCCGTGTGGTGGCTGAGCAGGGCCAGGGCCTCCTGGAGCTGGGTTCTAATCCAACCACGGACACTGAGCACCATCTATGGAAGTGGGGACAGTGACAGTCGCACCTCGTGGATGCCATAGGGAGCGAGTACGCCCTTGTGTGAAAACCACCCAGCGTGTGGTGGCAGCGCCCGTGCTCCCCTGGGGAGGTGGCTGGGCACTCAACTCGGGCAGGGCCTTGGGAGAGCTGGGACGGAGGTGCGGGTGGAAACTGCGGGGTCAGGACTGCTGGGCCTGGGGAGGGGCGGCGCCTTGCAGAGGGGACGCTTGGCCAGGGCTCCTTCAACAGCTGTGGAGACCTTGCCCAGGGGTCCTGGGATGCCCCCGCGCATCTTGTGGCCTTTCCTGCATGTGATGTATCTACTGTTTCAGGTGAGCAAAATCAGCCTGGTGGACCTGGCTGGGAGCGAGCGGGCTGACTCCACGGGAGCCAAGGGCACGCGCCTCAAGGTAGGGGCCAGGCCGCCATGCGGGGACCCGTGTCCACATTTGGCCTGCTCCAGAGTGGGTGGCAGGAGGGCTCTGTTGGGGTCCCGGGGGCCTGGGCCACCCTGAGGGTGAGCCTGCATAGGGAGGGTGGGCATAGGCTGGGGTCTTGGGCTGCCAGCAGCCGAGGGCCATGCCCGGGGCACCAGCGCTGGGCACACAGGTCAGGGGTTTGGCGGGACGGTGTCCTCTTTCGGGCCCCAAGGACCTTGCGCCCAGAGGCCAGGTCTTCCCTGGGGAGATTGGGGCACCACCCGGGAAGCAGTGCCGGGGTCGGGAAGGAGTGTGTTTCCTCGACCCCTGCTGGCCTCAGCACTAGATGCTTGGGCAGGGGACCCGGAAGCATTTCAGGGGGACATGGGATGATATCAGGGTTTGCATGGGGCTGAGGGCAACACTGGGGGACATGCTCCTGGCCAGAGGCTCCAGCTGGCTTTCTGCCAGGGCACCCCACGCCCAAGTGGCCCCAGAGATCAGCAGCTGCAGTGGTGGCCTCCACTCCACACTGCACAGGTCCACCCAGGGCATCCCTCCAGAGCAGGAGGCCCCACGGGTCCCCAGCATCCCAACCCCACTGTCTTTTCTGCCCGCAGGAGGGGGCCAACATCAACAAGTCGCTGACCACCCTGGGCAAGGTCATCTCCGCCCTGGCTGAAATGGTGAGTGGCCCGGCCCGGCTTCCATAGCCAGAACCCCAGAGGGTCTTTGGCGCCCCATCCTGCCCCTGTCACCCTCGTTTCCGGGCCCTGTGTCTGGGAGGTGGCCAGGTTCAAGGGAGAGCCCGGAGATGGCCAGAGTGTCACATGCTGGAGAAGGGGTAGGGGCCCTGGTTTCTCCCGGGACCCTCAGTTTCCCCGCCTGTAAAGTGGGGCTATGGCCACAGTTGGCCCCGTGCAGCAGGCAGCCCAGGCCTGGGCCCGGGAAGGGCGGCCCTGGAGGGACCCTGCCTGGGGGAGCTGCTGTCTAGGAGACCACGGGGTGGTAGAGCCTGAGTCATGGCCAGGGCGAGGCAGCCGGGCCGCCTGCTCTTCCGCCCCCACAGCCCGCGCCAGCTTCGCTCCGGGCCTCAGCCTCTCTCTGTCTTTTCCTTTTCAGGACTCCGGACCCAACAAGGTAAGCGGCTTCCTTCAGCCCCGGGGCAGGTGCGGGAGGCTGGTGGCGGTGTCTGCCCTGCATTGGCGCCCTGTGGTGAGGGGCGGGGCGGGCAGTGAGTGCGCTGGGAGATGGGGGACGTGGGGGTGGATCCCGGGAAGGAAGAAAGCGGGTGTGGGAGGCCCCGTGCGGTGCCTGTGCCTGCGGGGACGGAGGGCGTCCGGGGCGGCCTCACGGCAGGGCCTGGGGCGGGGGCTGCTGGGAGACACCGAGGTGGGAAAGTGTGGCCCGGGGGGCGTGGGGGCCCTGGGAGGAGCTGAAAGGGGCGCGGAGGAGCCCCTCGGACATGGAGAGGGCTGGGGAGCCCTGAGAGGAAGCGGGTGACAGGCGTGCTGGACTCTGAGCAGCCGTAGGCGTGACGGGGCCACAGGGGGAGGCGGGCGCGTGTGGAGTCGGAGGTGCCGCGGAGCGCGCCACGTGTGAAGCTGCCTGGGGCGACGCTGGGGACTGTGTGAGGAACCGCGTGGGCAGCCGTGAAAGCGTTCGAGGGACCGGCAGGAACGGAGTGAGCCAGCGTGGGAATGCGTGAGACAGGGCGGGCGCCACCACGGGGATCCGCGAGGTGCTCACTGGGAAACGCACAGGGAACTCGGCGGTGGCTGTGTGGGGACAGAGAACTGTGTGAATTGTGAAGAGCTGTGCGGCCCGTGTGAGGAGTTCCAAGAGACTAAGAACACGTGGGGCTGCAGGAAGAACTGGGAGAAGGCGTGTGGACTGAGTGGGGAACTGTGGAGAACGGTGTGGCGAACCCGAGTGGGAGCCAGGCGAGGAAGCTGAGGGCCCCTGTGGGGAACTGTGTGGGGAACTGTGTGGGAACGGGAGAGGAAGCGTGTGGGAAACGGCACAGGACACTGCGTGGGACTGCGGGAGACGGAGGACCTGCGTGGGGAATTGTGTGTGGAGCGGAGTGAACTGTGAGGAGCGGTGATAACCGCGTGGAACTGTCAGAGAACGCTGGGGAATGGCGTGGGCGGCGTGGGGAGGAAGCGGAGAACGATCCGCTGTCCAGATTGTGCGGGACTGTGAGGAGCTGTGTGTGTGTGTGTGGAGCTGTGTGTGGAGCTGTGTGTGTGTGTGTGTGTGTGTGGAGCTGTGTGTGTGTGTGTGTGTGTGTGTGTGGAGCTGTGTGTGTGTGTGTGGAGCTGTGTGTGTGTGTGGAGCTGTGTGTGTGTGTGGGGAGCTGTGTGTGTGTGTGGAGCTGTGTGTGTGTGTGGAGCTGTGTGTGTGTGTGGAGCTGTGTGTGTGTGGAGCTGTGTGTGTGTGTAGCTGTGTGTGTGTGTGTGGAGCTGTGTGTGTGTGTGGAGCTGTGTGTGTGTGTGTGGAGCTGTGTGTGTGTGTGGAGCTGTGTGTGTGTGTGTGTGTGTGGGGAGCTGTGTGTGTGTGTGTGGAGCTGTGTGTGTGTGTGGAGCTGTGTGTGTGTGTGTGGAGCTGTGTGTGTGTGTGGAGCTGTGTGTGTGTGTGTAGAGCTGTGTGTGTGTGTGGAGCTGTGTGTGTGTGTGTGTGTGTGTGTGAGCTGTGTGTGTGTGTGTGTAGAGCTGTGTGTGTGTGTGTGTGTGTGTGTGTGTGTGTGTGTGTGTGTGGAGCTGTGTGTGTGTGGCGCTGTGTGTGTGTGTGTGTGTGTGTGGAGCTGTGTGTGTGTGTGTGTGGAGCTGTGTGTGTGTGTGTGGAGCTGTGTGTGTGTGGAGCTGTGTGTGTGTGTGTGGAGCTGTGTGTGTGTGTGGAGCTGTGTGTGTGTGTGTGTGTGTGTGTGTGGAGCTGTGTGTGTGTGTGTGTGTGTGTGGAGCTGTGTGGGGAGCCTGCAGAGAACTGTGTGTCCAACTCTGTCAGAAGCCGGAAGAACCTGTGTGAGGACCAGAGGAATAAATGCCTCAGGAACCGTGGTGGGAACCCGAGGAACTCTGGGGGCCTGAGGGTAGCTGCGTGGGAACATGAGCTGTGCGTGGTGCCGGGACAGGACGTGTGTGCCACAGGGTGGGGAGCTACGTGGAATCATGTGAGGGAACCGTGCAGAGCTCTCTGTGCAGCTACGGGAAAGTATGTGAGAAACCGTGTGAGGAATTGCGTGGGGAACTGTGGGAGGATTTGTGAGAAACTGAATGTGACTGTGTGGAGAAGGCGGGGAAGCAGGCGGGAAGTGTGTGGGGAATCGCTTGGGGAAAGTGTGCGCTCGTGTGGGGAACCACATGGGGGCTCTGTGGAGCTGGAGCTCCGCGTACTCTGAGGACCTGTGGAAATGGGAGCGGAAGTGTGTGGAGGGGTGTGGGGCCGCGTGGGAATCGTGTGAGGGACGCCGAGGAGCCATGCAGCTGCTCGGGGAGCGGTGCTGGGCTGGGAGAAACTGCGGGGGGCCAGGCGGGTGGCTGCTGGGAAAGGCATGAGGAACCGTGTGAACGCTGCGTCAGGGACTCGGGGGATCTGTGGAAATGTGGAGGACACTGTGGGGAAGCGTGCGGGAACTCGGAGGAACTCGCGGGGGCCTGAGAGGAGCCACGTGAGCCCCCGTCTGAGGCACTGTGAGAGGATCTGCTTGAGAAACTGTTTGTGGAACTGTGAAACTGTGAAAGTGGGTGCAACGGGGCTGTGTGGACCTGTGTGGAATGCTGTGGAGAGCTGTTTGAAAACGGAAGCACCGTGGGGCGTGGGGAGGCCTGGGGGGAAACATGGGACAGCCTGCGTGTGGAGCCATGTGGGAAACAACAACTGGGAGGCAGTGCATGCGGCTGCGTGAGGAGCCGCAGAACCGTGCGAGGAAGCGTGTCAGCCAGTGTGGGGAAGTGTGGGAACTGTGGGGAACTATGAGGAACTGAGTGTGGAACTGTGAGGAACTGAGTGAGGAACTGTGAGGAACTGAGTGAGGAAGTGAGTGTGGAACTGTGAGGAACTGAGTGTGGAACTGTGAGGAAGTGAGTGAGGAACTGAGTGTGGAACTGAGTGAGGAACTGTGAGGAACTGAGTGTGGAACTGAGTGAGGAACTGAGGAACTGAGTGAGGAACTGAGTGGAACTATGAGGAACTGAGTGTGGAACTGTGAGGAACTGAGTGTGGAACTGAGTGTGGAACTGAGTGAGGAACTGAGTGAGGAACTGAGTGTGGAACTATGAGGAGCTGAGTGAGGAAGTGAGTGAGGACCTGAGTGTGGAACGATGAGGAACTGAGTGTGGAACTATGAGGAACTGAGTGAGGAACTGAGTGAGGAACTGAGTGTGGAACTATGAGGAACTGAGTGAGGAAGTGAGTGAGGAACTGAGTGTGGAACTATGAGGAACTGAGTGAGGAAGTGAGTGAGGAACTGAGTGTGGAACTGAGTGAGGGACTGAGTGTGGAACTGAGTGTGGAACTGTGAGGAACTGAGTGTGGAACTGAGTGAGGGACTGAGTGTGGAACTGAGTGTGGAACTGTGTGGAACTGTGAGGAACTGAGTGTGGAACTATGAGGAACTGAGTGAGGAAGTGAGTGAGGAACTGAGTGTGGAACTGTGAGGAACTGAGTGTGGAACTGAGTGAGGGACTGAGTGTGGAACTGAGTGTGGAACTGTGTGGAACTGGGTGGGAACATGGAGGTGCTGTTGGGGACCCGTGAGGAGCCGTGTGGAGCGCTGTGTGTAGGAACGGGGTGCACACGGGCGAATGGCCTGAGGAAGTGTGTGGAAAGTGTGTGTGCACCCGCATTGGGGATGGCGTGAAGGGTTGTGTGAGGAACGTGTGAGGAAGTGTGTGAGCCATGGCGGGAGGAGCTGTTTGGGAAACGTGGGGAGCGGTGAGGAACCGTGTGTGGAACGGTGCGCAGAATCGTGAGGAAAGCTGCAGAGACGTGTGCGAGGGGTTGTCGGGGAGTGTGAGGAGCTGGATGGGAAGCTGCGGGGACCTGCTGGGCGCCGCGTGGAGCTGTGGGAACCGGGAGGAAGTGTGTGGAAGGGGGTGGGGAGCTGTGTGGGGACGGGGGCCGAGCTGAAGGGGTTTTCGGGAGCTGCGTGGCTGCTGTGAGGCCCGTGGGACACTGAGAAGCCTGTGTGTGTGTGTGTGTGTGTGTGTGTGTGTGTAACGCTGTGCGGGAGCTGCGAGCGCCTGCTGAGAGCTCTGAGAAATGGAGGATCGTGTGAGGCCTCCCGTGGGGAGCCGTGTTAGGAAATGTTGGAGGAATGTGGGCAAGTTTCTCTGGAGCTGTGAGGAACCGTGAGAGCGAGTGTGTCAGGGACGGTGGGGACTGGCGTGTGGAGAATGGTGAGGAACGCCTGTGTAACGAGGCCCTATGTAGAGACCTAGGTGAGGATCGCGTGGAACTGTGTAAAGAACTCCACAGAGAACTGTGACAGAATTGCGTGTGGAACTTGTGGGGAAACTTGATGAATGGTGTGACCGGCAGCCATCCCGTGGGTGGGGTCCGCATTCGAGTGACTGCCGTTTTCCTGAATGGAGGAATAAAGGGGGAAGCAGGAGGAGCTGCGTGAAGAACCGTGTGGAGAAACGCGAGGAAGTGCGTGGGGAGCGGGAGGAGCTGAGGAACTGTGTGGTGAGCTGCGAGCAGCCGCGTGGGAACCGTGCGGGGAACGGCGAGAGCTCCTTGAGGGACTGAGTGCTTGAGCGTGCGGGACTGACATGTGGAAGCACCGCGTGGGAACCGCGTGACTGTCTGTGTGAGGGACTGGGAGGGAAAGTGCGAGGGACCCTGCGAGGGACAGTGACAGAGACTTTTGAAGGAGCCGCGCGAGAGGGTTTTCGAGGAACTGGTTGAGGAGCCAGGCCCAGAGCAGGGAGGCGAGGCCGGCAGGAGCCGGGCCCGTCTGAGGATCCGAGGTCCCTCCCGGCTTGTCAGGAGCTGCCTGGGGGAGCTTTAGTGGCAGCAGCGGGCGGGTGTTCAGCGGGGCTCACAGTGTCTGCTTTAGCCAAGGGTGCGTCCTCAGGCCATGTGCGCTGGTGACGGATAGGTCGGGAGCAGGTGGCCTGGTGCGGCAAGTCAGGATGGAAGGTCAGCGTTCCAGGCTTGGGATGGTGGAGGCTGGGGGGCCTAGACGGGAGAGCGGGGTGGTCCTGGGAGATGGCAGAGCACGACTGGACAGGGAGGCGGTGAGGGAGCAGGAAACCCAGGGGGCTGCTGGGCTCCTTGCTGAAGTGGCTGAATGGCTGGAGGACATTTATGTGGAAGCAAGGAATGTGACACATAGCAGAGAATTCACCCTCAGGAATTAAATAATCAAAAACCAAACTAGAGGCCGGGCGCGGTGGCTCACGCCTGTAATCCCAGCACTTTGGGAGCCCGAGGTGGGTGGATCACGAGGTCAAGAGATCGAGACCATCCTGGCCAACGTGGTGAAACCCTGTCTCTACTTTAAAAATACAAAAATTAGCCAGGCATGGTGGCACACGCCTGTAGTCCTAGCTACTCAGGAGGCTGAGGCATGAGAATCGCTTGAACCCGGGAGGCGGAGGTTGCAGTGAGCCGCGATCGTGCCACTGCACTCCAGCCTGGTGACAGAGGGAGACTCTGTCTCAAAAAACAAAAACAAAAACAAAACAAAAGAAAAACTAGAAATAGAGTAGAGTTAGTCCCTACTAAGTTTCCAAAGAAAAAAGAAAGCAGTCAGTTATGCTGCTGAGCTGCGAGATGGACACCCTGAAACCCTGCTCGCAGAGAAGCCAGTGCAGTATTCTGGACCCCCTTTGACTGGGAGTCTCAAGAGCTTTCAAATTTTATGTGCCTTGTGAGCTGGTGGAGCTTCTCCTGGGGTTGTCTTCAAGAACAATGATGTCTGTGTGTGCTCCCAGCCCTTGAGGTGGCATCTGCGTGCATGTCCTGGGGTGCAGGCTCCAGGGTCAGAGGCCTCATCTGCCGGCCCAGCAGGTGCTCTGGAAATGCTTCATAAGCCAATGCATACATGAACCAGTAGACATTGGAAGTCACTGAAACCCACAGTTAGTGGGATCATTAAGTCAGTCACAGAGTGTCTGTCAGAAGCAATTCCTGGCAGGCATTATGTGGATGGAGTCCATATTTTAAAGAGCCAAAGAGGCAGCAAGAGCATGGAGGATGCTTCATTCTGAGGGGAGGGATGGGAGAACAGGCCGTTAGAGGAAAGCTTGTGAGCTGGCTTCTGCAGGACCATAGGGAGTTTGATGGGGGAGAGGGCGGGTGAACTCTGGGTGAAGGGGAGATTTAAGCTGGCAGGGAGGTAAGCGTGGCAGAGGCCATAGGGGCCTGGAGGGCCACATTTAGCTGTGGGGCCTTTTCCCTTGGGTCAGGAGTCGCTGATGGTGTTCGAGGAGGGGCCATGGACTCAGATGAGTCCTTCAGACAGAGTGGAGGGAGGACACACTTGCTGGTGACATCAGCACTCCTGGCCGGTGTCCAGCTGGGTGGCCCAGGGGCAGCAGGGATGGAAGAGGGAGGAACCTGAAGGACATGCTAGCAAGTCCCTGACTGTGGCCTAGAGGAGGCCTCTGGGGTGGCGGCCTGGGGTCTGGGCAGGGAGAGGCCTGGGCAGCCTGAGAATGTGTCCAGCAGAGCGGGCCCCGCCCCTTGCCCAGCCTCCAGCTTTGAGGACCCACTTGGCAGGGCCTGCGCTGGCCCCTCCCTTTCGCTTCCTCTGCAGTGGGCTCGGGCTTGACCTTGAATGTTCCTCCCCCACAGAACAAGAAAAAGAAGAAGACAGATTTCATTCCGTACCGAGATTCCGTGTTGACCTGGCTCCTCCGGGAAAACCTGGGTGAGAACTTGTGGGTTTGCCTGTCCCCAGGGCTCTGATCCCACCCTGGGCTGTGCCCTTCTTCCCCACTGAGGGGGTGCCCAGTCGCCAGCAGGCCTCTCACCCTTTCTGGGCTGAGGCTGGGAGGTGAACCTGGAGGGTCCAGTCAGTTCGTGGCCCTTCTGGAGGACCTGGGGCAACGGCCAGCAGTGGGTTAACGAAGCGAGTGTGGGAACCAGGACAGCCCAGGGGGTGGCACAGCACACACCTGCCTGTGTCAGTGGTCCTGGGTCAGGTGGGCTGTGACACCCAGGCCAAGTACTCATCCTTCTCTGGGCCTTGGTTTCCCCATCAGTCACGGGGACCTGGGACGCGATCTGGGAGCTCTGCTTGCTGGATTTTGAGGGGCTGCCATAAACCTCCTCTTCTCCGTCTGAGTTCTGAGCAGTGAGACTTAGACGGGGAGGTGGGAATTGAAATGCACCCGACGCTGATCCCGTCCATCCCGGAATAACCTCAGAGTCCTCCCCAACTGCATTTACAGCTGGAGAGGCTGATGCCCAGGGAGGTAAACTGAGTCTTGGGCTGACCTGGTGAACATAGATGACTGGGGGTCCCTGGCCTCCCTCAGCCGCATGGCTGAGGTGTGCAGAGCCCTGGCTGACCACCTCTGCACCCCACAACTAGCCATGCTTGCTCCCCAGCTCAGGTCAGTATTGCAGACCGCAGCAGGCCTGCGGATGGATGGGCCCCGCTGAGAGAGGAGGAGAGTGTGTTCCTTCACCTGAGACGTGGGCTGGGAAGGAGCCGCCTGCTCCAGGCACACCCAGGTTCAGTCCCAGGGCGGGGGCAGGGGAGTCCTCCCACAGAGGCTTTCCTGGGGCCCGTGTGGTATGTGCCCAGCCCTTCACACCGTCTCTTCAGTCCCTATGGGGACCCACTGGGGACCCATGCCCTGGGGACATGGCCCTGAGGATACACAGTTCCCTGGGGTCAAGCAGGCAAGATCATCTGTCCAGACTTGAAGCACCGCCAGGCAGCAGTCCTGAGGGCTGGCGTGGAGTCAGTGGTGATCTTTTCCGATGGCTGAGGTTACCTAGACAGGATTCCCTCAAGAGAAAGAACACAGTCTGTTCCTCATGCCACGCATTACCTGATGCTTTGATCCTACTAACCTGGGCCAGGAATCTGATGTTAAATACTGAGGAATATATTTCAAATGAAAATGATAGAAGTGCTTGAAAAAAATATTGAACATAAATGGTATTTATTTTGGAGTAAATACTTTAAAACCCTCCACAACTTTCCTCTCTGCTTTGGGGAAAGGAAGGCCTGATGGTTGTAAAATGGCCCCAAATGTGAGAAAAACACAAGTAAAAGAGAAATAATAGCGGTGCCTGGTTCAGAGATGAAGGAGCAGCCAAGGAAGGCCAGGTCCTTGCTGTTGTCTGTGTTCATGGGGTGGGGGTGGGGGGGGGGGTAAGCCTGTGACTCAGTTTACCTCTCTGGGCCTCAGCCTCCCCATCTGTAAATGTGGGGGGAAGGGGGGAGCAGACATAGCCCTGGGGCCTAGATCCCCCTCTGGGCACAACCTGGTCTTCTTCCCACAGGCGGTAACTCAAGGACAGCTATGGTGGCAGCCTTGAGTCCTGCAGACATCAACTACGATGAGACCCTTAGCACGCTGAGGTGAGTTCTCCAGGGAGACAAGCTCTGCTTCCCGCTCCCTGGTCTTGGGGGATGGATCCTCTCGTGCTTGAATTAGGAAGCACCAGTGACCAGGGGCGACTCTTTGTGAGGGGTATACCCTGGACTCTGTGAGGCTGGAAGAGACTGTTCTGAGGCTCCTGGGCCTGCATAGGCCCTGTTCTATTCCCTCCATGGAGCCTTTGGGGGTGTGCTTTGGGGCTGCAGGCAGCCCAGGGCCCCGTGGCACCAGACTGGGAGAGCTGTGCCTGCTGGGCGAAGCAGTTTACACTCACCTGCCGGCCGGGGTAACCACTGGGGATTTTTAGATAGCAGAGGGGACATAGGTGTGTCTTATGGGCAGGGTGGGCACCTGGGGTGGGGAGCCTGGGCCCCTAGCCATGCTAGAGGCTGCTCGGTTGTTTGGGTCAGTGGTCTCTCCCTTCTTTCGACTGTGCACCACCAGTGCTTAAGAGAAACAAAGGGCGTGTGGCCCAATAGAGGTTCATGTACTAGCTGGAAACGTAGACATGTGCATCGGCTGGTACACGGTGTGAGCACAAGCCTATGCACACATAGATGTGCTCACATTTTCCCACTGGACTTTCTCCCTCTACCCTGGGACCACTGGGGGAGAGGACACCACCCTGTCCCTTCTCACCTGGGCCTCAGTTTCCCCAAGTGGGCGAGCGGGAACTGGGTGACCTCCCTTGTAAGTCTTCTCTGGCCTGTGGCCCCAAATGCCCTCCCCAGCGACTTGCCATGGGGGCGATTTCTCACTCTGTGCCAGGCTGTGCTGGCTCAGGTCCACCTTTGGCCTGGCTGCTGAGCCCAAAAGGCTGGGTCTTGGGCAGGGCTCTAGGCACCCTTGGGACCTGCCAGATGTGGACCTGTCCCGAGCACAGCCCACAGCCCCCTCTGCCACCCAGGTATGCTGACCGGGCCAAGCAGATCCGCTGCAATGCTGTCATCAATGAGGACCCCAACAACAAGCTGATCCGCGAGCTGAAGGATGAGGTGACCCGGCTGCGGGACCTTCTGTACGCCCAGGGTCTTGGCGACATCACTGACAGTGAGTGCCTGCTCCAGCCTGTCCTGGACAGGGTTGTGGGGCCTCAGGCTCAGGGGCCTCGCAGGTCATCACATCCTCTCTCCTGGGGCCACCACTTTGCTGGCTGCACCCTGGGCTGTGGCAGCTCCACACCGCTCCCAGAGCCCCTCTGGGCCAAATCCCTGTCCCTGCTCCACGTTCCTGGGCAGAAATGCCTCTGGGTGGGAGGCCGGGCGGGGGCCCTGGACAAGGGCAAGTTTCCTGGCCTTGGCCTGGATGGTACCACATGGTTTGGGTTCAATGCTGATGCAAGTGGGCCAGAGACGGCTCCCCTGGAAGCCCCATAGGCAGGCTGTGGGTGCTGGGGTCACCGAGGTCCCCCGCGTTCTGGAGCTGAAGACCTTCACCACCCTGCTTGTGGCCACACACCCACTGCTGGCCACCCTGGCCTGTGAAAGGCGTGCCTGACCCTCTGGAGACAAACCTGTTCTTCTGTTTCTCTGTCTCTCCCCCTCCCCCACGCTTCCCTCCCCCATAGCCAACACTGTGCCTGGAGGACCCAAATGTGTGTATTCCCTTTGCTGCTCTCTGCATCTCTGCTTCCAGCCCCAGCCAGCATGAGGGCCTAGGGTGGCATGGTCAGGGAGGGGTGAACCCCAGGGTACCTGCTCTGCTTTCTTCTCCTTTTTGGGGGGCAGAAAGCACTGCTCTCCCTCAGCCACAGGGCCCTGCTCGTAGATGTGGGATTCTGTCTGCCTCTGAGCCCACACTCCTGGCTCCTTCCCACCCATATGGTCTACATGAGAAACCAAAGCAACGGGGGAGTCAGGGTGTCGCTGAGGCCTTCTCAGGCTAAACATGGCCGAGATCAGGTCCTCTGACCCCCTGTGCACCCAAAGGCCTGCGAAGGTCAGGATATCAGCACCAAAGGGCCAGGAGGGCTGGAGGGACTGTCCTGTCCCCAGCTCTTGGCTCAGGCCTCCATCTGCAATGCCATTTCTCCAGCTGACCTGACCCCCCACGCCCAGGCCCTCAACTCTGGAAATGCCAGAAGCTCAGCTTTCACAGCGGATACTGCCAAATCCCACCCAACCTTTGTGCCTCCTGGCCTCGGGTCTGGCTCCATGGGGCTCAGTGCCTCCCCGAGCTTGGCTGCAGGGCGCCCTCCACTTCCCCCACACCCCGTGTGGTCCCGTGCTTGCTGCTGCTCTGCTGTGTGTTCGCTTCCGCTAGGAGACCCCTGGCACCACCCACTTCAGAGATGTCACAGCCCCACCTCCCGGGCCTTAGGGATGCATGAGGCCTAGGCTGGTGGGTGAGCTCCTCGTGGTGGAGGGGAAGGGCCTCCCTCATGAGGGTCCCATGTTCACCTCCTCCAGGATGGTCTCTGGGCCAATTTCCATGTCAGTGGGCTGAAGGTTAGCACAGCCTGGCCCCACAGCTCGGGGGTGTGTGGTGTCCCAGGCTGACGGTGGATGTGAGGGGTGGGAGGACAAGCGTGGGGGTCTGCACGGGGCGCTGCTGGGTGACCACGCCAAGCCAGTGGACAGGGTGGGAAGATGCAGGGAGGACTGGCTCCCAGCCCTCAGGTGTGGGGGCTGTAGGGTGGCCTGGCAGTGGGGCCTGGAGTGCAGCTGTGGGAAAGCAAGAAGCCTGGCGCAGGGGGTGCAGGGGAGCTCCAGAGTGCCTAGGTCTGTGCCATGCTGCTGCTGGGGAGGGCAGGCCTGGGGGGCAGGCGGGCAAGTGCGCGCCACTGCTGGCCCCGTCCCATCGTAGGCAAGGGGTGGCAGGAAGGCCTTGCATGCGCTTGTCCTGGGCCTGGCAGGGCTGCTGTGCCTCGTTGATGGTTTCTGTTTCTTGCCTTCTCTGGGCCCCATCTCTTACTTTTTCCCATCTTCATCTTTTTTCTCTCCCTCCCTCTGTCTGTCTGCCCGCCCTACCCCTCCTCCCCATAGACGTGTCCGACCTTGAGAACAATAACCTTAACCGTGGCGGGACGGTGAATGAAGCCCCTGACCCTCTCTCCACAGTGACCAATGCCCTGGTGGGTATGAGCCCCTCATCCTCGCTCTCAGCCCTGTCCAGCCGCGCGGCCTCCGTGTCCAGCCTCCACGAGCGCATCTTGTTTGCCCCGGGCAGCGAGGAGGCCATTGAAAGACTGAAGGTGAGGGCACCACCTGGGGCTTCAGGGTGTCAGACTCTGGGAGTGGGGAGCTCGGAGGAGTTAGAGAGGCACCCTGCCCTCCTGGGTACAGCCCATCCTCATAGGGCCATTGTGGAGCATCAGCAGGAGCCTCTGGCGTGTGGCCACCCAGGTGCCCAGTGGTCTATCTCCAGACCACCCACAGCAGCCAAGGCAGCCAGTTCACTTGGGGGTCCCCAGGCTGTGGGCTGCACAACACTCAGCTGCTGGGCAGGAAATGCGCCTGCAGGACCCTAGACCTGGGTGTCTGGATGGCCTGTGCCCCTACCCATGCCAAGCCTGGACAAGGGAAGCTCCAAGAATGAATGTCCAGGACTGAGACTCTTCCTGTCGAGTCTTTAATTGTGTGAGTGGGTGCTTGTTCAAGGAGCAGTGAGCTGGATGGCATCTGTGGGTGGAGAGGAGTCTCGTCCCTCCCCACCCCGCAGCATCCCCTCCACTGACGACAGTCCCAGGTCACAGCAGCTTCCTCCCTGGCGTCCTATAGAATTATACCCCCTGAGAAGGGCAGTGAGTGTGGTGCAGGTTCCTGAGCTCCCTCCAGGCCATCCTGTGTTCACACCTGCACACCTGCCTGGGAATAGTCACCACCTCCCACCGCTCAAAGGCACAGTGTGCTCCCTGGTGCCCAGCAATGGGCCGGGATCATTTTAGGTTTCTAGACACATGCCCCTCAGTGAATGGCTGTGCAGGGGCAGGTGAGCCACACGCCTGGAGACTGAGGGGCTGAGGGGAAAAGGCAGAGGCCCCACTGAGGCTGTTGTGAGGAAGGGGATGGGGGCGAGGTTGGGCCTGTGACCCTGGAGCAGAGAGCCCTTCTGGGGTGTTGGGGTCCCACTGGGCTGTGGGTGGGAAGAAAAAGGAGAGACCAGGCTGATGTTGGGCAGTGTCGTCCATGTCCTGAAGAGGGCTGAGCACCTGGGCCTCTTGGCAGCAGCGAGGATGGCTGTGCTTTAGGAGCCGAGGCTCAGAATCTCCCAGGAGCATTTGCTTCTCTTTTCCTTCCAGATTTGTTTTGCGTTTTCTCCATTCTCCTGAGTGTGTCTAAGGGAAAGACAGACATTCTCTGAGCTTTACCTTGGTCTTCTGGATGCCTCGTTGCCTTGTCGGGCCCAGGAATATGGCGCTTGTGCTTTGCAGCTCCTTCTCCTGGCACCCGTGTCTCCATTGTCCTCTCCCTTGGCCCTAGCCCCGGCAGCTCACTGTGCTCTGCCTCAATCCCCAGGAAACAGAGAAGATCATAGCTGAGCTCAATGAGACCTGGGAGGAGAAGCTGCGGCGGACAGAAGCCATCCGGATGGAGAGGTGTGCAGCGGGGAAACTGAGGCCCAGGGGGAGGGGTGCAGCCAGCAAGCCCGGAGCCTGGGCAGGATGAGCACTGAGCCCTGCCCTCCAGTGCTGGGCACCTGCACCATGGGGTGGCCACATCCCAGCCCAGGGCAAACCTGTTCCCTCATCGCCAATGACCCCCACCTTGTGTACTGCTGGCTGCTAGCCACCAAGGCCTGAGAGACCTGAGGCCTGATAGACCTGATCCCTGACCATGGTGCAGAGGGGCCAGTCCCATCAGCAGATGCCCTAACCCAGTGACCAGATGGGACACGCATGGGCACCACCCAGGCCACGGTGGCCACAGGCCCGCTGCCCCCATTGGTCAGCCAGGGCTGAGGCCAGTGCTGGAAGCCTTGTGGAGCTTGTGCTGACCTCAGCTCTGTTCCCCCAGGGAAGCCCTGCTGGCCGAGATGGGTGTGGCCATGAGGGAGGATGGCGGCACCTTGGGCGTATTCTCTCCCAAAAAGGTAGGAGCTATCTCAGTTCTGTGGTACTGCCCTCATCTGAACAGGACCAGGTGAGGTGCTGTCTCAGGTAGAGCCAGAGGGGGCTCCTGGAAGTAGGGGAGCACGGTGGGGCTCTGGCCCAGGCACTGGGGCTGTGAAGCTCACCCATAGTCACACTTTGCTTTTTGTGGAGAATTCTGTCCCCACATTCTCATGGTGGGGCATGCTGGTGGCTTTGGGACATCAGATGGGTCTCTTAGTGGCCTGGAGTGTGGACTGGGCTCTCCAAGGTCAGAGCAAGGCTGAGGAGCCAACACCCAGGCTGGAGACTGAGACACGAGGGGCCTGGACCTGCCCTGGAGCCTGGGCTGCTCACAGAGCTGGGTGCCAGCTGCCTTCTTGGAACTCAGCTAGAGTCAGGTCTGACTGTTCCAGTGGGGACCCCTCTTTTCCCACCAGGCCAGGCCTAAGGGGTCTTTCAGCTGGAGGCCCTCACATGGCACAGAACCCCTGGGCAGCTGCTTCAGAGTGTATATGACTCCTGTGCCCCCATCCAGCAGCCCAGGTGGGGCATGGCACAGCAGCCCAGGTGGGGCATGACACACACACTTGGGAAAAAGTCTTTCTTGTGGTTCTAGTCCCCAACCCCCACACACCCACCCCAAAGATGGCCAGGACATGGGGACAGACACCTGTGTGTCCATAGCTTGGGAGGGGCTGGGCAGGGCTGTGCTCCAGGCCGCCGGCCCAGCACGCGCTGAGGTCCGGAGACAGGAAGGGCCTGAGAAGAGCTGTAGGGAGATTCCAGTCCCAGGCAGGGCCGGGACAGGCAGTGTCCTAATGGGGCTTCACTATACACGTCTTCTAGACAGGCCTTTGGTTTGGTCTGGAATGGATTGTTCCCTGCACTGTTTCAGACCCCATCCCCTTCCTGGAGGGATAGGGTGGAACTCCAGGGGTGCAGCTTTATTGGTTGCCCTGGGTCTGGGCACTGCCCAGAAGTGGGACCACTGGGGACCCCCTTCTTGAGAAGTTCAGTGTTCTTGGGAATCACGAGACGTGCACAGGCCAGTGGGGTCCCAAGGCTGTAGCCCCTACTCAGCCCCAAAGCTGTGGGCACAGCCCCTCCTGGCTGGACATCTTCCCCACTCAGGGGGCAGGGACAGCTGGGGATGGTCTGTCCCCTTCGTCCAGTGACGAGGTCTCCACCTCTCTGCATGGGGGTGCCTCAGGTGGCTCATCAAGGATCCCTTCACAACTGCTTCACTCCCCAGACTCCAGGGCTGAGCCCTCCATGGTCAGTGTCCTGATCCTTCTTGGCTCTTGGCTCCCACTGGTGAACCCATGGTTTCTGGGCTGTCTGAGCTGGAATGGGGTCCTAGAACCCCATTTTACAGTCCAAAGCTGGGAACCCAGGACCCCATGGGACAAAGCCTGTGGTCTGCACATCTGGGGGCTCACCCCAGCCTCAGAGGGCCCCAGGGCCCCCACATGCTGAGAGCTGGGGCTGTCTGCCCTTCTGGAAGCTCAGCTTCTGCTGCAGTGCTGGGGCTGCTGTGCCAGGCTTGGGTGTATGCGGGTGGTCGGGTCCCACCGGCCTGCTGCTGTTGGTGGGCTGGGCCTTCGGCTTGAGCTTTCTGTGTTCCTCATTTTCCTGGCTTGGAGTGACCAGCCTGGTGGCACCAGCCAAGTGCGGGGGCAGGGACCCTGGTGGTAGTCTGGTGCCTGGAGAGAGGTTGGAGGGGGGTGTGGCCAGCATCAGGCTCCTGCCCCTCTGCAAGAGAGATGATCCTCCTGTCTCCCTGCAGACACCACACCTCGTCAACCTGAACGAGGACCCGCTGATGTCTGAGTGCCTGCTCTACTACATCAAGGATGGGATCACCAGGTGAGAGGGGACCTGGCAGCCACTCCAGCCTGGCCAGGCCCTGGGATCTGGCAGGGGAAGGCTGGACTCCCCATTCCTGCTTCTGCAGAGGGGCCACTGAGTTTGGACTTCCCCAGCGACCCCACTGATGTCTGCGCTGGGTGTTTCCCAAACAATCCTGGTTGGGCGTCCCTGGAGGCCAGTGGGTGGCGTCCTGGGTGTATTGGGTCCCAGCTGCCGTGCTGATGGTGCCCCCACCCCGCAGAGTGGGCAGGGAGGATGGCGAGAGGCGGCAGGACATTGTTCTGAGTGGGCACTTCATCAAGGAGGAGCACTGCGTCTTCCGGAGCGACTCCAGGGGAGGCAGCGAAGGTATCACCACCCTACCGTCCCTACCCGCACCCATGCCCCTGTGCCGTGATGATCAGGCCTGAATGAGGTCACCCTCTCCCAGCTTACCCAGCACTAAGTGGGTCGCGAGTCATACTTCTAGGCAGGACGTGTGTGTGTGTGTGTGTGTGTGTGTGTGTGTGTGTGAGAGAGAGAGAGAGAGAGAGAGAGAGATTTGGAGAGAGAGAGAGATATTTGGGGCCAGCCTTAAAAACAACTTCCATTAGGTTGGTGCTTGGGAAAATGCCTGGTACTTTCTGTGGCCAGGGGTAGCTGCTGCCTTAGGGAGCTGAGCCTCCTTGAGGGCTGGAGGTGGGGGCACAGGTGGGCTGCTGGCCGGGAAGCGTGTTGGGGCCCAGGGTGGAGGATGTTCATGGCGGGAGGACAGTGAGCCATGAGGATTGAGCCCAGATCTAGGGTGGAAAACTATTTCCAGACCTTGGTTTCCTGTTGGCTGTGGGCGGCCATCTGTCCGTTTCCCCTGCCTGCCCAGTGGTCTCCCTCCTGGAGATGACGTGGGGCTGTCCCCATTGCCTGGTGCTGCCCAACTTGGGGATGGGCCTGTGGTGTCAGTGTGCCGTCACATGGCCCACAGCCCAGGCTAAGGGCATCTCCCGGCAGCATCCAGCCAGCCTCTGGCCTGCAGACCTGTGACTGACACCCACTGTCCAACTTGGCCACCTCAGGGTGATGGCCCTAAGTGGTGTTGGGACGATTGGCTCTCCTGGAATTCTCTGACTGCAAAGCCCTGCCTACCCTCTCCTGTGGGACGGCCCAGGCCCCATTAGCTGGTGTTTTTATCCTTGTCCACCTGGGGAGCTGGACAGGGCCCTGGGTGATTAGGCCCAGCACAGCCTCTTGGCTTCAACGTGGGCACATGCATCCTCCTTCTGGGGGTCACTTTCTTCCTCTGTTAAGTGGGGTGAGACCCCTAAGCTCCTCTGAGGCCCAAATGAGTGTTGCCAATGGTCACGGCCTGTGTAGCAGGGAAAAGAGAGGCGAGAGGCTTGGAAGAGGCCATGCCCGGGGGCCAGGTAAGCCGAGCTGCTGTAGGTGACAGCCCCTCATAGTCCTCCTCTCTGCCCCTCCCACCTTTCCTGTAGCTGTGGTGACCTTGGAGCCCTGTGAGGGGGCAGACACCTACGTCAATGGCAAGAAAGTCACAGAGCCCAGCATCCTGCGTTCAGGTATGGCTGGGGACTCCGGGGGCCAGTCAGGTAGGCAGAGGCATGAGGCGAGGCCTCTGTTCCCATGTCCAAGCCACCGCCTCCTGTGCACTGTGCGGGATGGCAGCTCTTAAGGGCCGCTGGGCAGGTAGGGGAGGGGGCTGCGGGTATCCAAGCAGCTCATGTGCCTCCCCAGTCCCCCAACTCCAGGAACACAGCACTACAGGCCCCATTCACACAACACAGGGGCCCCGAGACACTGAGTCCGTGCTGTGGGCTGAGTGAGGAGCCAGGGTGTGCCTGCCTAGGAAGAAGCTCCTGCCTCCTGGCCCAGGACTCTGCCCTGTCGGGCTGGTCTGGGGGATACAGGGCAGTGGACAAGGGCTTCCCAGAGCTGAGGTGTTGTGGAGCTCAGTGGGGTGGGCTGCTCCAGTCTCTGAATGCAGCACCCCGGGTGGGGTTGGGCTCTGTTCCCAGACACTGCAGTGTCTGTGATGTTCAAACACGTGCAGGCACACGTGGCATAAAGTCCCTTCTTTAGAGAAGTCAGACAGTCAGACAGGGGGCCCTCTTGAGTGGTGTGTGACTATTGCCCACGCAGTTAGGGTTCTGCCAGAGAAACAGCAGCAGCCTGATGCACAGACATGGCTGTAGACATGTACCGAGATGTAGTGAGATAACGTACAACCATGTCTAGGTATAAAGAGATTTATTTCAAGGAATTGGCTTATCAGATGGTGGGGCTGGTCAGCGAAGTTTGAAATCCATGGGCAGGTGGCAGTCTGGGAACTCAGGGCAGGCTGGGAACTCGGGGCAGGCTGGGAACTCGGGGCAGGGTGGGAACTTGGCAGGAGTGGACTCCATCCGCTGGGTTTCTTCTTCCTCAGAGGAAGCCCCAGTTTGCTCTTAGGTCTTCACCTGCTTGGATGAGGCCCACCCCACCGTTGGGGGCCTCCTTGATTTCCATCAGCTGATTGCAGGTGTGGAGCACATGTGCAGAAACCTCCACACAACACCCAGGGAGGGTGTGGCTGAATCACTGGGTGCTGTGGCCTGGCCAGGCTGACATAAAAGTGACCATTGGCTTGGAACAGGGGAGACCCTTTCCTAACCCTGTCTTAGGGGAAAGCAGAGGGGGTGAGGAGGGGCAGGTGACACCCAGTGGCCCCACTTCTAGCCCATCTGCCCACCCCCGAAGGCTTTCGGAGGAGTCTTCGGGACTCAGGAGTCCTGCCTGTGGGGTCCCTGGGCAGGAGGGCAGGACACACTGAATGTCCTGAATTCGTGGGGTGGCCTTGTAATGGGGAGTCGGTGTGGCTAAGCCTGGGCGACAGCTGGTCAGACGGACAGAGAGACAGCTGTGCCCATTCTCCCTGCTTGTTTTGGGGTTGGCCCTGGTGCCTGTGGGGCTCAGGGCAGGGCCTAGGCTAAGAGAGGCCTTAGCTTGGGGTTTCCCTCCCAGTGTCCGAGGTGGGCTGCATACGGCCTGTGGACAGGGAGGACAGAGGAAGTGGCCAGCTGAGAGCAGCCAGCAAGGAGGTGCTGAGGGGGGACAGACCTGCAGGCACGGGCCACCTGGGTGGGAGGCAGGGCAGAGCCGGCTCTATGGGGCCCCAAGACAGAGCTGCAGCTACTAGGGAAAGTCAGAGGAAAACTAGGCCATCCAAAGAGAGCCCCTGCAGGCAGGACTGTCCCAAGACAGTGAGTGCTGCCCTGGAGGGCCCTGCAGATGGGGCAGCCCTGAGGGGGGTCCAGCCGGGTGCTGGGGTGGGAGGGGCTGGACTGATGCCCATGCCTCGGTGGCCCTGATGCTGAGGCTCTGCAGCCACCTGTGCCTGCTAGTGGCCGTCCCTGCTTCCTTCTTGTGGTCTCTGGACTCCGGACCCTGGACCCCAGCCCTGGGCACAGGGGACCTGCCCCAGCCCTGCTTCCAGTCTAGTCGGGGAGACAGATGGAAAGGAAAGGTCCTGTGCCCTGCAGCAGTGCTCTGTGGAGGGCCCAAGTCCAGCTCTGGGGGCACCGGCCCCAGACTGGATGTGAGAAGGAGGGTCCTGGCTCCCATGTGTGCACAGGGGCTTGGGGGCAGGAGGCAAGTACAAGGCTGGCCTGGGGAGGGGCGGGGACACTGGAGCACAGCAGAAGCCCCAGATCTGTGGTTTGCAAATGTCACTGGATGCTGAGTGGAGAGTGGCCAAGGGTGGATTTATGGGGAGAGTGAGGAGACACATTCAGGTCCCAGCGAGGGCTGAAGAAGGAGTGGCTGGGAGCTGGGGATGGTGGGGTGCCTGCACCCGTTCCCCTTTCTCCTCACGCCTCCCCGCTTGAGACCATCAGGGACCTGAAGATCCCCATCCCTCAAGGCCACCTGTCCCTCTGTTCCCCAGGAAACCGCATCATCATGGGTAAGAGCCATGTGTTCCGGTTCAACCACCCCGAGCAGGCCCGGCAGGAGCGTGAGCGCACGCCTTGTGCGGAGACGCCAGCTGAGCCTGTGGACTGGGCCTTCGCCCAGCGTGAGCTGCTGGAGAAGCAGGGCATCGACATGAAGCAGGAGATGGAGCAGAGGTGAGGCGGAGGCCACCCCCAACTGCCTGCTGCCCCTCCTGCCCTCCCGTGCTCACCCCAATGCCCCCTTGCAGGCTCCAGGAACTGGAGGACCAGTACCGCCGCGAGCGGGAGGAGGCCACCTACCTGCTGGAGCAGCAGCGGCTGGTGAGTGACGTGGCCCCGCCCTCCCTGCCCAGCCCCCACCCACACCAGGGGACCCCTGTCCTCCCACGCCCCCACTCCTCCCTGCTTGCCTGGCCCCATCTCTTGCATCTAAACAGTGGGATGTGGTGAGGCCCACTGTCTAGGCGCAGTGTGAGAGGCCCAGGCAGGTAGGGCCGTAGTGGAGTCACAGGCCTTGCTTTCTGCAGGACTATGAGAGCAAGCTGGAGGCTCTGCAGAAGCAGATGGACTCCAGGTACTACCCGGAGGTGAACGAGGAGGAGGAGGAGCCCGAGGATGAAGGTGAGGGGTCACTGGGCCAGCACCTGCTGCGTCAGGAGGGTCTCAGCATGGAGGTGGGCAGCCCTGGGCCTCTCCCTGGAGGTCACTGGTCAGCACTTTTGCCCTGGGGTCTGGACCTGTCTCTTTAGGGAAAGACCTCCTTGCCCTGGGAAGCACCGTGGAAGCAGCATTGGGGGAGGGGGGATACTGTGCCACAGCTGGCAAGCAGCTCTGCACACTCACGCACTGGCGTGTGTACACACATGCACACATTCACGTGCACACATGTACACACGTGCACACACATGCTGCCTCTAACAGGAGTGGCTGGATGATGATGGGGAATGGGGCTGGTAGGGGCTCACCATGCTCATGCGTCCACTCTTCCCATCCTGCTGACCACAAGGCTCATGGGGCCCCCGAGGAAGAGTCCACTGTGCACATCACCTCAGGATTCCCTCAGTGAGCATGTGCTCCGGGGGCCAACCCAGCTGACCTCCCGCAGCTGTGGGCAGAGGTGGCCCACATGCAGGTGGGGAGGGGTTTGCACCCATCTCAGCCTCTGGCCAGGTGGTCAGCAGCTTTGTGCTGGCATGACCTTGGTATCTTCCCCTGTTTGGCCTCATTTACCCAGCGAAGCTCCCTCCCACAGCAAAGCTCAGGCGTGCCAGATTGGGGGCAGCCAAAGGCGTGTAGTGCTGTGTTGGGAGGAGGGGTGGGGTCTCAGCACAAGGACAAGTCCCTCCTTGTGTCCCTGCTTGTCCTTCTCTCAAGGGCCCAGTGGACAGACAGGGCATGGGTCGGGGAGAGAGTGTACGGGCCAGGGCCACCTGGGAGCACCTGGCCTGCCCTCCTGCCTCCTCTCCTGTGGGCCCTGCTCCCCACTGCTGGCCCCAGATGGTGTGTGGCTGTCATTGACGGTGTTGCTCCCCCAGCCACTCTGATCTTCAGCCTGACTCACAAGGCTGCTCGTGGCGGCCTCTCCTTTGGGGCATGCAGAGCTTTTCATGTTGCTCACTGTGACAGAGCTCTCTGCCGGTTTCTTCTTTCTGTGTACCCAAATAGTTAGTGTGAAACGGGGTGGGGGGCAAGCACAGAGCTCTCCCAGCCCAGACCCAGAGTGAGAGGAAGCCTGGGGAGAGAGGGGCCTGTCCACCTCTGGCCTCAGTGACCACAGGGGGAGTAACCTTCCAGCCTTCCATCTTGTTACCTGATAACCACCCGGCCGTGATGTACACAGAGCACAGGGTCAGCTTAGGCAGCCCCATGGAGTGGCCGACCAGCCTGACCTTCCAGAGGGCGGGGCATGGTGGGCAGGGTCATGGCCTTCCTGCGATGACCACGTGTGACCTCTCCCCACAGTCCAGTGGACAGAGCGGGAGTGTGAGCTGGCGCTCTGGGCCTTCCGGAAGTGGAAGTGGTACCAGTTCACGTCTCTGCGGGACCTGCTGTGGGGCAACGCCATCTTCCTCAAGGAGGCCAATGCCATCAGCGTGGAGCTGAAAAAGAAGGTGGGCTGCCCACTGGCTGTACCGTTTCCTGTTGGAGAGAGTGTGTCACCTCACTCATGACGGGGACAGCTACTTGGGACTCAGCACTTGGCTCTCTGCCGGCCCCGGGGGTGGCATAGCAGCCCTGCCTGACCTGGCCCCCCAGAAGGGTGGGCAGTGAGGGAGCCCAGACCTGGCCAGGTGGGACTTGGCTGCTCACGGGAGACGGCGGCCGGGTGGGCAGGCAGGAAGTAGGTGGTCCCCCCTGGCGGCTGTCTGAAAGGTTCCAGTGAACCATTGTGGGGCAGGCAGCTGAAATCTCCAGAAGGTGGGAAGGAAGCCTTTTTGGGGACCTGGCACCCTGTCCCCCAAGGAGCTGACGAGTGGTCATCTTCCCCTGTCACAGGTACAATTCCAGTTTGTCCTCCTGACGGACACACTCTACTCCCCTCTGCCACCCGACCTGCTGCCCCCAGAGGCCGCCAAAGACCGAGAGACGCGGCCCTTCCCCCGCACCATTGTGGCCGTGGAGGTCCAGGACCAGAAGAACGGGGCCACCCACTACTGGACGCTGGAGAAGCTCAGGTGGGGCTGGAGGGCCGCTGGGTGGATGGTGGGAGGGTCCTCCTGGGCAGGGCTGAAGCCACAGGAGCGGTGGTAGGCACAGGCTTCACAGCGAGTACCTGCAGACACCGCTGTTCCTCCTGTTCCAATTATTTTAAAATCAGAAGAAAAATGTGAATAGAGTCCAGCCTTGTAGAATCCTCATTCTCTTTCTACCAATGCAGCAATCATACATAAAAATAGATTTGGACATTTTCTTTCGGAGGAAAGGACAGATGAGGGGAATGCTCCCTAGGCCCACAGGGGTCAGGACGGTGCAGTGGAGGGGAGGGCAGGCTGTGGCACCGACAGAACAGGCTGGCGGAGCGCCAAGAGCGGGTACAGCAGGGCCTGAAGGGTGGCTCCCCAGAGGGACTGGGAGAGGTGGTGGGGGATGGAAGGAATGCCCCCTTGCTCCTCCATTCAGGAAGCTGCCGGGAGGTGGATCCCTTAGCTGAGCCCAGTGGAAGGTGGAGGAGGAGCTGAGGTGGGGGTGGTGAGGAGGAAGCCTGGGCTGTGCCCCTCTGTGCCCAACGTGAGCTGGTGTCCTTCCTAAAGCTCGGCCTCTGCTGTCCCCACATGCTCACGCTGATTTGTCTTGAGCCCTTAATTTTTTTTTTTTTTTCTTTAAGAGACAGGGCCTTGCTCTGTTGCTCAGGCTAGAGTGCAGTGGTGTGATCATGGCTCGCTGCAGCTCAAACTCCTGGGCTCAAGTGATTGTTCCACCTCAGCCTCCCAAGTAGCTGGGACCACAGGAATGGAGTGCACTATGACACCCAGCTAATTTTTGAATTTTTTTTGTGGTAGAGATGAGGTCTCGCTCTGTTGCACAGGCTGATCTCTAACTCCTGGCCTCAGCCAATCCTTGCACCCTGGCCTCCCAAAGTACTAGCGTTATAGGTGCAAGCCACTGCACCCAGCCAGGCCTCAAGTTACGGGGGTGACTGAGTCACCATGTGAGGTCAGCGCCATCAGTGGGGGAGTTGAATGTCACTCACAGGCCCCTGGGAAGCAGAGCATGGCACGCCCCACCCTGCAGGGCTACAGGGGGAGGCACCAGGCAGAGAGGAGTAGGAGTAGGGGAAGGCCCAGGCCACAGCCTGGGGTTGTGGGAAAGGCCAGGCAGAGCAGGGAGACAGCTTAGGCTTGGCTAGTTTGAATAATTCTGCAGGGCTCTGGGGCATAGGGCTGTCCCTAGTTGTCTGGTACCTTGTCCTGGGTGATTTAGGCCAGGGGGAATATTGGCCTGGTGTGTGAAAAAGTTAGAGAAAGGAGGTGGCTGGGGTACAGACTTGGGATTGGTTGGTTTGTGTAGGAAAGGCAGGGGTGATGGCAAGTTGCTGACTGTCTCTAGGAATTATCAGGACCTGGGCAGCCCTCCCCAGCCTGCAGTGCCCCCCAAGGAAGTCAAAACATCACAAGATACAGAAAATAAAAATATGATTAATGCATTCATACACACATACACATTCATGCAAACACACACACACACACACACACACTCATAAGCATTCATGAAGATGTGCACATATACACAGCATACACTCCCACACTCACCCTCCTCACTCTTCTGCCCTGTTCTCCCAGGTTACGTGGCTTGGAAGGACGGACAGCCACTGTTGATGTGGTTTCTCTTATACCTGAGATCTAGGGGCACAATGATTGCTTTTCCTTTGTCCTACATTAAGTTTTTCTTGGGAATAATAATTTGTAGGCTATTTTCTCTGTCTTCTGTGTCCCTACCCCCAGTTTGCCCTTTATTCCTCGAGCTCTTGCGCCTCTGTGGCCTGATCCCCGTTTCTGAGCTTCACTTGGGTTCTCTTCCCACCTCTCCGCCAGCTTTCCAGCAGCCCAGTGCCGCCAGCCCCTCTAGCCCCTCACTGCTTGTTCCCCAGCCCACCCCCTGGAGGGAGTTTGGGAGGAGCTGTTGGTGACCTTGCGTGCTTAGCTGAGTACGTTACTTGTGACTGACCAGCTCTAAGGGTCACAGAGGGGGTCTGTCTAGCAAGCCCCCTGGACCTTGATGACCCTGAGCTGGATGTGGTGGCCAGAGCTAGGCTGAGCCCACTGTCCCCAGGAGATAAGGGTGTGCGGTGCCAGCTGCTGAGCGCTGGGCCTGGGTCCACATTGACCCCTGCCGTCCCTGCAGGCAGCGTCTGGACCTGATGCGGGAGATGTACGACCGCGCTGCAGAGGTGCCCTCCAGTGTCATCGAGGACTGTGACAACGTGGTGACCGGCGGAGACCCCTTCTATGACCGCTTCCCCTGGTTCCGGCTGGTGGGCAGGTGGGCGCCTCCTCCCTTCCTTGGCAGAGAGAGAGATTGAGAGAGAGAGATGGCAGTGGGGGTAGGAGTGGGCCCTGGCCTGATACAAGGAGCGGCCCTGACAAGTGCTTTTCCAGCCCCATATTCCCAGCCCTGTCCTCCCTGGCCTGAGGTTCCTCCCAGCCATTCCTCTCCACACACCACAGGGCCTGTTATTTCAGGGGACGTGGGATGGGGTCTTGGCACTGCCACCCAAACCCACTGCAGGGCTGTAGCCGCCAGAACCCATGGGTCCATGTGTATGAATATGTGAGGCTCCCAAGCAAACTTTCCAGGTCACCTGTTGGTCCTGAGGGTGGGAACATGGAGGCAGGGCTGTGTCACCTGAGCCTTACAAATGGCTGCCTCCTTCCCCGGTCTCCAGTCTGGGGTCTGCACCCAGCCCCCTTCACCCCATGGGACCGTGGTATTCTGAGGCCTCAACGTGGCCAAACTCTCGAGGTCCTCATATGGCCTCAGCCACTCCCAGCCGAGACCCCTGTTCTCAGTCCCACCTGCAGGTGTCCTCCGGAACCTTCCGGAACCTTCCTGCTGGCCATACATGTGATTTCTTTCCAAGCCTGGGGGCACAGTTTTGGTTCTCTCATCTTTTAAAGCAGCATTCTCGATGGTCTGTGTGTTTGGTTTTGGTTTTAAACAGAAGCCCCCCAGCCCCGGCCCCGGCCCCTGTTCGTCCCTGCGAGTCGCTGGTGTTAACTTCTCTCTGTCTTGTCGCACTAACCTCAGTTCAGCCATCTCTGGCTGCAACAGCTACCCTCTTCTCAACACATGCATGAGCGAGCGCATGGCTGCTCTCACCCCCTCCCCCACCTTCTCGAGCCCCGACTCCGACGCCACCGAGCCTGCCGAGGAGCAGAGCGTGGGGGAGGAGGAGGAGGAGGAGGAGGAGGAGGAGGATGAGGAGGAGGAGGACCTGGAGGACGACGTCTTTCCGGAGCACGCGCTGTGCGACGGCCGGGACCCGTTTTACGACCGGCCCCCCCTGTTCAGTTTAGTAGGAAGGTTGGTGAGGTCGAGGAGAGCATGCTGGGGAGGACCCAGCTCTTTTGCACAGGAGCACTGCTGCGGGCACAGAGGAACCGCTGGGGCCTGGCCCGGGCCCTCCCAGGGCAGGCGAGGCAGGTGGAGGGGCTGGCCTCCTGAGGAGAGCACCCGAGGGCCCCCGGGCCCTGCATCCTTGCAGTGGGGCTGCTCACCCATCCTGGAGACGGTCGCTTTGGGCCGGCAGGGAAGAGTCTGGGTTCCAGGTACAGAAGAGGTAGTGCACCCCGGAGCTTGCAGCTGTGGCCCCAGGCAGGTGGGACTATTTCTGCAGAGAGGCCGTAGGAACCCCGGAGTGGCTCAGGCACCCAATGGCCGAGTTCCTCCCTGAAAGTCCCAGTGCAGGGCCCAAGGGGCATTTGATAGGTGAGGGCCAGCCGCCCCCAAGCAGGATGCCCGTCCTGTCATTCTCCTGGGAATCAACACTGTCCTAGCGGAGGCAGCCTCACCCCAGCTCAGCTGTCATCCAGAAGAGACAGAGGCTCCCGGCTGCTCTCAGTGCTCTCCACTCTCTTTGGGGAAAGGAGCTGAACTCAGAGGCAGCCATCCTGAGGCCACTTTTAGGAGTGGGAGGCAGCTGCTAACCCTCCCATCTCCCTCTGAAATGATGGGGCCTGGGCAAAACATGCCTGTCTAAAGGTGAGGACTACTCCATCCCTCCTGACCTCCTCGGTTGTCATGGCCAGAGATGGCGGCATGTGGCCCAATGCCCTCATGGAATGTGCCCTTTGCAGAGAGAAGCTGGTTATCACGTTGCCCAAATGGATGAGAAGCCACGGTTGGGAGACAGAATGGAGGCTGGGGAAGCCCAGACCCAGGGAGCAGACGTCCCACCCTGCTGGCAGATTTGGCAAATCCAGCTGCCTTTCTGTTATCATGGAAGGGAAGTCAGGTGAAGGAAAGATCTAGAAACCTGGCTGTAGTAGTCAGAAGGTCAGCTCACGAAACAGCTGAATTTATATATTTTACATATATGAATGTCATAAGATAATTCTTAATAGCAACCTTTTTTTGGCGATTAAGATTGCTTCCCTGGGCTAGGCCAGTGGAAGTTTTCAAAAGTCTGGAGCTTGGAGCAGCAGTGCTGACAGCTGAAGGCTAAGGGTGGCCCCAGATCGCAGGGTTTACACGGGCTTTACTCTGTCCTTGGGTGGAGATGGTGGAAGGAAAGCCTCACCCTCCCTCTTGGAAGACAGCAGGTCCTCATGGGCAGGTGCCATGGATTTATTCTGATTAATTTTTCATGAGTGTTACTAGGCTGTGAGGTGAGATAAGCTGGCCTACCAGATAAAAACCTGTGGCACTCTCCCTCCGAGATGCTCTGGGCCTGTACTTCCCACTCTGCAGGGCCCAAGAGGGAGCAGTGGACCCCAAGGCCAGTTCCATGCAGGCCTCTCTCAGAAAGCCCCGGGCCGTAGGGCCAGGCCCCCTGCACCTCCTGGGCCCCAGGAGTGGCTCCGGGTGTCAGGTAGGTGAGGGATCAGGACGCACAGGGGGATGAGGACATCAGGAGAAGTGGGGTGGGGCTCTCGCAGTCTCAGCCAGAAAGAGCTGGGTCCTTCCAACATTTTTTTCCCCTTTTGTGGATTTGAGATTTTACGAAACTACCAAACCAAACAAAAGTCATCAAAGAGAGACCTGGCCCCCATATTGCGGGGTGGTCTGTGAAGGGCTTCATTGGGAATCATCTTGATCTTTTTGGTTTGGCAAGAATTGGCTTCTCCCATGCAGCAGCTGTGCAGGCCCGGCCCTGGGAAGGCCCCTCGTTGATTTTCCTTTAACCTTCTGGTAGCTGCTGGCTCTCTCTCCAAAGCTTCAGCGAAATTGGGGCACCCACTCTTGTCCCCTCTGGAAAGGCTTCCCTGGGTCCCAGCATGCGTCTTTGCACCTCACCAATCTGTGGTTAGCACCTGCCTCCTCCCTCCCTCCCGCCACACTCAGCCCTCGCTCTGTCTGCCTCTGCTGCTGCCTCTCTTGGGCTGGGTTTCAGTCTGCTTCAAGGTACCCTGGCCTCTGCGGAAGGCCTATCCAGCACTGGCCTCCTGTGTTCTGCACTGGGGCTCCTCACCCAAGGCCAGGGTCAGCCCCCAGGGGCCTCTGCCTCTGGCGGTCTGGGGCACCAGGTGACCTGGGGAGGCAGGTGGGTTGGTGACCACTGCCCATATTCCAACAGGAGTGGGCCTGGGGCTCTGATTTCCCCTGGCATAGGAGGGGTAGGAAACACAGGAAGGGTGGGTGGGCACAGGAGCTGCAGAGAGAGCAGGGCGAGAGGCTGACTGCCTGGGATAAGGGTCCCTGGGAGGGGAGCAGGGCTGGGGAGGGAGCGCAGGTGTCTAGGGCTGGGTCGATAAACGTTGCTCCAGCTCGAGGGCTTCACTCTGGGTCAGCTCTGTGCCCTCTGGACTGGCAAGGCCACGCCACTCCCTTGGGTCCCACATGGTGCTCTTGGTGGGCTGGGGCCCCTCTGTCTTGGTATTTGTAGCATGGCTGCGGATGGCGTCTCTCGGCCCGAGATCCTGAGAGCCACTCTGCGTTGGGTGTGTCTGTGGCTGGTAGGGACAGGCCTGGGCTACGCTCTGGTTCCCAACTGATGTCAGGTTATTTCTGGCACCTAGAGGGCAGGTGGGGGCATGGCCTGCCCAGCATGTGAGACCTGCGGCCCTGGAGGGTGTCTCCACTGGGCAGAGACGCCAGGCTCCAAGATGCCAGGCACCAGTGCTCTGCCCCATCACCTCACACTTCGGGTGCATTGGTTGGCATGGGCTCTTCGCAGAGTGGAGGGGCACCTTCCGGGCCCAGCTCACAGCTCTCTTGAGGCTGGTGCTGCCACTGGGGCAGTGGATTCAGGGCCCTAGAGGTCCCTTCTGGCTGAACAAGTCTATCACCGAGCCAGGCAGACTGGGACGGGCAGTGGGGAGAGGAGAGCACCCAGCACTAGAGCCACAGCCAGATCCACATGTCCCACCGGTGGCCTGGGGCCCGAGGTCAGTGCCATGAGGATGCTCACAGGGTGCTGTAGAGATGGGGGAGCATTTGGTGTCAGACCTCCGGGGTCCTTTTCATTGTATAACCTCTACCTGGATGTCCCTCGGGGCCCCACCCCCAGCAGTCCCCACCTTTGGGGCACAGTCTGGGCTGCATCTTGCCCATCTGTTTGAAAGCAGTTAGCAGCAGTCTGTGATGCTACAGTGTCTGGGTCCTCCCAGCCCCCAGCATGAGGACAGTCCAAAAAAGCATGAAACAATCGATCTGCTTAATCAATCAGCTGTGATAACTAAGCAGGTGCCCAGGTGAATTGCCCACTCAGAGTGGGTGAGGAGGTGCCCATGGAAGCCAACCCTGGCCCTAGAAGTAGGTGGTGGAGCTTGGTGTCCACACAGTTGAGCTGGAGATGAGTCCCTTGCAGGCCCTTGCTGCCAGGCCCTGGTGACTTCCTTAATCTCTTTGCCTCAGGGTCGTCCTCTGTGCGATGAGGTATAAGTACCATATTTCATCGTTCTAATGTGCTGAGACCCTGGGTGGATTTTTTGCATCTCTAAGAAAGAAGGGTGCAGCTGGTTGAGTTGAGATGGCTGTTTATTAGGACGTGCCCTGGCGAGGAGATGGGGGTGCACTGCCTCCCAGGAGGTAGAAGAGCAAAAGGCCCTGTGTGCTCGCCACTGTGCTTGGCCCCTAGGGAGCCTCCACAGATGCCGGCTGCTGTGATTTCTGCCATGTTGCTTCATAATGGGATGATCTGAGCCTGGGGTTGCGAGGGGCTTGGGCCTCCTCCTCGAGCCCAGCCCCTGTCTGATTTGTGGGGCACTCGAGTCTGTGCTGTGCTGCTGGAGCCTGAGCCCACAGTTGGCAACATGGCAGAAGGCGTCTCCTCAGAGTCAGTTCCACACAGCGTTTGTTCAGCAGGGAGCCCTTGTGGAGAGAGCCAGGATGGGGCCTGCCTGCTACAGCCTCACAATGTGACCTGGGATGGGCCTGGCCCCTGCCTCAGTTTACCTCTCTATGCACTGCCTCAGACCCCCTTGGACCTGGCCTTTCAGGGCAGTGGGGGAGAGTGAGGAGGGGATCAGTGTGAGACCCTGAGAGCTAAGAGTGGGAAGGGAGTGGCCCCTTCTCTAGCTCAGGTGCAGAAGTCTCCTCCCTCTGGGTGTGGTCCTGGGTAGCTCAGAAGTTGGTGGGTCACCTTTGTGGTGCCATGAGTGGCACATGTGGATGGCCCCAGAGCCCAGGGCTCTGCTCACTGCCAGCAGCCCCTGTGGAATTGCCCTAAGCTTTGGGAAGGCAGCTGTGGTGATGGGTCTTTGGGGGTAGGAAAGGTAGTGTCTGACCCTGTCTGGGTGGCCCTGGACAGCTCTAGCCTCTCCTTCCTGTGAGCTGCGCCAATGGATTCAGGAACCCCGTGCCTGAGTGTCCTCACCTGGCCCACAGTGGGAGTGGTCCCAGGTCCTGCCCCCTCTCCGAGCACCACCCCATGGGCTTCCTGCAGAGTGGGGTGGGGGCAGTCTCTTCATCCTCAGTGCCCTTCTGCCCTCCAACCCTGGGATTTTTGCAGTGGGCACTAGCTCTGGGAAAATGTGGGGTGGGTGGGGGCTGGAGGGCAGGGGCTGGCTCAGAGCCCCACAGCATGGGCTGTCCCGTCTGGTCTCATTATGTCTCCCCCAGTGTGGTGCGCCAGCCACGGGGAAGAGCCGTGCTGTCTGGCGGCCCAAGTTCTGGCTCTCCCCACCCCCACTCCTGGACAACTTAGCTTTGCTCAGTTTGTAGCAGCCCCTTTTCCCACCCCCACTGTCAAGCAGAGACCCTTGTCCAGGAGCCCGGGGTGCCCTGGGGAGGGAAGGCATTGCCGTCCCCCTCCCAAGGGGATGCTGGTGAGTCCCTGCCTGCGGAGCACCCAGCAGGACTGTGGGGAGGGGCCCCGCCCTGTGGGCCTCAGTGTCCTCTCGTGACTAGGGCCAGGGTGAGCTTCCATGGGCGCTTCTGGACATAACCTGGGTGGGTGGCCCAGGGCAGTGGAGCTCCAGCCCCCACACCTAAGTCAGGCAGAGCCGCCTGCAGCCCTGTGGGTAACAAGTCCCTGATGGGCTCCATTGGTGTGGGGTACTCGCTTCTCGGGGGGCATCTTCAGAGGGGGCGTTGTGCTGGGGAGAGGGCCCAAAAAGCCACCAGGGGCTTCCTTTACCCCCGGAGAGAGGCCTGAGGAGACTTTCAGGCCCCTGGAGGGCAGCAAGACCCTTTTCCTGTTGCGAGCCTGGGCCATTTTGCAGTGAGGGCGTTGGTGAGGTCTCAGCTTAGCAGGGCCACTCAGAAAGCGAGGGAGGTGCCATGAGGATGTGTAAAGTCAGAATGAACGAGACGGCCAAGGGGAAGGTCCTGACAGTGACTGGGATTCTGGGGCCTCTGAGGAGGCTTGAGGCCGCAGATGAGATGGAGGGTAGGGCTTCTGCATTGGAAACAGAGACACCCGGGGCATCCATGGACCCATGGGCCACAAGGCTGAGCTTGACTGTGCTGGGGAGGCAGGGCCTGGACCCCCAGGGCCACATGGGGCATGGACACCCCTGCAAGGAGCTTGAGTGTCACCAAGGGCATGGGGGGATGTGTCTGACTGGTGCCTTAAGACCTTTCTGTCTGCTGTGGGGGCCATGGCAGGGTGGCTGGTGGTGATGGGACAGTTGAGGGGGGCTTCTTGAAGACTTTTGAGGTGGAACTGATGGATTTGATGAGTAGGAGGGGCCCCTGTGCTGCTGGTTTCTGACTTGCTGCTGCAGGAAGGTCAGGGGTATTAGGGTGTGGAGGGAGCAAGGTCAGGAGCCCACCTGAGAGAGGTGTTGGGCGTTCACAGCCCGCTGAGTCTCACTCATCCCCTCATCAGTATCTGCTCTGGAATCGAGGGCCCCAGGCACGGCCCTTTCCCATGCTGGAGGTCATGGTGCTCAGAGCCACACCTGCCTGGAGCAGGAAGCAGGGTATCCTTCCGCCTGGCTGTGTGGCGTGGGGTCTTCCAGGGTCCTCTCTGTCCTCCCAGCTGCCCACATATTGGTCAGCACAGGGAACGCAGCAGCTATCTGGCGACCGTAGGTACTCGTGGTCTCTGCCTAGGCCGGTCCTAGGAAAGGGGGATCTTGGTGCTCTGGGTCTCTGACAGGGCAGGCTGGGCCGCACCGTGGCCCTGGGGGTGTCCTCAGGGCTCCATTCAGCACCTCCCTGGGCCCTGGGCTGGGGGTGCCTCATCTTGGCCAACTCACCTCGGAGCTCCCACCTGCCGAGTTTCTGTCTGGGGAAGGGGTTCTGCGGGGTCCGTGAGCATCAGGGACCCCTGGGAAGTGGGCAGGAGGCAGAGCGATGCTGGCCATCAGTGCCAGTGTGAAAAGGGGGGCAGTGCAGTGTGGTCTGGGTCCTGGTCTGGCCCCCGTCCTCCTTGAAGCAGGCTGAAACCTCCCTCCTCGGCTGCTCCCTTCTCAGGCAGCCAGGTCCGGGCCCAGCTGGACTGTGCCTCTGCTCTCCGCAGCTCATTCCTCGTCCTCCTCTCTGTCCCTCCACCTCCTGTCTCCTGTGAGTGCCTGCCCTGCCTGTCCCCGCCCGCTCTTGCTGTCCTGGCCTTGGCTGTCCTGTCCGGCGGCTTCCCTCTGCTTTGCAGCTCCATGTTGTGTCGTGAGCCAGGCCATGCTGCCACCGCTGCCGTTCAGAACATGCGTGGAGGGGTGGCCCATGACCGCCGCCTCTGCTTCTCCCCAGGGCCTTCGTGTACCTGAGCAACCTGCTGTACCCCGTTCCCCTGGTACACCGTGTGGCAATCGTCAGCGAGAAGGGCGAGGTGAAGGGCTTCCTCCGCGTGGCCGTCCAGGCCATCTCAGGTGCGTGTGGGCCAAAGGCCGTGTGTGGCATTGGAGCCCCTGGGGCTGGCTCTGACCTTTGCAGGCAGAGGCGTGGGCCCAAGAAGGGCCTTCTGGCATCATGTAGTGGTTAGTGGGAAGCTGGCCTCAGCTGGCCCTCCACTCTCCCTGGGGTCAACCTGAAGCTGTTTTTCCACGCTGTCCTGGGCTGGCGCCCCGGGCTGCTGCCCCGCAGTGGGCCCTGGAGGGGAAGCCCCTGCTGCCCAGCTCTTGGCTCTGGACTCCCCAGGGTCAGCTGGAGGTGCCTTGGGGGCTGTGCAGGCTGAGCCCAGTGCCATCTGAGCCTGCTCTGGTTGGGGGTTTCCACCTTCCCATCAGGCAGTCCCATATGGACCCAAGACCACCTGGATCCCTCCCCCAGCCTGCTGCAGAGCAAGTGCTCTCTGTCAACACATTCCACCCACCCGGCTGTCTCTGCAGCCCCAGGAAAGGCGTGTGAGGCCCAGTCCCTGGCCCCTGGGCCCTGCTCAGGGCAGCCCTCCCTGGGGTGCTTCTGGTTCCCTGATGCATTCCCTGGTCTCTCAGGCACAGGCCTGTCCCCCTCCACACTGGGCCTGAAGACACAAGCCCCTCCCTTGTGGGAGGTGGAGACTGGTGCTGCTCAGCCTGCTCCGGATGGCCAGAGGCACCAGGGCAGCCCCAGAGTGTCTGAGCCTTGGTTTGCTCACATGTAAACGGGATCCGTTGTAATGCTCCCCACCTGATAGGAATGTTGAAGGGTACTTGAGAACACAGATGTGAGAGCGCTTGGCTGCCTGGAAGCTGCAGGGCAACAGGCGGCTTGTGCCGTGAGGGAAGGTCCCACTCCCTTCCCTGCCTGCCCCGGGCTCCTCCACCAAGGTCTCCCCTCACCAAGGAGCACTCTTTTTCCTCTCAAAGGCCTTGGCTGCCTGGGCACCCTAGGGAGGGAGTAGTACAGACAGACAGACACACAGACAGGCAGATGGATGCAGAGAGGACGTGCATCCATGGCTGCAGGGGGGCTCCTGGCTGCCGGGCTGGGGCTGCTTAGAGGAGCGACCTGGAGCAGGCTGAGATGGCCATACCCCTCCCCAGATGGCAAGTCCCCCAACTCCGAGATGGCTCATATTCTCCACCCTGAGTTACCTCATATCCCCTGCAAGATGCAAGATGTCTGGTTCTCCCGGCTCTGCTATCCTGGCTGCCTTGGGTGATTTTAATCCCACCTAATTAATGAAGTTAATTTGACTCTAATGTTAAATTCTCCTTAGCCCATAATTTCTTTCTTTTCTTTTTTTTTTTTTGGACAAAGTCTTGCTCTGTCGCCAGGCTGGAGTGCAGTGGCTGGATCTCGGCTCACTGTGCAACCTCTGCCTCCCAGTTCAAGCGATTCTCCTGCCTCAGCCTGCCGAGTAGAGTAGCTGGGACTACAGGGGTGCGTCATCACGCCCAGCTAATTTTTTTATTTTTAGTAGAGACGGGGTTTCACCATGTTGGCCAGGCTGCTCTCGAACTCCTGACCTCAAGTAATCTGCCCATCTCGGCCTCCCAAAGTGCTGGAATTTCAGGCGTGAGCCACCACGCCTGGCCAGCCACCCTGCCCAGCCTAGCCCATAATTTCTAAATGCTGTTTATAGCACCTCCCACTGGCCATGTCATTGCTTGTCATCCAGTCACTGTGATACCACAGTGCTGAGAATCAGGGGGCCCAGCTGGGGAGTGAGGGTGAACACCAGGGAAGGGCCCCAGCCCTGCTGCTGGAAGGTGGGGTGTTTACCAGGGCTGCAATACTCAGGGAAGCTGGGAACACCTATCACCTCTGTCTCCCCTCCAGGAGGTGCCACCCCCACCTCACCAGGTCCTCCCAATCCTGCCTTGTGCCAGCAGCTCCCACCAAGTGGTCAGGATGGCTGAGCGGAGCCATCCTGAGCACTTCCTCCCACTGGCCCCCACCCTGACAGCCACTTCCTGAGAGTGGGGCTGCACCAGAGGCCGTGGGGCCGGCCCATGTCCTTGTGAGGGCAGCTGCCGTCCTGGTCTGCCCTTGGTCAGAGGAGCTCTCTGGGGTCCACATGGAGGTTTCCCATTTCCCAGGATCCGAGTTCAAGCTCAGTGCAAAGCTCTACCTTTGTCCTGCACCCTATGGGGTTGAGAGGTACCCCCACCTCTCAGATGAGTGTCGCCAGTTAGGAAGGTGTACAGCAGCTCTGAGCCCAGGTCTGTGTGCCCAGGTCCACAGCCCCTGCTATCCCATGTCATATACTGGGAAACCAGACTGGGATAGTGCCTAGGAAGTGCTCCTATCCTGGGCTGCGTCGCCAGGCCTCCTGCCGGCCATCCTACAACTGGATCATTTTATGTTGGGTGATACCTAATTGTTTCCCTGTCTAATGGCTGTGGTGGTGGAGAAGGGAACTTAGAAAAGGCACCGGCCCTTGCACTGGTGGTGTCAGAAGTCTCATCAGCCCTGCCCGTGACCCGGGCGAGGTCAGTTTGCTGTTCCCTCAGCACTGACTCCTGCATGAGCAGGCGCTGACTGTCACAGACCATGGCAGGACAGAGCTCAGGGCTTTAGGCAGCAGGTCCACTGAGAGCTTTGAAGGCTGGGGAGTGTGGGCGCATGCACCGGCAGGCCTGGGGAGTTGCGTGGAGGGGCGGTTGGTGGCCCTTGAATGTCTAGGCAGGTGACAGGTGGTAGCTTCACCCAGATGGTGGCAGAGGCACTTTGTGATTCTGGAGGTGGGACCAGCAGGGCTGGTGGGGTGGTCTCTGCACATGGGGATGGGGAGGGGCTACCTGGGTTCTGCCTGAGCACCTGGGAATGCGGGCAAGATTTGGTTTTGAAAATATAGACTTTGTGACTCCTATCAAGGTGGGCTGTGATGAGGCCGTGGCTGCTTTGGGGCCCCTGGGCAGGCGGGTGGTCAGTGTGCCGGGACATGCCCTGGTTGTCACTGAGCCACGGGTGGCAGATTCGGTCAGGGGTCTGCTGCCTGCTCTGGCTCCTGTGCCCTCACTTTGACTGCGGGGTGGCCCAGCCTGGCTCTGCCCACACCCACCTCAGGGGACAAGCTGGGCTCCAACCATTTGCTCTGTTTCTCCTGCAGCCGATGAAGAGGCCCCTGATTATGGCTCTGGCGTCCGCCAGTCGGGAACTGCTAAAATCTCCTTTGATGACCAGCATTTTGAAAAGGTACCAAGCTCCCTCCCGAGTCCCAGACCTGGAGGTGCCTGGCGCTCACTGGAGTCCTGTGCACTTTGCTCCTCTAACACCCCTGTGTCCCATCCCACGGGCCCTGAGTCCTCTTGGGGTTCTTCCCTCTGGTCCAGAGCACTGAGCCTGCCCCATCTCTAAGCACACTGCGCCCCTTTTCCCGGGTTTGCCCTGACCCCTGGATCCGCCCATCTCCCACCACGGCCGCTCCAGGGTCCAAGTCGGGGCGCAGAGCAGGTGGACAACACGAGCCTCCAGAACAGACACTGAGGTGCAGCCACCCCCACCCTGTCTCCCTTCTCTGGACCAGCTCTCCTCTGGGTCCCCACAGTACGGCGCGTTCCCACTGCCCCCTTCGCCTGCTCCTTCGCCTGCTCCTGGGCTGCCCCCCTGAGGCTGCCTACCTGCGGTCCTCATGTGAAGGGCCGGCGCTGTGTCCAGTGGCACCTGGACCACTCAGTCTCCTCTTCTGCTCTTGAGAGAGTGGTGGAGGAAGGTCCCCAAAGTGCACCCCATGCCACACTCAGGTGGCTCCTGTCCCCACCTTCTTAGACTCGCTTCTCACCCCTGCCCACCTGGCCGTGCCGTCACCTGGAACCTGGGTGCCCTACTCCCTGAGCGAGGGTGGTCTGTCTGCCCAATGCCTTTTCTCTTGGAGGGGCTGTCAGTATTGGGGATGCCCAAGAAGGGGAGGGGAGAGAGCTAACCTGCTGGACAAGGGGCCCTGGCAGGCGGGGGTCCGGCTGAACTGAAGACCAGAGCAGAGAGGCAGGTGGTGAGTTGTTTCCAGGACAGCTCAGAACTCCCATGGCCATAGGCTGTAGAATCCAAAGACACACATCCACAGCAGGGAAAACTGAGACCTGGGGAGGTGGATGCCCCCCTACAAGGCAGGCACAGGTCTGGTGCGTGGGTTCATGGAGGCCCCAGCCCAGGCTCTGGGTGGCACAGCCCTCCCGTGGGCCTGTGGCAGGGTCTACGGTGCCCCTCCTCGGCTGGCTCCTGGCTCTCTCTGACTCTGGTCCCCCTCTGATCAGTTCCAGTCCGAGTCTTGCCCCGTGGTGGGGATGTCCCGCTCGGGAACCTCCCAGGAAGAGCTTCGCATCGTGGAGGGCCAGGGCCAGGGTGCAGACGTGGGGCCCTCAGCCGATGAAGTCAACAACAACACCTGTTCAGGTGGGTCGCCCACCCCAGCTGCCCAGGGCGTAGGGGATGCTGAGACCTGGTTCCTGAGCCCGGCCCAGGCCTGTGGCTGGAAGACAATATGGCCTGGAGGTCCATGACTCTCTCCTTGACTCCCAGCAGCAGTGCCCCCAGAAGGCCTCCTCCTAGACAGCTCTGAGAAAGCCGCCCTGGATGGGCCCCTGGATGCTGCCCTGGACCACCTCCGCCTGGGCAACACCTTCACCTTCCGTGTGACAGTCCTGCAGGCGTCCAGCATCTCTGCCGAATATGCCGACATCTTCTGCCAGTTCAAGTGAGGCCCTGCTGCCTTTGTGTCCCTGCGCTGCGCAGGGACTCTGTGCCCAAGGCTCCCGTGCCTGGGTGCTGGGCAGGGAGCAGGCCATGTTGGTGCTGTGTTGGCCCAGCCCGCAGGCCCTGAACGCCCCAGCGCCCTCGTGTGAGGTGGGTTCCACCTGGTAAGGTCTCATCCCAAGTCCCCCACCCCACACCAAAGCATCTCCTCTGCTTTGCAGCTTCATCCACCGCCACGACGAGGCCTTCTCCACAGAGCCCCTGAAGAACACAGGCAGAGGCCCCCCACTTGGCTTCTACCACGTCCAGAACGTACGTTCCTGGGCACTTCTCCCCATCCCTGCCACTGACTGACCCTCCCAGGGCCTCTCTGAGCATGGCTCATTCTCCCTCTTCTGAACACCAGTTGTGGGCCAGGACTGCCTTGTGCACCGGGAACTCCAGTGCCAGGCAGGGTGTAGGAGCGATTTCTGGGCAGTGGGAGACCCTTGATGGATTTACAGCTGGGGCATGGGGGCCGCTCAGAGCCCCTGGGAGCTGCTCATAGTGAGCATAGAGCCGATGGGGAGCCGGATGCAGGTGCAGTGGGGCCTGGGATTTGTACTGAGGGCCGGGGGTGCTCAGCCAGGGCAGCCCTGGCTTGGGTGTTGGGAATGGGAAGGAGGCAGGGCCACAGGGGCTACAGGGTGCCGGCAACGTCCCGAGAGGTCTGGAAAACTCCAGGCAGGAGAGTGATGGCAGCTGGGCTGCTAGGATGATGGAGAGGAGGGGCCTTTAAGGCGGAGCAGCTCCTTCTCCAGGCGGGAGAACTGGGCTCCTGGGGCAGCAGGGGAAAGAGTGCCTAACGGTGATAAGGAAAGCTACCAGGGAGCCAGGCCTTGAGTGCCAGGCCACGGGTGTGGATTTGGCAGGGGTGATAACCTGGAGACTCAGTGGGTTAGTTGGCTGGGACTTCTGTCACAAAGCACCACAGGTGGGGGCATCTAAAAACAACAGAAATGTGGCCTCCCATCGCTCTGGAGGCTGGAAGCCCGGGATGAGGGTGTGGGCAGGATTGCCCCCTTCTTAGGCCTCTATCCTTGGCTTATAGAACAGCCGCCTCTTCCTTGTGTCTGTTCACATGGCCCTCCCCCTCTGCGTGTGCCTGGGCCCAAACTTCCGCTTTTCATAGGGACAGCAGCCATGTTGGATTGGGACCTACTCTGATGACCTCTCGTTAACTCCGTTTTCTCTGTAAAGGCCCTATCCCAGGATATACTCTCATTCTGAAGTCCTGGGGTTGGGACTTCAACATACGAATTTGGTGAGGGGACATGGTCCAACCCATAACTCTTGCTGAGTGGGGCAGGACCTAAGAAGGGGAGTCCTGAAGAGACCAGCGCTGCCCTTTGTCACCTTTCCCAGCTCCGTGTTCTGAAAGGGCAGCTGAGCCACGCGGCCCCTGTTCGTCCTGGAGAGAGAGCCCGAGGGACACACTCCAGAGTCTGTCTGGGGCACGTGGTGGGAGGAGGGGCTGGGCTGAAGGGCCTAGAGGAGGCTGCTGCCCCTGGGCAGACGTGGGCCCAGCTAGGGGTCCCAGATCTGGGCCTGAAGCGCTTAGCTCACTGATGTGACTCTCCTTCCCCCTTGAATGTGACCTGGCCGTGCCCTCCTGTCCTCCCACCTGCCTGCCCACCAGATCGCAGTGGAGGTGACCAAGTCCTTCATTGAGTACATCAAGAGCCAGCCCATTGTTTTCGAGGTCTTTGGCCACTACCAGCAGCACCCGTTCCCGCCCCTCTGCAAGGACGTGCTCAGGTTAGCGCCCTGGGTCGGGGGGTTCGGGGCTGCTGTCCTCAAAGCCCCTGCCCAGATCTTTTCATCCAGCTGTCTTGAGGCTGCAGAGCCTATGCACCCCCTGAAACCCACCTCCCCTGCCCATCCAGGAGGCCTTTTGCCCAGGGCTGGCAGGACTCAGAGAGCAATTAAGAGCTCTGGGCCTGCCTGCAGCTTCTCTCCTTCGGGACTGCAGAGAGTTCCTTGTGAGCATTGCTTGACCTCCTGCTGGCCTGGGCAGTGTGCAGGGGCTGCCAGCTGTAGGATGCTGGGGTGGCCCCGGGGAGACCACTTCTGCTGCCCACCGAGGACCCCAGGAAAGGGGCCCAGCTGTGCCACACCCTGGGGAAGCCCGGCCTAGCTCCCTCAGTCCACGCAGCCTCCTGAGGCCTGGAAAATGGGGGCTCAGAGAGACTTGCGGGGCTGGGGCATGAAGTCAGGACTTCCACTCAGGCCATCTCACCCAGACCCTTGAAGGTGGACAGGAGTGTCTACCCTGGGCCAAGCCGACCCCTCCTGGGCACCTCGAGTGCAGAGAGAACTGCAGAGAGGCCTCGGGTGGGCCCTTTCTTCCCATCTCCATCTCCCCTCAGCTGTCAGGCAGGACTGGGAGCTCAGGGGCCCTCCAGGGTGTCAGGGAAAGAGAAGGGCAATGAAGGCTTTGTTCTGGGGGTGCTTGTCTGTCCTCGCGAGTGCCTGAGGGACTCTGGACTGGGAGCCAGAGCTTGACCCTTGCCCTGGTTCCCTGTGGCCTCTGGGGTGGGAGCTGGGGTCCCAAGGGTCCCTCCTCTTCCTCCCACCCAAGCTGGTGGACGGTCTTGGAGAAGAGAGGGTGGGAGGGGCCGGGATGGGCACCTGGGGCCTGTAGCCCTTCTGTCTCCTTCTGACCCCTCCCGCCCAGGGTCCCGCAAACACCTCACACTGGTCCTTTCTCCACAGCCCCCTGAGGCCCTCGCGCCGCCACTTCCCTCGGGTCATGCCACTGTCCAAGCCAGGTAGGAAGGGTCTCTGGAGCCGTCTCAGGGCAGTGAGCTCCCCTCACTGTGGGTGCTGTAGTGGGCTGGGCCCCCGCAGTGAATGCTGTCCTCTGTGACTGGGCTGTGCCCTCCCAGGCACTCTGGCGCCACCCTGAGCCTGTCAGGCCTCACGGGGTCCCCATGGAGCAAGGGTCTGCCCTGTGCCCAGAGAGTAGCCTGGAGCTGGTGGCAGAGGTGTGGGGAGCCAAGGAAGGAAGGCAGCAAGAGGGTCGGGGGCTTTGAGGGGACTTCAGGCATCTCAGCTGAACGCAGAGAGGTGGAGATTTGGGGATGAAAGGCAATCTAGGACGCTCCTTCACGGGGGTCTGAGGCTGGAGGTGGGAGCGAGAGTGTGGGGTCAGTCGGGGAGAAGTATTTGTCAGAGCTTTTGCCTGGAGCCTGGAGCCTCTGCCTGTGGGAACAGGTGGGTCATGGAATAGCACTTGAGATCCACTGGCTTTTAGTTAAAAGAGTGGAGTTTATTTCCTGCAAGACCAAAACCCAGGGACATGGTCGGGGGAGAGCTGAAGACAGCCAGACTGAGGCCCAGCAGGTGTGGCCGAGTCTCTCATAGCCCAGAAACCCTCCTGAAGGAGGGAGTGTGGTCCCGGGCACCAGCACCCCAGAGGGTAGGGGCCTGTGTGAGAAGCTGCTTCTGCAGCTGGTGGGTGGAGGCACTGGGTCTGCACACATGGTGACCAGGTGTCAGCCTCTTGTGCCTGCCTTGCAAGGACCCTGTCCTCGGAACCCCTGTAAGATGAAGGTTTGCGGGCTGAGGACACTGTGGGAGGACACCCTCCAGCTGCTGCAGAGCCAGTCCCTGGTCTGTACAGGCTTTGTGGCCCGCAGTATGAGTTCCCTGAGATTCAGTCCTCCCCACAGCCTGCAAGAAAGACCTGTAGATCCATATTTGTAGGAGAGGCAGAGGAGGGGACTTGCTAGAAGAGGACCTGTGTGATGGGTCTCAGAGAAGGGAGTGGTAGACAGAGGTGGGTGAAGGATGTGAGGACAGAGGCTGTTTGTCAGGAGCTGGACACGAGTGGAGGGTCAGTGGGAGCTGAGGGACAGGTCCTCTCGGGCCAGGCCTGGGTGCTGGTGAAATGTGCTTGGACAGGTGTAGTAGGCTGTGGCCAAGGTGTGGTGTAGGCAATGGGCCTGGCAGCATGGCAGAGCGGCCCCGTGAGGGTTGTGGGGCTTTTGAACAAGGGTATGTGCGGCTGCCCTGTTGGTTCTTGGGGTCTTGACCACTGTCCTCCTCATGAGCTGTGCCGAGTGTACATGGCCATGTGCCTTTCCTAGCCGGGGCACAGAGAACGTGAGCGTCCATGTGACGTGCTAAGGCCACAGAGTGCCCAGGACCCGGTGTATCTTGGGAATGGCTGGGGTTGGCTGGTTGTTTCCCTTGAGGAGGGGGAGGTGCCCTTGCTGCCTCTGAGTCCCTTTGGCCCCGGCATCTCCTCCTTGAGTGTGCCCTTGGCACGTGATAGGTCAGGTCTCCCATCCATGCATGCCTCCCTCCTGTCCCTACAGTGCCCGCCACCAAGCTCAGCACACTGACGCGGCCCTGTCCGGGACCCTGCCACTGCAAGTACGACCTGCTGGTCTACTTCGAGATCTGTGAGCTGGAGGCCAACGGCGAGTGAGTGCTGGTGCTGGGGCCCCCAGGGCGTGAGTGTGTGTCGGGGGGTGCGCGGAGAGGGACGAGGACTTGAGCTGCCTGAGGGTTGCCAGCATCCAGAGTCGTTCTTCCAGCGGGTGTTCACTGCAGACCTCTTGTGGGCCCGGCCTCATCTAGGTCTTGGGGAGTAAAAGCAGACAAAGTCCTGGAGGAGCTGGCATGAGGGGCAGGGAGGTGCTGGACAGATAAGCACCTGAATTAGTGTCCCCATGGTCCTGAGCACTAGGACAGCAAACCAGGGTATGGCTCAGGGGCAGGGCAGGGAGGCAGACAGCACTTACAAAGTGATCAAGGGACTTTTGAGGGAGGTGGGAGGGGAGCCCTGAGGCCCTGGGGAGGCAGGTTCCAGGGCCCCAGGGTGGAGGCCAGTGGGGGTCTGCCTGGTGCCCTGGGGGCAGCTGGGAGCTGGGCTGTGGCTGGCAGCTCAGAGTGGGGCCTGGTGGAGACTCGGATCCTTGCCCAGAGTGGGACAGGAGCCTTAGATGTTGGAGAAGACGAGCCCATCTGCTGGGATTTCCTCTGGATCCTCTGGCCTTGGGTTGCGGATCTGCAGGGCATGAGGGGAAGCAGAGGACCCTTGGGAACTTACAAAGATCCAGCCCAGAGGGGCCAGGCTGTGCCATACCGTGTCTCCTTGTTGGACACCCTGCCAGTCCAGTGGGCAGGGCTGGGAGGTGATAGCCAAGGAGGCCTGGTGGGTTTCTGTGCTCAGCTGACCGTGGTCTCCATGGATCAGACCACCTGATCTTCACCAGAGGGAGCTGCTGACTTTTCCCTGTTTTTGCTCCCGTCCACTGTGTCCTGTGCTGCGGGGAGGGCAGAGAGGAGGGGCTGGCCGCTCCTCACATGTGTCTCTCTCTTCCAGTTACATCCCGGCCGTGGTGGACCACCGTGGGGGCATGCCATGCATGGGGACCTTCCTCCTCCACCAGGTGTGAGCCCCTCTTGCCCCTACCCTGCCTGTGTCCCCTCCCCCACCCCACCAGGTGTGAGCCTCTCCCTGCCCCTACCCTGCCTGTGTCCCCCTCCCTCACCCTACGTAGCCCCCTGAGCCGTCTGACCATATCCTCTCACCTGGCACCGGCAGGGCATCCAGCGACGGATTACGGTGACACTACTGCATGAGACAGGCAGCCATATCCGCTGGAAGGAAGTGCGCGAGCTGGTCGTGGGTGAGTGCGGTGTGGGGGCTGCCTTGGTGGGTGGGGCTGAGCTGGTGGGAAGAGTACAGGCCCTGAGCTGGATACCCGGGTTCTAACCACACCTCTGCGTCTGTTGCTGCGTGACCCTGGCCGGGTCACATAATCTCTCTGTGACTCACTTCCTCACCTGAAAAGGAGAGCCTTGGACCTGGGTGACGATCTGCAAATTTCTGTTTAATCAGTGTATTGGAGTTCTGGGGCTGCCATGACAAAATACCACAAACCAGGTAGCTTAAAACAGCAGACATTTATCATCTCACACTTCTGGAGGCCAGAGGTCCAAAATCAAGGTGCCGGCAAGAGGCGCGCTCTCTCTCTCTGAAACCTGTTGGGGAAAATCCCTCCCTGCCTCTTCCAGCTCCTGGTGGTGGCCAGCATCTTGGGCGACCCTGGCCTGCAGACGCATCACTGCATTTTCGCAGGCTTCTCCTGTCCTGTGTCTTCCTGTGGCCCTTTCTCCTAAGGACACCAGGCAGGTTGGATTAGAGGCCCATCCTGCTCCAGGGTTGACTGCATCTTTACTCAGTTTGATCACCTCTGCAAAGCCCTACTTCCAAATAAGGTCCCCTTTGAAGGTCCTGGAGGTTAGGACTTCCACGTATATTTTTCGGGGACACAATTCCTCCCATAACCATCACCAAGGATCTTACACTCTTTTCTTCCATGACCTCATGTTTCGAATTCGGGTCCGCCAAATGTTTCCTTTGCTAAAGCGGAAAGAATTTGTCTTCTCAGTTTTCATTCAAGGAGGCAGACAGTCATCCATTCAAGTGTGTCACTAGCATGAGGCCAGCCCAGCCCTGCCTTGCCCCAGACATTGCCATGGCCGGGCTGGGTGGCTGCTCAAGGTCACTTCCCTGAGGCTGGACCCGTCACCTTGTGTCCCAGTGCAGGACTGTAGACAGGAGGTTCCAGGTACACCAGGATACATGCTTATGTTTTACAAGTTTTGTGTCTAATTTCACATGAATCAGAAAGTCATGGAACAAGCACCCAAACCCTCCTTTCAGAGGTTGTTTAGGGCAAGCCTAAGAAGAGTGAATTGATTTATAGGCAGAACGTAAGCAAATACACAGCTGGTTTATGGACCCGGCCACACGGTAGTTGAGGAACGATCCCTGGGGCAGCACTGCCCTCACATTCTGAGCCCTGGTCTCACTTCCCTCAAGGCAGACAGGAGAGAAGGAAGAGGGGAAGCTGGATCTGCATGGTTGAAAGGACGCATCCTTCGGGCCTGGGTCTGTCACCACTCAGGCCCCGCCTGCTCAGATCCACCTTCTCCCCACCTTCTTTCTAAAAAGGCCAACAGGAGTGTCTGTTTATGTGGGGTTGGGTGATCAGGGATGCTATTTAAAGGGATCTGGGGAGATATGGTATGAACCCCAATGCTCCCCTTCAGGCTAAGGGGTTTGGGCTCAGCCTCTCTGGGCTTCGTGACTGAGCAGCCCTGTGATTGGACTCAGGGCACAGAGCAGCCAAGTCACTTTCTGGGGAGCACCTAGCCTCTCTCCTGCTCCTCACCTGGGACCCAATCTCACTGTTCACAGCCTTCTCCAAGCTCAGCATCCCTCCCAAGAGGGCCATGGGACTTTCCAGCCCTGTGAGTTGGACAGGACTGGGCACAGGGTCAGCGAAAGGGATGAAAGTCGAGGAGAGACCCCGGGTGTCCATGAGCAGTGGGTGGGTGCACCCTTTGAGGCAGGGGAGGGAGTCAAAGTGCAGACAACAGAGGGTCAGGACCCCAGCCCAACCCCTGGCACTCTGTCCAGACCAGCGGGCTCATGGGTGTCAGTTTTGTGGGCCAGGTACTTGGTCAGACGCAGAGCAGGCTAAACACTGCTTAAGTGCAGGCCCCGAGGGCTGAGAGCAGCTGCGCTCCCCTCCCCGAGGGCTGAGAGTGGCTCTGCCCAGGCAGCGATCTCTGCAGCTGAGCCTCTTCCCTGCCATGGGCACTGCCCAGCATGGACCCAGAGGGCCCTGGCGTGGGGAAGGGCACTTTGCTGGGATCCACCTGCCTCTTCCCAGGACCTAAGTGCTGCAAAGTCATGGGTCAGAGTTCCAGCAATGGGATGGGGCAGGCCCAGTGTGCACCCATCAACACAAAATCCTAGCGTGTCCTGGGTTTTATCTTGTCCATGCATGGCGGAGAGGGAAGGCTGCCGTTCCTTCCTGGCGCAACAAAGAAAATGTACATGTGTTTGTTTACTCCTTTGAATGAGCAGAACTGTCACTGTCTGGCCAAGAAATTACTAGGTGAAGCCACTAGACAGTTTTCCTGCCTGATAACGGCTCTGGTTTCTTTCACAGAGACAGACAGACACCCCCAGTGCATGCAACTTAGCGGGCTCTCCTGGAAATGCCCCTTGTAAGAAGAGGTTTTATGGCACAGAAAGTGTTCTCTCCTATCCCTTCCCATCCCTCCCCTCCTCTGCTCTTCTTTCCCTCCCTCCCTTCCTCCCTCCCTCCCTCCCTCCCTTTCCTTGTTATTATCATGACTTTTTGGTGTAAGAAGAAGCAGGAACATTCCTCCTCTGTGTCTTGCTTAGCCTTCCTTTTCCAGCAGTCAGGAAGGCCGGTGGTTTCCAGGCTAAGCACCTGCATTTGTCAGTGTGTGTATACGGGGGTGTTCACTGTGGCCGAGAGACAGACAAGAAAGACCGTGGAGCAGCAACTACACATGGCACCTGGGTTGCTGAGGACCCTGTAGGGCCTCCCTGTTCCCCCTGGCACCGCCTTTGACAGACGCTCTAGTGACCATGTGGGGAGCTGGCTTGCTGACAGGACCCCCACCTGAGGCAGCCCCCCAGGGTCCCACCTGCCCCCTGGGAAGTGACCTGTGGCCCGTTGCCTTTTCTGCAGGCCGCATCCGAAACACTCCAGAGACCGACGAGTCCCTGATCGACCCCAACATCTTGTCTCTCAACATCCTCTCTTCCGGATACATCCACCCAGCCCAAGATGACCGGTGAGTCGGAGACTCCCTGGAGACAGGGCCCAGGGCATGTTCCCAGCCTGCCAGGCCCTCAGCCAACCCGGCACAGGGTTCAGCCACACAAGGTGACCCGCTCAACGCTCTCCCGGCCCTCCCTCCTGGCACCTGCAGGAGCTGTGCGGTGAGGGGCTGGTGGCCTCTGCACCCCCGGCTCCTCGTTTGTGCACCTCGTTGCTGGTTCAGGCATCCCCATGCCCATTTGTTTATCACCAAGCAGAGGGGCCAGCGCAGGGGTTGGAAGATGAGCTGAGTTCTGTCCTCGGGAGTTTTGTGGTTGCGTGGTGTGGGGACAAGTGGCTGTATGTCCAAGGACCATGCTGCTGTGGATGAGTCAGTGGCCTCTGGCAGGCATCCTGGGGCTAGAGGTGGAGCAGCTGGGGTGGGCGCCCATAGGCACTGCTTGGCACAGGCCCCTCATCACCAGGCTGCTCCTTCCTACACTCCTTGCACGGCCAAGACCCCACAGTCTGGGCGGTCCCAGCCCGACCGCATTTAGGCTGGGGTTTTGGCGCTCTGGGATGTCTGTGGCAGCCCTATCGGGGTCTGCTGGGGTTAGGGGATGGGAGAGGGAGGCAGCCCCTGCGGTTGGCCTGGGCAGGTGGCTCAGCACTGCCAGGGGCAGCCCTGGTGGGTGGGGACGTCCCGCGGGCTCCACTGCGTCCCAGACGCTGCCTTCCAGGGGCTTGGGGAAAGTGAGGCGGGGGCTCCAGTGTCCAGTCCTGGCTGCTCCCTGGGGGCTCGACCTGGCTCATGATGCACAAGCCCAGAGTGGACCCTCAGAGCTGAAGCCGCAGGTGTCTCCATGGCTGTGTTTGTAGGAAAACGTCTTTGAGGGCCTCCCTGCAAGGAGGGTCAGGGTCATAAGGAAGGAGGGTCCTGGCGGGCGTCGTCTCCTATTCTTCTGACTTGGGTCCACACAAAGCTTTGGTTTCATCAGCAACACCCAGAAAGTGGGCTATCGGGGCTTAGCACTGCAGTAAGGAGGGCACTGCAGGGGCAGCCAGGGCAGGGGGCAGCTGGATAGTCAGGGTGGGCACAGCGCTGAACAGTGGGGGGTGGGGGTTGGGCACAGACCTGGGCAGGGTGGATGCAGCTCTGGTCCCAGCCCTGCCTGTGGCCTTCCAGAGGGAACTTGCCCTGCACTCATGTCCATAGGAGGGTGGAGAATCCGGGGGGTGTTCTATGTGGAGGTGGTGCCATGAGGGGGGAGCACGTCTGGGAGAGGGAGAGGTGAGGCAGACCAGGTGGGACGGGCCGGGGCTTGGGGCTTCCCCGTGCCTTGCTTCTCCTGCCGCCATGAGAATGCTCCCTGGTGAGGTGTGGAGAAGGCCTGGAGCCCCCAGCACGGGCGCTGCCTGCAGAGTGTGGGCTGCTGTGCCTGGGCCATGGGGGACCAGGAATTGGAGTAGGGGGTGGGGCCCGGAAGGGCGGGTCTGCCATGTGAGATGTGCTTTGGAGCCTGGGAGATGACCTCATTACCTTATTTTCCTGACCTCTGACCCCCCTCAGCCCAGGCAGCTCCTGGGGTGGGGTGGGCAGGGGCTCCAGCCCCCCAACCCCACCTGCTATCTCTCTGCACAGAGGGCTGAGTTTCTGAGGTCTTCCTCAGAAGACCAGCTGCCATGGGTGACGTAGGAGGGAGCGGCTCATGGCTGGACCTCAGGCCACCCTGTTCCTGGATGCCTGAGAACCTGTCACTGAAGGGGCTTTGGCCCCACACCCTGAGGGCTGAGACATGAGGCCGGTCCCAGGGTGCCTCTGGGGTTGAGGCAGCCCTGTTCTGGGGTCAAGGCCCTGGGTCTGAGAAAGGAGGAAGGCGCGTTGCGTGGGCGCGGCCTCCCCGAAGCGGCTTTGGCCCTCGCTTGGCTCCTGCCCGTGCTGGCAGCTCCCACCCCTAGCCCTGCCCTGGAGCAGTCTTGGGGACTGTCCTCTGCTGGCACCCCCAGGCAGGCACCGTCCTGTGGCTTGGCTGACCAGGCCAGTGGGCCTTCCTGTGCCATGGACGGTGCTGGCGTCCTCAGCCCCATGATGGGCCGGGCTGCTCCAAGGCCGCTCTCCCTGACGTGCGGAGGCTCAGGATCCCCGGCTTCTGGCTCCAGCCTGGGGCCTTGGCCTTCCATGCGCTTTTCCATGGCCTTGCCTCCTGCCCGCTCCCAGGCCCCACGCTTTGCAGCCTCCCTGGCTCAGAGTGGGCCTGTGGCCACAGGCCGCTTCCCTCTGCCTGTCCCCCACCCCGCTCCCGCTGCGCTGCCCGGCCCTCACTAACCGTGTGATTGTTTGTGTTTTGCAGGCAGTTTCTTGATTCGGACATACCTAGGTATCATCTGTGACCCTTGGTTTACCCTTGGTTTCATTTCAGCCTCTTCTTTCCTCCCTGCTCCTCCCCTGACCGCCCCCCATGCCCCTGAGAAGTTAACTTCCAGCTTCCTGGACTCCTCACACACGTGCTCACCTGTCCTCCTGTTCCTCCCGTCTTCTTTCTTTTTATTCTCTTGGAATCTTGGTTTGATTTCTTTATTGCTTTCCCACCCTGTCCTCTTGGCTGAGTCCCTTCTTCCCCCACTCCTGATTTTGGCTGCTTTGTAGTTTCCTGCTCCCTAGTAGACACTGGCTGGCCTCCTGCTCCTCCTGCCCCAGCCTTGCCTGCCCCGCGCCACACCCTGCCCTGTGGATGGGCTCGGTGTCCCGCACGCTGCTGGCTGGCCCGCTGCCCTTGGCTGCACCACCCTGTGAGGACCAGCCCCGCTCCCCTCTCCCTGCAAGGGGCTGTAGCAGGCAGAGCCATGAGCACAGGGGTTGGGGAAGGGCAGACAGGATCCAGCCCAGGAGACCCTCACACTCCGGCACATTCCACAGCCTCTCGTGAGTCCCTCACCTGGCCAGGCCAGGAGGAGGGACAGCGGCTCCAGCCACGCTCCTCTGGCCGTGGCCACCGAGCATCCTTTTGTGGAAGTGGCGGGTGGTGAATTCATGAAGAGACCATAGAGTCCCAGACTCAGGTTGTCCAGCAGGAGGCTCCCTTTTCCCCGGCTGCAGTGAGGCCCCTGCCCGTGCCAGCCTGGGGCAGGGAGTCGGCGAGACCTTGGGGATGGAGGGCCTCCAAGTCCCTAATCCAGGCACTGGTGAGAACTCGAGTCCGTTCCGAATGGAAAATCAAGGCTGCCTGCTCCTGGGTCCCTGCATGACTGTGGCCAGCGTCACGGCAGTTATCCTGTGGGGTGGCGTTTGTGAAGTGAACTGAGCAGCAGAAGGCCTTTCAGACCAATGATGGGCCTTTAAGCCCTGTAGTTGTGAGGTGTGAGGCCGCTCCTGGCACAGAGCCCCAGGGCAGTGGGGCTTGGCCAGCACTTTCTGAGGCCACATCCTTGTCAGGTCGTGTTGCGATGGGTCAGGACAGATGATTGACAACTGTGGCAGAGGGACTGTGGCCAGGAGAAGACTCTGCCCAGGGGTGGCCGGGCCAGAGTCCCCATTGGCATGGTCCCTTGAGCACGTGCACACACACCTCTTTCCATGAACAGATCTTTTCTGAAGGCTGCCGCACCAGCCCTCCCTGGGGACCTGGATGCAGCAGAAACCCTGTCAAGGGACCCCTGTGATGGTGGCTGGGCTGAGGAGGGAGCACGGCCCTGCAGGGCCTGAGCAGGGGCCTCCCTCTCCCTGCAGTGAGTCTGGCGGGCTTGCAGGAGGAGGAGATGGCATCGTGCTAGCTAGTCCTGGAGTCAGCTGGCCTGCCTCTGGGAGTTTCCCCATGCTCGGAAAGATCTGGGTCTGGGGAGCCCATCAGCTTGGGCTCTAATTTAGGAGCTGTTTTCTGGGCATTGCTGTGCCATTGGTGGGGCCGCAACATTCACCCACGCACTCATTGATCTTTCACGTGTGACTAAGACACTCATGTGAGCCACATCCTGTGGGATTAAAGGCAAAATCAGGAAAAGTCTGTCCAGGTGGGTCAGAGCCTGGCCAGGAAGCTCATTCACCCTCTCATCCCCCCCTCATTCCCCCTCATCCCTCCCTCATTCCCCCTCATCCCTCCCTCATCCCTTCCTCATACCCTCATCTCTCCCTCATCCATTCCTCATCTCTTACCCTTCCCCATCCCCTTATCCCTCCCTCATCCCCTCTCTTCCCCATCCCTCCCTCATTCCCCCTCATCCCTCCCTCATCCCTTCCTCATACCCTCATCCCCTTATCCTTTTCTCATTCCCCCTCATCGTCTCGTCCCTCCCTCATCCCCTCATCCCTTATCCCCTCATCCCTTATCCCTCCCTCATTCCCCCTTATCCCTTCATCCCTCCCTCATTTTCCCTCATCCCTCATCCCCCCTCATCCCCTCATTTCACCCTGTCGTCCCTCACCCCCGAACTCCTCATCCCCTTATTAGCTCCTCCCCTCATTCCCTCATCTCCTCATCCCTCCCTCATTCCCTCATCCATCCCTGATCCCTCCCTCATCCCCTCATACCCCCCTCATCCCCCATCCCTCCCTCATTCCCTCATCCCCTCATTTTACCCTATTTCCTCACTCAATTCCTCCTCCTCTCACCCTTTCCTCCCCTCACCCCCTCATCCCTTACCTCCTCGTCCCTGCATTCCCTAATTCCCTCACCCTCTCCTCCCCTTACGCCCTAATCATGCCTCCCTTCATTCCCTCCGCCCCTCTTCCCTTCATTTTTTCCTCCCCTCTCTCCCTCACTCCTTCACCCCCTCATTTCCTCATCCCCTCCTCCCCTCATTCTCTCCTCCCCTGATCCCCTTCTCCCTTCATCCCTCCTCCCCTCATGTTTCATCCCCTCTTCCCCTCATGCCTCATCCCCTCCTCCCCTCACGCCTCATCCCCTCCACCGCTCATTCTCTCCTCCCTTTATCCTCTCCTCCCCTCCTCCCCAATCCCTCATCCCCTCCTCCCCTCCCCTCATCCCTCCTCCCCTCATTCTCTCCTCCCCTCCTCCCCTCTTCCTCCTTCCCTCCTCCCCCATCCCTCATCCCCTCCTCCCCTCATTCCCTCCTCCCCTCATTCCCTCCTCCCGTCATCCCCTCCTCCCCTCATTGGCTCCTCTCCTAGTCTCCTCCCCTAGTCTCCTCCCCTCCTCCCCCCATCCCTCATCCCTCCTCCCCTCCTCCCCTCCTCCCCTCCTCCCCTCCTCCCCTCATCCCTTACCCCCCAATCCCCATAGCAGACACTAACCAAGCAGGCTGTGTCCTGGCCCTGTGGCACAGCAGTGATGGGGACTGCTGGCCCTGGTTCTGGAGCCAGAGTCCAGCGACAGTGTCAGCCAGGGCGAGGGGGACTGTGGGGGTCTTCCCAGTGGGGAGGGCTCACCAGGAAACAGTGAGCTTGCCTGAGCTGGGGGCACAAAAGGAGCCCATGAGCAGAGGTGGAGGGGAGAGTGGAAAAGGCAGCTCCCGGTCAGGGCCGAGCCCCTGACCTGCACTGCCTCTGAGGCCAGATCTGGTCTAGGATTCTCCTCCTCTGAGGACAGCGACCTCCAGGGCCACGCTGTCTGGTGGAGGTGGTGGGGAGCAGTGACATGCTGGTTGTCTCCCAGCTGGCACAACTTCAGGGGTGGCATGCGGTCGGGGCACCAGCTCTGGCTGTGTCAGCGGCTGCAGCCCAGCGCTGCTGGTGGAGCCAGGGCCAGAGCCGCATCCGATGTTGCTCAAAGTCCGTGCATTCCTCAAGCCTGTGGGGACAGGATGCAGCTGTCTCCAGCTGCGCCCCCACCCCCTCCCTGCCTCTGTTTAGTCTGTGCCTGGCATCTGGCATACCTGGCATCTGGCATGCCCACCATCCTAGCCCCTATGTCTAAGTCCTTGGTGGGCTTTGAAATCCAGCTGCAGTGGGCCCTCCTCCAGGCACCTTCCTGACTCCACCCACCTCCTTCTCACTAGCCTAGCTGTAAAATCTCTCCTGTCTCTGTGTGGATCTACTGCAGATTTGCCCTCAGGCCAGGTTTCGAGCTTTAAAGGGCAACATCAGCCTTCCCAGCTGTACATTTCCCCACAGGACAGAGCCCAGGGCAGGGCTCAGTCAGGCCGGGAGGGAGCCTGCAGCTGCCCTCAGGGGGCTTGGAGGGTGGGGCCAGTACTGACCAGGACTCAGGCTGGAGGTGGAGAGGCTACAGAGCAGGCTCATGCTGCGGCCCTCAGGGGTGCCTGGCCCAGCCTCCTCCAGTTGGCTGGGCCCTGTGCGAATGCTGCATCCAGCTTTCATCCCAGAGACAGATGGGCTGCCTGTGTTCTCTGCTCCATTCTTGGGCTGCTTGGTGGATGGTGCCACATGACTGTGTTGTGTCATGTCCAGATCCTGTGAACCGTATCCCTGAGGTCGGGGTTCAAGCACAATCCCCTGCTCTTAGCTGTGTGTTCACATCGGATCAAGTCTCCTGCTGGGATCATGTTCCCTTCGGGCGAGGAGGGTCAGCCCTGGCTGCCATCTGTGGCCTCAGCCTGTTAGATCGCCTCCCTGGAGAACCTGGGCCTCCACATCTGGGTTGCATGTTTCCTCTTGTGATGATTCTGAGGGTTTGGGTGCTGTCACGTGGGATAGAGTGAGGGAGGCTTCAGGGGACAGGGCCTGGAGCAACCTCGTGCCTGCTCCTGGAGTGGGGGTCCTGGAGTGGTCTCCAAGGCCCTCCCAGCCCACATCCTCCAGTTTTTGCCATGGCAGGGTGATCTTGGCCACCTCTCAGCCTCCCTGGGTCTTGGTTTCCTGCTGTATGATCACAGGGCACCCATCAGTGGTTCCCATGCTGTGCCCTGCAAGCCCGGTGGGCCCCAACTGGCAATGTGGGTCCCATGTGGGTCCTGTGTGGGTGAGCTGCTACTCTGCCAGCCTGCTCCTCCCTGATCCACCAGCTGTTGTCTCCTCTAATCTCACTTGGGATCTGGGTAAGACTTGTCCTCCCTTTGTAGAGGCTTGAGGGGCATAGGGGGACTAAGGAGTGTTGCCAGGGACCCTCCTGGCCCGAGATTCCAAGGTCTGCTGCCCGTGACCAGGTGGAGCCAGGCAGGATGTGGGCCAAGGGCTGGTTGCGAGGCATTTAGGGTACAGCTCCCCTGGGCAGAGTGGGAAGCCTCTGGGGCTGACCAGCAGTTTGGAAATGACCCAGGGGCAGCACCATGGCTGTGCCCATGTCAGACCCTGGTCCGGCTAGCCATCTTGGCACCTGGGGGAGGGGACAGTGGTCTGGAAAGGGCCCATCCCTGCTGTGCACACAGTCCTGTAAGGCTCCCTCCCACCATTCTCTCCCCAGCTCACAGGTGAGACTCCACCACAGTCAGGTTCTCAGAGAGATTCTAGTCCACTGGGGTCTGAGCAGGGCAAAGCCACATACTACCTGAACTGAGAAATTCTCTGCTAGGACCCCCAAGGGGGCTGTTGTGGGCCTCATGTGGAAGTGGGTTCATGTTCTACTTACAGCTCCAGGCCTGGCTCCAGCAGAGTCCACTTGCTCCTAAGGAGCAGCCCCTGGCTGGGCCTTGGAGTCCTGCCTGCCTCACTGGGCTTGTTCCTTTGCTGTGTCCCACTCAGGGGCCAAGGAGCCCCAGGATGGGGCAGGGACGTGGTTCCTGATGAATGAGGAGTGCCTGGGCTGGGAGGACCTGGTGCTCTCTGAAGGGCACAGAGAAGGGAGTAGGTGCTGATGCTGGGAAAGACCTGCTGGTTCTGATCCTGGGGCCCAGGGGTGAGGGGCAGGTGGGCTGTGTCTGCACACACGGAGATGGAAGAGAAGGAAGGGGAAGAGAAGCAAGCTGAGGCCCTTTAGGGACTTTGGAGGCAGAAGACAGAGGGTCCAGCACAGGACCGAATGCTTGGGCCCAGCAGGAGAGACAGGGCTGGTGGGACCTGCAGGCTGGGTCTTACCCAGTGCATAGAAGTAATGAGGATGCTAGAGTGTACTAGATAGTGACGTGTGCCAGATAGTTACACTGATGTGTACCAGACAGTGATGATGACATGTACCAGACAGCGGTGCTGACGTGTACCAGACAGCGATGCTGACGTGTTCCAGACAGGGATGCTGACGTGTACCAGATAGTGATGCTGATGTGTACAAGCTCCAGGCTCTGTTCTCATCGTGCTCTAGTATTAGCTCATTTAATCTGCAAGACATCTTGAGGTAGGGGCAATTACTGCCCCATGGTACTTACAAGGAAATGGGGCACAGAGCTGTTGGTGACATCCTGAGGCCACACAGCTGTGAAGTGGCTCTGTGGCATTCCAGCGGTCTGAGGCACTTGTTCCAGGCCAGGCTGCAGTGGCTCCAGCCCTGGCCTGCAGGCCTGACCCTCCACAGGATCCTGCAATGTTCCAGGAGAGGAGCAAATCCCTCCAGGCCTTTGTCCTGGCTTCTGGGCATCCACCTGGCCCAGCTGAGGACAGACGCAAGGCTCTCACTGCAGACCCCAGGGAAGGGGGTGTCTGCAGGGCCAGGGCCAGGGGCTCCACCTGGGGCTTGCACCCCAGCCCTGTGTGCAGCGAGAGCCTGGGGGCCGTGAGATCCGGCGTGCACCTGCCGAACTCTTAAGTTTTCTGCCCTGGGCCTTGTGCCGGTGCTTGTTCTGACATCTCCATTTCTTCTGTATGTGTACGTGTGTGTCCTGGCTGCCTCCACCTTTAGCGTTTCATTGGGAAATGACACTAGGTACAGCTCACTTTTCTCTTCCGCCCTTGCTTGGTCTGTCCTCTTCTGCTCTTCCGAGTTCCTTTCTCCTCGGCGTCTGCCTGCTTCTATGCCCTTTCTCTGACCACCCGCTGTCCTCACTCTCCCAGGATTGCTCCTCGGTGACATGTGTCCGACAGCAGCCCTCCCTGGTCCTTCTGCTTCCTTCCACACCCCCGACTTGTGAGATCCATGCCCTGCGTCCCAGACCATGTGTGCAGTAGACAGGGCAGCCTGGTGCCACCTGTGCTCCACCGCGGTCTCGGGAGGGGCCCGGCCGCCTTGGAGCCTGCGTGGCCGCCCAGCTGTGTGTGTTGATGTCTCTGAACTGTGTCCTTGCGAGGATGCTTGGAGGGGAGCTGGGTGAGGCTGGGTGGATGGTGGGGTGGGCGAGCTGAACGTGCTGCTCAGGGTCTGCAGAGTAGCCACATTCTGGAGTCAGGCAAATTGTCCACCTCGGGTATGACCAGTCCTCCCTGTGAGCACCAGGCCTGAGGAAGTAGCTCAGTCACTGCCATCCAGAAGGCTGAAAACAGGAACTCTCACGTAACAGAAAACCCTGTTCCGGAGCAGAGGGCACCCAAGGTGTTTGCGGAACGTGGTTCGACCCCATGGGGATGTAAAATCCCAGGCCCCTGGGGCTGGCCCTGAGCCACCCTGGGACAGGGTTTGTGGGTGGCTGGCTCAGGCCGTGCTCATCATAACTCCAGGGTGGAGATTAGGAACACAGCGAGGCCGCCGCTGTCTCCCGTGTGCTAACAGAGACGCTTTTGCACACGGCCTTGCAGCAGCCACCCTGCCTCCATGCCAAGCATCCTCCCCCCGGGGCCTTCCTCTTCCCAATGGACCAAGGGTGAGTCCATTGTCAGAGGAGATGGACCATGGAGGTTTTTGGCAAACCCGGGCAGGTCCCCTTCAGGTCCAGGGAGAGATGGTGGCGCCTCCTTACTCAGACTGAGGCTGGGGTGGGCCCGCGCAGGCTCTGCCCTCTCCCTCCCTGCCTCTGTCCTTCCTCTCCTCCCTGCCTGAGTCCTCTCCTCCTGCCCTCCCCTCTCCCTTCCCTGTGTTCCCCACATCCCAGCTCCCTGTCCTGCCTCCCTCCTCCCTTCCCTCTCTGCCCTTCTTGTTCTCATTCCCTGCCGCCTCCTCTCCTTCCAGCCTCAGCGTGACAGCTGGGGCACCATTTGTGGTGGAGCTGGGAAAATGCTGGGCTCACCCTCATCGGGGCGTCCAAGAGACCCTACTCTCTGGGTCCTGAGTAAGGAGGGACCTGTCCTTCCTGGCACCGCCGCCCGGGCTTCCAGCCTGTGCCCCCAGCCGCTCCCTTGCGGCTGCCCCTTGTCTGTCGCTCTGTCTGTCTGCATGTCCCCGGCCTGGCTGAAAGCAGCCCCCACGCCATCAACTTCTACTTTGTCTCTGCTTCCTTTCAGGACCTTTTACCAATTTGAGGCTGCGTGGGACAGCTCCATGCACAACTCTCTCCTGCTGAACCGGGTCACCCCTTATCGAGAGAAAATCTACATGACACTCTCCGCTTATATCGAGGCAAGGCACCTATGCCAGGGCACTCCACCAAAACCACTCAGCCCCTGAAGCTTGAGGTTCTTGTAAGCTCTGGACAACCCCATATGACCCAGACGACTTCTCTAGTTCTCAAGTCCCTGGGTTAAATTTGTGTGCCTTTTAAAAAACAAAAACAAAAACTGGACTGCAAGGTTGAATCCATAAATCCATAAATCCATGTGCTGTTTTTTTTTTGTTTTTGAGACCGAGTCTCACTCTTGTCGCCCAGGCTGGAGTGCAATGGCGCAGTCTCACTGCAACCTCCGCTTCCCAGGCTCAAGCGATTCTCCTGCCTCAGCCTCCCAAGTAGCTGGGATTACAGGTGCCTGCCACCACGCCCGGCTAATTTTTGAACTTTTAGTAGAGATGGGGTTTTGCCATGTTGGCCAGGCTGTTCTCAAACTCCTGGCCTCAGGTGATCCACCCACCTCAGCCTCCCAAAGTGCTGGGATTACAGGTGTGAGCCACCGCACCCATCCTCCATGTGCTTTTAATGGCAGTTAACTCACTCTACCATACTTAGTGTGTGGGTGTTGTCCTTGGGATGCAAGATGGCTGCAGCACCACCAGACATTGTGTCTGCATTCCGGGCAGCACAAAAACAGAAGTGTTCCATCCCCACAGCACCCCCAGAGTCTGCAGTACATAGGCCGTGGCCAGACCTGGGCTGTGGCCTCCCTTCCAAGTGCAAGAGGTGACTGGAAGTGTGGGCGTTTCTTGCTGGTCATAGTAGTGAGGGAGAGGGAGGGTGGGGAGCAGTGGGCAGGGGCATCTGCAAGCACATCCCCTCTCCTTAGTTACAGCCGAATTATTCCAGCTTCACATGGGGATGGTGTGACCATCTCACCAGATGGTGGTGAGGTTGCCGTGAGGAGGCGCTGGCAGAGCTCTTCCCAGCGAGTGCTTGGGACTCTTCAGCCATGCACAGCAGCTGCCCCCACTTCAGGAAGACAAAGGGGCCAGCTGTTCAGCAGTTAGCGTGTCATCCACCAGGAAGTCATTTTCTGTGGTGTTTGGGTTAAAATGTGCACATTCAAACAAGACCTGGTTTGATCCTCACAGACATTCCAGGGTCGGGGAGGGGTCACCCCAATTTTATGGTGAGGCAGCTGAGGCCCGAGCAGTGAGCCTATGTCTGGGACCCTCGGGGTCCCCACACATGGAGACCAGTCCCTCAGGCAGCCCAGGGGTGGACAGAGCTGTGGCTACCTGTCCCCAGTGGGGTTTTCTCGAGGGCAGGAGCAGAGACTTTCTCCTGCCTGCGTCCAGGCCACACCTGAGGCCCTGGGAAGGCCCTGGGGCTGCCTGTCGGTGCTGGGCATTGTGCCCCCAGGAGAAGGCTGGAAGGGCACCTGGGCACTCGGGGTGTCCTTGTGCCTGAGTCCTGCTCCCGCCTATCTCAGATGGAGAACTGCACCCAGCCGGCTGTTGTCACCAAGGACTTCTGCATGGTCTTCTATTCCCGTGATGCCAAGCTGCCAGCCTCGCGCTCCATCCGCAACCTCTTTGGCAGTGGGAGCCTTCGGGCCTCAGAGAGGTAAGCTCCCAGGGGTGAGGACCACATGGACTCCCACCCTGGTCTCGGTGCGGGCCAGGCAGGGCTCTGCCTGGCAGCGGTCCTTGGGCCACCCGGCAGCTCACCCTGTGCGAGGCCCAGCCACACTCCTGGCTGGCTCCCTGCGCTCAGTCCCCTCCTGCTCACCCTAGATGAAGACTCTGTGGAGGCCATGGTTCCTGCAGGGGACACTGACACCACTATGAGGGACTTGAGGGCCAGCCTGCAGCGGATGGGAGGAGGGGCAGGCCCAGGGTGCCCACCTGGGGCCTCCTGTGGGTGATCCTGGGGCCACACCGTTCCCCCCCCCCCCCCCCCGCCGCCGGTGACCTTCTTCCCTGAGGACCACGGAACCTGTGCCATGGGACTGACTGCCCACAAGGCACTGAAGGAGGAGCTGGATAAGTGGGCGGTGGCTGGAAGGGGGCTCTGGACACAGCTTCCCACAGGACCTGCTGGGTGGCTCTTCTTGGAGGCTGTCAGCACCTTGGGGAGCCACACACCGAACACCAGGACCAGCCGTGCTTGCGTGCTGAACACGCTCCTGATTCTTGGGGGTGGGGGAGAATGAGCCGGAATGTCAGGGCCCTGACAGCAGGGCTGCCGAGGCTACCGGGCACCCGTGGCCACCTTCAGTGGGTCTCCCTGTGGTCTGCCACATGGACCTGGTGTCCAGGTTCACACTGGGCACAGCTGGGAGGAAAGAGCTTGGGGGTCAGGATCCAGTGTCCTTGAGGGCTGGCTGTGGTCATTCTGGAGGTCACTCAGTAATTGTGGGATGCCACCGACCTGTCTGTGGGAGGGTGGCCGAGGTGCTCTCAGAATCTGTCCGGGGCACAGTGGGGCTGCTCTGTGGGGTATGGGGCCTGAGGGGCTCTCGACGCCGTGGAGGGACTGGAGATGCCAGATGCTGTGCTCATGTTGCCTGTACCCCACTTGGGCTGGGACAAAGTGGAGGCTGCTGTGGGGGCCTGGCCTCACGTCACAGCCCCATGGGCACCTGAGCAAGACCAGCCAATGCATCTTTTCTCTGGGGGCCGGAGGGAGTCTGGGATGAGGACTCTGAACAGGGGCTGTAGCTCAGGGACCTCAACACCCCATCACCCCAGCCAGGCTGACTGTGCGTTTGATAGTGGGGCAAGTCAGCAGCCAGGCTGGCTGTGTGTCCCTGTTGCGGGGCCTGGTGACTGCATGTCACTCCTTCTACTCCCCACAGTAACCGTGTGACTGGTGTGTACGAGCTCAGCCTGTGCCACGTGGCTGACGCGGGCAGCCCAGGTAGGTATCTGCCCTGCTCTCACTGGGTGGGTTCCTGGCCTGCTCAACCTCTGCCCACTTGGGGTGACCACAGCGAAGCTGCCATTTGCAGGGGGATCCCTCACAGAACCCAAGCACTCACCTTGTGGCTTCTGGAGTTGTTCTGAGATGGGAGGAGAGCGAGGGAGGAGAGTCAGGCCTGCTGGCTTCCTTGGGTTCCCAGGGCACAGCCGAGATGGCCATGGGACGCCGGGCTGGATAACTTCCTATGGAAGAGGCCTACATGGCTCTTTGGGCCCCAGGGTGGACCAAGGACCAGGGGAAGCCCATCTCCACTCCAGAGGGGAGACAGCTTCACAGATGGGCGGACCTCTAGGATGGGTGGGAGGAGCAGCCACCCATCAGGTAGGGGTGGAATGTCCACGTGCCCCATGCAGGGATGCAGCGCCGGCGCCGACGAGTCCTGGACACATCTGTGGCCTATGTCCGGGGCGAGGAGAACCTGGCAGGCTGGAGGCCCCGGAGTGACAGTCTCATTCTGGACCACCAGTGGGAGCTGGAGAAGCTGAGCCTCCTGCAGGAGGTGAGGCAGCCTCAGAGGATGAGGCCCGCACGGTGGTGTCCATGTGGCTTTGTGTGCAGAGCAAAAGCTGGAGAGGGCCCAGGGCCTGGTGCCTACTGGGGGGCAGCACAGCTGCTTGGGAGTCACAGCCACCTGCAGGAGGAGCATGTGATGCTCCAGTGTGCACTGCGGGGCTGCGTGGTGTATGACAGAAACATGGCCAGTGTAGCACAGAGGCATGCTCTGGAATTAGCCGAGGAAGACTATCGGGCATATAGACAGAGGCCAGAAAGGGACCCGGAAGGAGAGTCGCGGGGCTGGGCTGCCCTCTGCGGCTTTGATCAGGGAAACCAACATGCAGCATCTAGGCACTGCCTCGGGCCGAGTGTGTGTGTGACACGTGACGCGTGACGTGTGAGATGCGTGAGGCCAGGGCTCTGCCCACCCCTCGGCCCTCTCCTGAGGCCTCCAGCACTGCAAGGCAGCACAGCCCTGCCCCAGAACCTGGCGCGTGAGATGGATGTGTCTGAGAGGAGCAGCTTGCTTGCTGCCCATGAAGGTGGCAGGGCTGGGGTGGGGGCTGAGGGCTGTCAGCCCCGGGGCGCCAGGGTCTGTTCCCTCATTTCACAGCTGAGGGCTGTCAGTCTTCAGTCTTAGCCCAGGGGAGGGTGGGCTCTCCGGGGTCTGCCCAGAGGGTCATGCTGCTGCTGAGGCTGAGCACAACTCCGGAGGTCACCCCTGAGGTGCAGCAGGTAAGGCCTTGTGTCCTGTCTGAAGGTGGAGAAGACTAGGCACTACCTGCTCCTGCGGGAGAAGCTGGAGACCGCCCAGCGGCCTGTCCCGGAGGCACTGTCCCCGGCCTTCAGCGAGGACTCTGAGTCCCATGGCTCCTCCAGCGCCTCCTCCCCGCTCTCGGCTGAGGGCCGCCCATCACCCCTGGAGGCTCCCAACGAGAGGCAGCGGGAGCTGGCCGTCAAGGTGGGTCCAGCTGGTGGGCAGTACAGCCGTAGCCCCAGGCCCTCAAGGGCCCTGAGTCATTTCTGGGCAACTCCAGCAACCCGGCCTTGCCCATGGCTGCTCTGGTTAGCACCACCAGGAGCTAGGAGCTTGAGGGGTCCCTAGGGTCCCCTTGCCCACTGACTGCACCCCACCTGCACTGAAAGTTGGGTGCCTTTTGCAGCCTCCCTTCCCAAGCGATGAATCACTCTCTTGAATACCTGTGCTGATGGGGAGCTCACCACTTCCACCCACAAGTGGCTCTTTTGGCGGCTGAACGGGCCTCTGGGAAGGCTTCCTGCGCCTCCTGCACTGGAGGCAGCACAGCCTCTGGCCCTCACACCAGGCCCTCAGCCGGTGCCTGACCCTGGGAGACTTCCTGGGCTCACCCGATGACCTGGGCGGGGTGGAGGTGCTGCCCACCTTGACCCACTGTGCTCTGGCGTCGGAACCCACCTGTGTCTGGGGAGGGGTGGGTAGAAGAGCCTGCAAGGCTGTCTGAGCAGGGTCCCGGGAGGCCTGGCCCCTGACCACGCGTGTGCTCTGTCCACAGTGCTTGCGCCTGCTCACGCACACATTCAACAGAGAGTACACACACAGCCACGTCTGCGTCAGTGCCAGCGAGAGCAAGGTGGGTGCAGAGGGGCTGCACCAGGCTGCCCCGCAGGGCTCGGGCTCCCATAGGCAGTGGTCCCTGAGGAAAACTCCCATTCCAAGTGGGAAAAGGCAGTTAAGAGTTTCCTAGGAACACGTCTCAGTGCAGAGGGACACCTCATACCTAAGTGGCTGGTTTCCCTGGGTCGGCCTGGGGTCCATGGGAGGTGGGGATGTGAGTGAGGGGCCGGGTGGGTCCTGTGGCCTTGGATGCACCCATGCACTTGCAGGCTTCTGCTGTCTTCCTGGCCCCCACCCTGTCTGGCCATCACCCTGTGGCCTCTGGCCCAGTCAGTCAAGCTCCCACTTGGCTGTCCCTCCTCCTCCTGGGACCGACCCCACCCCTGTAGCCTGGGAAACTGCTGCTGTGCTGCATTATGCGTGGAGCTCCAGCCCTGGCCCATGGCCTTCCTTGTCCCCATGGCATCACCCAGCGCCACCTCACGCTGGCATGGGCAGGAGGCGGCAGGGCAGAGCTTACCCAGCCCACTCCTCGAGGCATTGGCAGGGTGGCTGCCTGGGTCAGGCCAGAGCCTGAAGTGATGGGAGGGGCCGGCCAGGGGCCACAGGGGCTGGAGGGGGCCGGGGGTCTTGAGCTGGCCAACTTTGAGCCAAGGCTGCTGGTAGGAGGGGTGGGGTGCCCTAAGCAGCAGGTGTGGGGTAAGCGCAGGCACAGGGAGCAGCTCCCACAGAGGCCGGAGACCCCCCTTCCCTGTGTCCCCTGAAAAAGGCCTCTCCTCCGCAGCTCTCCGAGATGTCTGTCACCCTGCTCCGGGACCCGTCGATGTCCCCTCTAGGGGTGGCCACTCTCACCCCCTCCTCCACTTGCCCCTCTCTGGTTGAAGGGCGGTACGGTGCCACTGACCTGAGGTGAGTGAGCTCCAGGCTCCCGGAGTGGCTTCTGGCACCACGGCTGACCCATGACCATGGCCGTGACTCGGGCACAGAGAGCACAGAACAGGGGGCCCCAATGGCCGAGTGCCTTGGGGTGGCCACAGGCTGAGGGAAGGGCCTGGAGGAGTGGAGTCCGCAGCCCTCTCAGAGGGTGCCTGTGCCCCGCCAGCTCCATCCTAGTGTGTGTGTGTTCTCTTCCCTGAAGAAGACCAGAAATGGGTGGAAAATAAGCTAAAGCTCCCCTTTCCTGAGACAGTGCTTATAAAATAATGGAAAAAGAAAAGGTTACGAAAGAGGGCATGAGAGCCGTTAGAGTCAGTATTGTGGAGGGGACACCTGGCCCCTGCAGGTCCGCATTTGGAAGAGACCTCGTGTGAACCCCTTATGTACAATTCATAAGCAGGCAGATGCTTTTCACTCTTGTTTTAAGCGCCTTAAGGGTTCCAGATTTTCATTTAAATAAGAAAGACGGTGGCATCAGCTGGCCTTGTCTTCTGCAGGCCTCCTTGACCACCAGGTCGAGTCGCGTGGGGCCTGGCCCATGTGGGGGGCCCATGCGGGAGGCCATCGGCACCCTCTGCTCCAGTGGCTCCTTGGAACCTCGTGTCACCTTCAGTCTAGTTGTGGAGATGAAGAGATGCTGGACTTGCTTTCACAGGGTGGAGGTGGGGGCAGGAGAGCCACTGGGAGAAGGGCGTGGAGTGGGGCACAGGCTCCCTGGCTGGGCCCCGAGGTTCCTGGGGGACCCTGCCCACCAAGCCCAGCACTTCCTGGAATCGGGCACAAGCTTGGCTATCCTGGTGGACGGGCCCCGGGAGCTCCCACTGTGGGCACAGCTGGAGAGACCCTGCGAAGGTGCCCTACTGCACCTTCTGAGGTGCTCTGAGGAGGGTGAAGCCTGGGGGAAGACGGCCCCAGGCCCAGGGAGGCCTGCAGTGGGCAGCACTTCCCTCTGCTTCCCAGGACCCCGCAGCCCTGCTCCCGGCCAGCCAGCCCAGAGCCCGAGCTGCTGCCAGAGGCCGACTCCAAGAAGCTCCCTTCCCCTGCCCGGGCAACAGAGACAGACAAGGAGCCCCAGCGCCTGCTGGTCCCTGACATCCAGGAGATCCGAGTCAGGTGTGTGGGGCCTCCCTGGAAAGCACCGCCACCAGCTCTGTGCTGACAGGGGACAGGCAGGCCACCCTGCTCCCCATACTGGGGGCACAGGGACCCTCATACTTGGGGAGACAGACAGGTTGCCTGATGCCCATACTGGAGGTTCAGGCAGGCTGCCCCTGACCCACATGGAGGGACAGCTCCATGCTGGGAGGTCAGGCAGGGCCCTGTGACCCACATGCCTAGGCTGGGAACCAGCACAGAGCACAGGGGAGTGGGTGGGGTCAGAGCCAAGGCCCAGGTGGGGAACTCGTGGTCACTGGGTACAGTGTGACAGCCTTCAGCAACTTTAGCTTATTTCTTTAAGTTTTTCCATTTTATGGTGGGGAAACTGAGGCCCAGAGCTGGCTTGGTGGTCTGGTCTCCGGCCTGCTGGGTTGGGGTTCTGCCAGGTGCCCTTCGATGCCTCGACCCACTTTCTGGCTGGGGAGGTGGTTGGCACTGCTGCGTCCCAGCTCTGGGTGGTAGATGGTGAGTGCCCGAGTCAGTCGCTGCCCCCACCGAGGGCCCCAGCGAGCAGCTCTCTCTGCCTTCAGCCCGATCGTTTCCAAGAAGGGGTACCTGCACTTCCTGGAGCCGCACACGTCAGGCTGGGCCAGGCGCTTCGTGGTGGTGCGGCGCCCCTATGCCTACATGTACAACAGCGACAAGGACACCGTGGAGCGGTTCGTGCTCAACCTGGCCACTGCCCAGGTGGAGTACAGTGAGGACCAGCAGGCTATGCTCAAGGTGCGGCTGGGCCCGGCTCAGGCTCGGGCACCAGGAACCCTAGCAGGGCAGGAGCTGAGCCACCATCCTCTGCAGCCCTGCGTCAGAGCAGGAGGCCCATCTGCTCACCCCAGACTCCGTCCTGTTCCACGGAGGCTGGGCTCAGGGACTCAGCCTCAGGGATCCTCTGTCCTTGCCCCAGGCCTCTCTGCCTGCCCATGAGGCGCATATTCCTGGTGACAGCTAGTGGGGATGGACTCCGGTCAGGGCAAGCATTAGTATTCTCCTGTGTGATGGCCACAGCCATGTCCCCTCCTCCGGAGTCACCCAAGGTGGGTGGCACCAGCCCTGCAGGAATGGGCGAGCCACAGGGCTCAGAGGAGCCCTCCTGCCCCCACTCTGCCCAGCCCCTCCGTCTGGAATGGCCCTGGACAAGTTCAGGAGCCTGGACTCCTTCAGGCTGGCTGGAGGAGAAGTTTCTCTGAGCCATCTGGAGGCGGCCCCAGTGTCTACGAGATGGTTTTTTGATTCCCTGTGGTGGGAGTGGGTGGTGTGAACCCACATCTGCACCAGCAGCCCAGCCAGGGTCCCAGGGAGCAGGGGCCATGAGGGGCAGTCACGTCCCGTGGGGAGGCATAGCAGTGGTGAGGGTGTCCTGGGACCACCGGCCGCAGATGCGTCCAGAAGGCAGTCACAGCCCTGGCTGGGTCAGCCTTCCCCTCTTTGTCCCCTCCGTGTCCCCTCCCTGGGACTTTCCTGGCAGTGCCCCTCCCCTGCCTGCCTGGGCCCTGGGGAGCAGGAGGGTGGTGTGCTGACCACGGAGCCTGGCACCTCCTCACCAGCTGCCTCCCTCTGCAGACACCCAACACATTCGCGGTGTGCACGGAACACCGCGGCATCCTGCTGCAGGCCGCCAGCGACAAGGACATGCATGACTGGCTGTACGCCTTCAACCCCCTCCTGGCCGGGACCATACGGTAGGGCCGCCTGCAGGGCGAGGTTGCTGCCATGGGGGTCCTGCCCTCAACCGGCTCCTGGCCAGGACCATTTGATAGGGCCCTGCTGCAGGACAAGACTGCTCTCCCAGGGGTCCTGCCCTCAATCCCCTCCTGGCGGGGACCATTCAGTAGGGCCAGCCGCAGGGTGCGGTTGCTCTGCCAGGGGTCCTGCCCGCAAGGCTGCCTGGGGAAGCAGTGCGGCCAGTGGAAGGCAGCGCGGCCTGCCCTCACTTATGTGGGCTGGGGATGCCCTTAGGGCTATTAATGCTCCCTCTGAGTTGTGGCTTCTTGTGGAGTGATAAATCCCAGGCCATACTTTCAAAATTACATCCTAACCCGGTGGCCTCGGCATGGGGAAACCGTGTGCCCTTGGGCAGGCTGCGGAAGGAGCTGGTCCCTCCCACAGCAGGGATGTGAAAAGCGGGGTGCAGGAGGGGATGGGCGGGCTGAGTCCTACACACCAGAAGCAGAGATTCAGTCCCTTCCCCAGGTGGTGAGGGAACCAGCGGGGACATGGGGTCTGTGGCTGCCCCTCACGGCTGCCTGCCTGTGCAGGGCACGGTGGATATGGCCTGCAGGTGTTCCTGGCCTGACCACGCCGCCTCTCCCAACTCTTCTGCAGGTCCAAGCTCTCCAGAAGGAGGTCTGCCCAGATGCGGGTCTGAACCTGAGCCCTCCCGTGACAGCCGGCAGGCCCAGCCCATCCCCTCCCTCATCCTCGTCTGTCCTGTCACCTGCCGCCCAGCCCCTCTCCTGCCAGACAGCCCACGACCGGGTCGACCCCCCAGGGGACGCCCATGCCAGGCCCGGGGACCTGTGCCACACGACCAGCTGTGCTCCCAGCAGAGGCTGTGCGTGTCAGTTCTTCTTGCAGAATGTGCTCTGGTGGAACAAGTTGGGAGAGGCTGGGGGGGCCAAGGGCACAGGTTACGGGGGTTCTTGCTGCCGTTCTAATATTTTTTTAAGCATAGACAGACTTATAATTAATATACGTTAGTTAGTGACATTGAAACAGTCAACTCGGAAATTAACTATAAGACTTGTTCTATTTATAAGTATTTATTTCTAATGCCTCCACATAGCCCTGTAATATTCAGATGGAACCCCCAACCACCTCCACCCTGTTTGTTCCCACATGTGTCTCCCAAGCCTGCTAGGGACAGGCAGGGCAGGGACAGCCACCTTGGAAGGCCGCAGTGAGGAGCTGTCTGGACCAGTGGGGCACCTTGGGGCTAGCACACGGGTGTATCGCCTGGGCCCCAGGCTTCTCCATGGCCACATGGGTCCTGGGTGTATGTGTGGGAGAGTGGGGGGGTGTCTTTGGTGCCTGAAGTCTGCGCGGCATGGAGGGTGGTGTGAGTTCCTCTGGTGGGAGGGAGAACGCACATCTCTTCTGGGCGGCCACCTGAGGAGTGACTCCAAGAAGAGTTCCGGCAGCTTTCCCCAGGAAAGGGTGAGGGGTGACACTCGGCTCTGGCTCTGAGATGAGGCAGACGGCACCCAGGCTGTGATCTGTCCTGGGCGGGGACCAGGAGGGAGCGGGGTCGGGATCACCTGCCAGTGTGCAGACTCTGGGACTGCGTGCTGTCTCCGGACCATCAGGGTAGGGTGGTGGGTTGAGACCAGGAAGTCAGGGAAGATCGGAATTCAGGGCGACGGTCTAGGTGTCGAGGGCTGTGGCGCAGCCTCTTCAGCTGCGGCGAGAAATGGAGTGAGTCAAGGTAGCTTCTGGGAAGAAATGCTGCCATTAGCAGGTTTCTTGCAAAGACTTTCCTCTCTTTGTTCCCAGGGCAGAGAGTTTCTGTGAGTCCCACTGAGAAAATCCCATGGGGTGGGGGTATCCTGGTCGGTCGGCAATGGAGGGTGGCTGGCTTGGTGGTTATTGTCTTCAAGGAGCTCTTCGCTGCTGCATCTGCGGTGTCCCTTTGTTCTTGTCCCATTTCACCCCCTCTGCAGACACCAATGTCCGAGGGCCACCCAGGACAGGACGGGGGTCAGCCCCAAGCTGAGAGTCTGGTCATAGGAGTCATGTCCAGAGGCCTAGGGAGGTTTTAGGGCCCTCCCCACCCACACCCACAGGTCGATTTGGTCTCTTTTTAGCTCAAGGAAAGACAGTAGCCAAGCAACAGAGCCCCTCTCCCGCCGTGGCCCGTGGGAGCAGTTACATCGGGTCTGGTGCTCCAGACCTAGGGCCCAGCACTTTCATCAGATCCTGCCTCCTGGAGTGGGGGAAACGCAGCACCCCACTGGTTCTGAGGCCCCTACCCTCCCAGGCTGTCCCACGTGATGCTGACATGAGCCTCAGAGACCCCAATCCCATGCCTGGGGGAGAGACAGCGGCTCAGGAGTGGGGGAGCACGGGCCTTCTACACCACATGGGAAGGCTCTGGCATGAGGTTTTCCTTTGGGAAGGTTGTTTGGGCCCCTGAAGTTCCATCTCCGAGAGTGGTGTGCAGGGCAGGCCAGGGCCCATGCTGGCTGCAGTCTCTGTGGCTGCCTGCCTGGGCCAGCCTGTTTGGGAGCTGGGACTGTGGGCTCGCCTTTTCGTACCTGGGCTCAGGTGCGGTGTGGCCACCGCCACCCTCATCCCCTGCCTGGGAGGCTCTCCCAGGGGCTGATGGGGGGGTTCTGTGAGGGAGAATCAGGGCTCGGGAAGCCACGCCTGGGAAGGCAGGACACAGGACACAGCAGCTTTCTTTGGAAATCTCCCAGGTGAGGATTCACATCCCAAAATAAAATTCAGAAGCCAGGTGGCCTGTGCTCCCCATGGGTGACCTCTGGAGGCAGTGGACCAAGATGCAGCAAGGAGAGGATGCAGAACAGCTTCTTGCAGAAGCACCTGCTCCGGCATCCAGCGCTGCCTGGAGGCAGGAAGGAGAGGCAGGGCAGGACACGCTGGTCTGAGATGAGGGGGAGCCCCACGGGCCCCAGGCAGGCTAGAGGAGGCACAGGCCCTGCCACGGCCAACTCAGGTCAGCCAGCCTGAGGCTGTGGCCTCCAAAGGGTCTGGGCGCACCCCCCAGGTCGCAGGTGTCTGAGGCCAGCCAACCTGCAGAGCACTCGCGGCGTGGGTGGGCTGAGTGGAGGTGCCTGGGAGCTGCCTAAATTCAGAAGCCTCCACTGCCATGGAGACTGCCTGGCTGTGTCCTCTCAGCCAGGTGCCGTGTTGGCCTTGGCTAGGACCCAGAGCCACACTGCAGCCTCCGCCGACTCCCTCCTTCCGGGCCTGCTCTAGTGAGGAGTGCCTAAGCCAGGACCCAGAAACTCAGAGTTGATGGTGAGAGGAGGCCGCCTGAGTCAGGACACCTGGCTTCTTGAAAAGTTCGCTCTGCCAGAAACCACCTAGGGACCACGTTAGCTGCCTTCCTTGAGCTCCCCAGGAGTCGGTTTCCACATCTGTGAGGTGGAGGGCTGGTGTGGAGGTGCTCATGGGGTGCGGTGCTTGGGAGACAGCCAGGCCCAGGGTGGCTGCTGCTTCCTGCTAAGTGGGGGAGGTGAGACAGATCTGGAAAGCCGTCTCCCTCAGATGGTTTCATTTAATGCTTTATACTGCCGAGTCTGGGGGCTTGTTTTGGTTTGGGGGCAGCCATCCTCCACCAGAAAGGGGGAGCTCCTTCCGCTGCGGCTCCAGATAGATGGGGATGCCGGGCTCCAGGCCGACCAGCACTTGGGATCTGATGGGACACGGCCAGTGCCTAGGGGTGCCAAGTCCAAGGCCTCCCACTGGGAGTCATCGCTGAGAAGATGCCAATGTTTCATCCACCGGCTGCACAGGCACAAACTCCCCCACCCAGGACGGCTGTGATGAGGTGGCCCTCCCTGTCAACCCTGGTCCCTGGAGTCCCCAGCACCTGGGGCCCTGGTGGGGCTGATGTCACAGGTGTTTACTGTGCTGCTGCACTGGTCCTATGCCAGCCTCACCCATGTGGGGACCACGGAAGGCACACTCCCTTACCCCCGGTGCCGGGCCGTGCGGTCCCCCAGACGGACAGCAGCTGTGGCGACCTGCGTTTCTCCCTGGGCCTGTGCTTCCTGTAGTTAGTCCGTCCCCTGGTTCCCCTGTGGCTCAGAGGCCGCGTCCCTGGCTTGTACATATGTGATTGCTGTGGGCACACCCCAGACCCCATGTCATAGCTGCCGTCCCGACGTCACGACGCCTGTCCCGATGTCTTACACCCGAGTGTTAGCCCTAGGCTCCTGTACTGTGCGTGCACTTGAGGCTCTGTCCAATTAAGAAATAAATGTGGCTCTTACTCAACACAGTCCCATGGGCTCTGCTGTGGCTTTATTTGCGTGTTACGTGTGTTGCAGGGCCCCGGAAAATGGCTGTAGGTGCATGCATCCAGCGTGGTCCAGAGACAGTACCCCTCTCCCAGTGATGAGGCAGGGAGGGGCTGGCTCTCGAGGTGGGCATGGGGAGGTGGTGGGGAAGGTGTCGAAGACTGAGTGTACACAGGGTGCTGGTCTTGGAGGATCAACCTCCACCTGCCTCCCGTGACCGGTTGCACCCCTGTGAACCAGCCCCAGGCACCTCCCCAGGGACACAGCACCTACCACCCTCATACCAGGCCACTGCACCCATCCCAGGCAGCCTCAGGCCTGGACCCTTCAGAGTCTCTAGTCCATGGGGTCTGCGCCTGGGCCCAGATCCTCAGAGCCTCCTGGAGTTCCAGAGGCCGCACCATTGCACACGAGGGCCTTAGTCTTGTCCAAGGTATGGCAGGAGTTTGTGGACCAGCGTCACACTGATGGCCGATGGGAGGATGGGGTGACAGCCTTGCACTTTGGGGGACTCTGGGCAGGGCCCCCAGTCCTTAGGAGCCCCCAGGCCCTCCAGAGGTGAGTGGCTTTGTCACAGGCGACAGCCATCTCCAGGACATTCAGTGAGGGTGGCACCTGCTCGGAAGGCAACGCCTCTCAGTGGGCCTGGGAGGTGGACCCTACTGGCTGGCACGGGGGCTCCGGGGCCTTGTGTGGGGCCACCCTCTGGCTACAGGTGGGAGGGGCTGTGTCAGGGCTGACATAGATACCGTTCAACCTGTGTGGACTCCTCCTGTCTGAGAGGTCGTAGTCTTCCAGTCCTGAGATTATAGACAGAACTTTTTGCCAGCTGGGTGAAGGGCGCACACAGTTCCTCTCTGTGCTGTTTTTTTTTTTTTATAACTTCCTGTGAGCCTACCATTATTTTAAAATGAAAAATAAAGAAAAAACCTTTTTATTCATCGGATTTTCTAGTTTCTCTACAATGAATTTGTGTTACCCGTGTAATTCTTTAAAAATTAAGAGTGAGAAGCAAATCAAACCAGAATTCAGTGACTGGGCAGAATCATAGCGGCCTCCTCACTGGTTGAGGAGGATAAATGAGTTAGCTTTGGAAAAGGCGTAGGACGGGGCCTGACACAGACTAAGTGCTGTAGAAGGTTTCTGTTTTTTAAAACAATGAATGAAACTAACAAAACATTAAGTAACAATTGGCTGTGCCTTCCAGTGTTAAGGAGAAACCTGTCGCTACCTCTGCTTCCACCTGACCTTGTTCTTGGGGCCCCAGGGATGACACCCATCGTCCGAAGGTTCTGGAAGACGAGGGAGTAGAACCAGGAGTGTGGGCTGAGTGGCGCTGGGCTTTCATGGTTGGTGCCTTCCACCAGCGGTGTGACCGGGCTCTGGGACCTGGGACCACTTCTGTGTCCAGGGCAGTGCTAAGCTGGGCACGGTCATCCTGTGCCCTGTGGGGCCTGGTTCACACTCCCCAGCTGCACTCTCTCCTGGCTGGGATGGTCTTTCTGTCCATGTTGGTGCCTCAGTGCAGCCCTGGCTGGTGGTTCTCTGAGGCCTGGGAGCCATTCAGACCCTTTTGATGCCTGCAAGTCTCTGCTGCCGTCCAGCGAGGGCTGGTGGCACAGTGGACTCACACGGACAGACAGACTCACGTCTTAACTCAGCAGATGGCCACTGTCACTCCTGCACTGGGGGCGGTCCTTTAGGGGTGTCGACTAAAGCTTTCACAGCCTCCAGGATGTGTAGAGGGCAGAAAAGCCTGGAAGCCCCAGCCTTGAGGACAGAGTCCACCCCTGTGCAGACAGCCAGTGATAACCCAACCCAGTCCCCAGGGAGAGGTGGCCCGTAATGCACCTGGCTCCCTTCTGCTCCAGCCTCCTGCCCATCTTGACACCTCCTGCTGCTGCCCCAAAAGCCTGACTTGGCCCAGGGCCCCTCCTGTGTCCCCTGTGAGCTGGAGTCTGAATGCTGAGTCCAGGCCCTGGGGAGGCTCCCTAGCTCCTGCCTGTGCGGCAGATCCTGAAACTGAGGCCCAGACCCTGAGATGGTTCCAGAACCCTGGACTGAACCTCACTGGCCCATCCAGCCTGTGCTCTCCTCTCCCCAAGACCTTAAGGCTGGCTCCGTGGAGCCTGGAGCAGACCAAGCCACAGTGTGGGTGTCTGGAGGCTCACGTGTCCATTGGACGCGTTGTGTCTCTGGGGAGCTGAGCCCCGGCCTTGGGGACACCCAGACAGGATCCAGCAGATTCCTCATCCTACTGGGGTGACACCCATTGGCCAGTTAGACCCAACTGGACCCAGGGCCAGAGGGGCGCAGGCATGTCCTGTCTACAGTCCAGGACGCAGGAAGCAGGGACTTAACCCCTCACCCCCGTGGCCTTCTCCTCTCCCTACCAACCACCACCTGGAGCCCGCCAGGCCCCCAGCCAGGAGATCTTGACTTTATAGGTGTGTGGGGTGTCAGAGGATCCCACTGCACAGCAAATGGTATTTCCCAAGAAGAATTCCCATGAGCTGCCCCTCTTCCCCGCAGTGTGGGCTTCCAGGACCTGGCCTGAGAGCACCCCCCAGCTTCCTGCCTGCTCTGCACTCCACACCTTCCTCCTCTCGTGTGTGGAGTGAATTGGTGCTTTCCTGATTCTTCCAAACTGTACTTTCCAGTACAGTAAACAACAGAGCGACATGGGTCCTTACACATGAAACCATGCTCTTATCCTACTTTTGGGGACAAAGTCCTAGCTGGAATTACTGTGTGGGAGTTTATATAAATTCATATGTGCATCTTACGTGTGTGTGTGTGTGTGTGTGTGTGGCACGCGTGTGCACACATGTGCGCACACACACACACGGCTTCTGAACATAAAGCCCATCATCGTCTCACTGCATGTCTGAGTCTTTTTAGTCCTCCCCCTTTGGCAGGTGGTAAGTGGCACCTTATCATTTTTCAATTTTATTTATTAGTGTTGCTAAATTATTTTCATGTGTTTTATATATATATATATATATATATATATATATATTTTTTTTTTTTTTTTTTTTTTTTTTTTTCTGAGATGGAGTCTCACTCTGCCGCCCAGGCTGGAGTGTAGTGGTGCAATCTCAGCTCACTGCAACCTCCGCCTCCAGGGTTTAAGTGATTCTCCTGCCTCAGCTTCCCGAGTAACTGGGATTACAGGTGCCTGCCCCCTCACCTGGCTATTTTTTGGATTTTTAGTAGAGACAGAGTTTCACCGTGTTGGCCAGGATGGTCTTGAACTCCTGACCTCAAGTGACCCACCCACCTTGGCCTCCCAAAGTGCTGGGATTACAGGCGTGAGCCACCGCGCCCAGCCAGATTATTTTTATTTCTTTTGTGACTTGCCTATTATGTCTCTGGCCAAATTTTCCTCTTAATTTGCAGTCAGTTACACATATATCAGATAGCTCATTCCTTTGTCATATGTTTTAATTTTCTAACTTTGTAATTTTTCTGTTTTGATAATATTTTATTTTGCCTTATAAAATTATGTTGAATATCTTTTAAAGTCAAATATAGTTTATTTTTCAAAATTTCTAATCTTGGGCATTTTGCAGAAAAGAATTAGCCCAACAGGCTTGCACCTGCTATTCTTTAAATGTCTGCTGTGAGGTGGAGCCTCAGACGGCTTCTGGGAACTTGGCACTTGAACTGTTCCCTGAATGACAATGAGGGTTCACTGTGCCCAGACTGTACAAATACTATAGCCCTCGATGCACTTTCCTTCTGAGTCTGGAGTTTGGTGTGTTCCAGGCAGGGCATGGCCAGCTTCTGGTCAACACCACAGGCACTGAGTCTCTACTGAGCTCCCCGACGGGGAGCCCTTAATATGGACGGCCATGCAGCGTTGCTGGGAATGAAACACGTCCTGTGTTACTCTGTGGGGAGAGAGGCCTTGGAAGCACGAGCCTGGTTTTCTTCACACCACGCCCCATGCCTTTTGCACCCCATGCTTTTTCCGTTCACAGATGTGGTTTCAGAGCCTTTTGCCGTAACCAGTCTCAGCCATGGCACCACTGTATGCTAGATCCTGTGCATCCTTCCAGAAAGTCTCTGAACCAGGGATGACCTTGAGGACTTCATGATACAAGAACACACTTTGAAACTCCTTTCCCATTCATTTCACTTATCTCTAATAGTGATTTCATTTATGTCATCAAATAATTAACCTCTCTCGCATGATATGACCATGTAGAGTTTACTCTGGGAATGAAGAGGTCACTTCATATCAAGAAATCTATTAATAAAATCCATCATATCAATAGAGCTAAGAAAAAATGGTCATCACCACAGATGCAGAAAAGCTAGGAACAGAGCAGAACGGCATGCTAGCATCACCACTATTCAATGGCGTTTTGAATTACTAGCTAATTTCTTTACACAAGAGAAAGTAATCAGAGGGATAAAAACAGAGAAGGAAATGTAAAAATTATCTCTTTTGCAGATGATAGAATTACATATCTGGAAATCCCAAAAGAATCCATGGGAAAACCACAAATAGCCTGAATTTGAATCTGAAGGGTCAATATGAAGATATGATAGATTTCATTTTTCTTTAAAAAATACACATTTCCTAGTTCCATCTATTGAAAAGGCCTGGAAACAACAACCAGCTCCTTAACAGTGACACATTCCTAGAACCGAGATTGTATTGTCTAAATAGAACTTCTCTCTAACACTGGGAGAAATCACTAGTTCCAGAGCGGGGATGAGAATTGCACAAGATTATCATGAAAATCTTTTCAACAAAAACATTATCACACTCTAAGAGTTTTGCCAATAGGACCCAAAGTCATTGTCAGACTTCAAGAGTTGTGTCAAAAGGACCCAGGATCCAACTTAGAGGCTCCCACTGGCCTAAGATTGGGACACTTTGAACATCAGTAAGGCTAATAAATGTGATGACTGGAACACATGTGATATGGTTTGGCCCTGTGTGCCCACCCAGATCTCATCTTGTAGCTCCCATGATTCCCATGTGTCATGGGAGGGACCCAGTGGGAGATGACTGAATAATGGGGGCGGGTCTTTCCTGCGCTGTTCTCGTGATAGTGAATGGGTCTCACGAGATCTGATGGTTTTAAAACATGGGAGTTGCCCTACACAACCTCTCTTTTTGCCTGCTGCCATCCACGTAAGATGTGACTAGCTCCTCCTTGCCTTCTGCCACGATTGTGAGGCCTCCCCAGCCATGTGGAGCTGTAAGTCCAATAAACTTCTTTCTTTTGTAAATTGGTCAGTCACGGGTATGTCTTTATCAGCAACATGAAAACAAACGAATACAACATGTAATATGATTACATCTATTGGTTTATAATGACAATTAAAAAATAGTAAAAAAAAAATAGTTCAAAATAGCTCACTGGTAACCATCAGAGGATGCAACTCATTTCGGAAACAAGTAAATCAGGAAAAAGAAACAAGCATTATCCTGTCTTCCCTTAGAAACTGTACCTAAGCATAGCCAGGTAGCCAAGGAGCAGAGGTTTGTCTTTGCAGAAGTATTTTTCCTATAAAGGAAGAGAGAAGGTCATCCTAAAACCCCATGGCTGTGTAATCCCCAACACACGAGCAAATGAATGAATGAATGCGGCTAGGCAGTGACATCACCAAAGACACAGCAGGGCAAAATCTACCTCTGGATGGAATGGCACAAGCCCACCTGAGGGGTGGTTTACAAAAACCTGGCACTGAAGCTGATCACGTGTCCAGATCCGGCTGTAAGAAACACGGGGGAGACAGGCTATGCCGACAGACACTGCGGGATGCCTGCATCGAAACCCAGACGTGGGAGACTTCACTCACAAACGACCTCTGCTCTTCAACAGATAAATTACAAGATGAGAAGGTGAGGGAAATAGGTTAAAAGAAATTTAAGAGACCTCATGTGGATCCTCAATTTTTAAAAAGTTAACAACATTAGGTGAGTGCCTTTGGTGCGTAAAGAGCTTGGCAGTCACGAAGCTCATCCTTACAGCAAGAAAAGCTGACAAACCTGAAAATCAGTGTTTTCTTTCACCGATCAAAGCTTTGAGCTTGCAGGGCATACTGCAACCCCAAACTCTGAAGAGACAGCACAGAGTCTCAGCGGAGACCGGCGCCCTGGAGCAAAAGCCACTGGAGCCGCTGCTGGCAGGAGGCCCTAGATGGCAGTTCTAGTGAATTGCTGGAGGCTGTGTGTGGACCAGCTGGAGAGAGAGAGGGTCCTGCACCCCAGACTGGGGGGACGCTCATGTGCTCGTGGGTTTTACTACCATGAACCCCACCAAGTTCTCAGAGAGAAGAGCAAAGAAAAATCCCCTCATGTTCCCATCAGGGGGAGGGGCAGAGTAATCATCTCAAAACATGCCGAGAACTTCCTCCACAGCAAAGGACTCTGGGGTGGAGGTGAGAAGGAAAAACGAGAAAGAGATGGGAATTTCCCCAGCTTGGTGAAGAACATATACAAAATCCCGCAGCTGGCATCACACTTAACGCCCGAAACTGGCAGCTCCCCCGCTTAGACTGAGGGAGGGTGATGGTGTTCCCTTTCAGCACTCCTTTCCGCATCCTACTGGAAATTCTAAGTGCAACCAGACAAGGAAAGGGAATAAGAGGTATACAGGCTGGGAAGGAAGAAATGGAAGTATCTTTCTTTGCAGACGATAGAGTTTTCTGTGTAAAAAATGCCAAAGAATTGACAAAAAAAGAAAAAAAACTCCTGGAACTAGGAAGTGAGTACAGCAAGGCCACAAGATACAAATTAATACACAAAAGTTAAATAATTTATAACTATTGTGTATTGCTTTCCTATAAACCAGCAATAAATCATTGAAATTTTAAATAAAAATGCCTTTTATAATAGCATTAAAAAAGAAACAGAAATAAGTAAGTATAAATCAAATAAAATATGTAGAGGATCTGTATGTAGAAAACTACAACATTTCTGAAAAGAATCGAAGAACATCTAAAGGAATGGAGAGACATTCTGTGCTTACGGATTGGAAGATTCAGTGTTGTTAAGATGTCAGTTTTTCCTAGTTGGTGCTATAGATTCAATGCATTCCCAGTCAAAATCCCAGCAAGCTAATCAGATACTGACACACTGATTCTGAAGTTTATACGCAGAGGGGAAAGACATAGAATAGCCAACACATGAGAAACAAAAATCATGTTGTAAGGCCTCCAACTGACTGAACAGATCCCTTCTTGGCCAAGGGGACCCAAGAGAAACCTTGAAAGCTGAGTTCCCGGCCACGATGGGACAGGAGGCCAGACACACCTTGTTATACCCTCTTCCTCACCAACTGCCACTGGACGTTCTTTCCTAATTGGGGAACAGAAACCAGCCCTTTTGAAAGACTTGCCAGACCCCTGATCCCTTTTTCTGGTTTCAATACAACAACCAACTAGCATCTCTTCCCAGTAAGAGACCACGGACCATGGACTGGTCTGGCCGTGTGTCCTCTGTGTCACCTCTTGACATACAGGGGCCTACATTTTCTTTTTCTTTTTTTTTTTTTTTTGAGACAGAGTTTCGCTCTTATTGCCTAGGCTGGAGTGCAACGGTGTGATCTCGGCTCACTGCAACCTCCGCCTCCTGGGTTCAAGTGATTCTCCTGCCTCAGCCTCCCAAGTAGCTGGGATTACAGGCATGTGCCACCACACTCGGCTAATTTTTGTATTTTTAGTAGAGATGGGGTTTCATCATGTTGGCCATGCTGGTCTCGAACTCCTGACCTCAGGTGATCCACCCGCCTCAGCCTCCCAAAGTGCTGGGATTACAGGCGCGAGCCACTGCTCCTGGCTGGGGCCTACTATTAATGCACTGAAATGAAAGTCTCTGCCCCAAAGGGAACATGCATGTAGCAGGCATGTGTGCTTACTATGTGTGCGTGTGCTTCCCGCTTCATGAATATTCATAGCTCCTCCTAAATTCTGTTCAATATGTGTATGTAGACAACCTGTTCAGCATAGATTCCTCTCCCACTTCCCACTGTTAAAGTGCCTTTTTCCAGTTTCTGCCAGAGGCTATGCTTCCCAGCCTGCGATGGCCAGGCTGCAGGCTGCAACCCTTCGTAAGAAATGAAGCTCTCCTCTCAAAATCAAGAAGCCTGTGATCCGTCAGCTGGCACACAATACTGAGGAACAAAGTTGGAGGACTCACATGACCTGACTTCCTGACTTACTGTAAGGCTTACATAGTCAGGATCATGCAGGATTCACAAGACTGGTCCTATCGGTGCACCAAACAGAGTAATAGGGAGCCCAGAGGAGACCCACACCAATGGCGCCAACTGGTCCAAAGGAGCAAAGGCAAGTGAGTGGAGACGGGGAGTCTTTCCAGCAGAAGGTGCTCCGACAAACGGATGCCCACATGCAGAAGGAGGCACACACAAAGCACCAGAAGGATGTGGTCACAGACCTCCCACCTTCTACAGAGGTTCAGCCAAAAGGAATCCCAGACCTAAACGTAAAACGCAAAACTACAAAACCGTTAGAAGAAAACATTGGAAAAAATCTGGGTGATCTTCGGTTAGGCTCTGAATTATTTAGATAAAACACCAAAAGCATGATCCATAAAAGAGAAAATCAGTAAGATGGACTGTATAAAATTTAAAATGGTTTGCTCTGCAAAGGGAATGTAAGGAAAGCCACAGACGTGGAGGAAAATCTTTGCAAAATACACACCGGACAAAGGACTGGCATCCAAATATAGGAAGAATGCTTAAAATTCAGCAACAAGAAAACAAAGAGCTCAATTAAAAAGGAGGTAAAAAATCCAAACAAACCTCATCAAAGAAAACACACAGAGAGCAAGGAGGTAAAAAATCCAAACAAACCTCATCAAAGAAAACACACAGAGAGCAGAAAGCACAGGAAAGATGCTCTGCACCGCGTGTTGTGAGGGAGCTGCGGACTGAAGCCGCGGTGAGAAGCCTCTGCACACCCACGGGAATGTGGGGCACCCACCTGACTGACGACATGGAGGCCCGGGAGCAGCGGCAGCCCCGCGCCTGCGTCCGGCGGGAGCGCCACATGGCAGAGCCGCCTGGGGGCAGCTCGGTGTTTCTCACAGAAGTCGCCACGGCCCCACACAGACCCCAGTGTCACAGTCCTTGGCAGACCCAGCTGATGGGAAAACTCCCCAGAAACAGGGTGTAGGTGGTGAGGATCTAAAGAGGAGGAATCAGGGGGGCTGGGCTGGGGAGGGGCTTGTTTGGGGGGCACTCCCTCATGCACAGAGAGTTCTGGAGGGTGTCAGGGAGAGAGGGGTGAGTTAGAGGGCTGGGGTTGGGGCACAGTGGGAGGGAGTGGGGAGAAGTGAAGGGTCAGGGTGGGAGGGTTGGGAGAGGGGGTCAGAGAGGCATGGTCAAGGGCTTGTGGAGGGAGGTGCAGTGGGGTCTGGCCGAACCTCACAGAAGGGCCCCCGCTAGCCACACCCCCCGTGGTGGGACGACTCTGCTCTCTGGCTGGACAGGACCTGCTGGAGCCACCTGAGTGGCCACAGTGGTCACTGAGCAAACCTCAGACACCCAGGGAGCTGCAGCATGGGCACCCCGATGAGCACAGGCCAGCCCCTCCTCCCCACCCGCTGCACTGGACAGACTGCTGGAGGTCTGGGGCCAAGGCATGGAAGGAACGGGGAAGATGGTGTCCTGAGGGCCAAGGACAGGGAGGAAACAGCCCCTCCTAGAACCCTCAGCACCGGCCGACTTCACTGCTGAGTGACCCGGAGCAAAACCCTCTGTGTCTCAGAGCCTCACTTCCTGCCTCACAATGGTCAGGTGAGACCCATCCCAGGGAGCTGAGGGTTGGGTGGGGCAGAGAAAGCTGAGGTGCTGTATCTGGGGGCTTCAGCAGAGGGTAGGCCCCATCCCTGGCCCCTGAGCCCTGCCCCTCTTGCGCGGTGGCCAGGTCAGTGTTATCGCCAGCCTCCTCCTCCAAGCAGGCTCCCCTCCTCCCTCAGCTGTTGCCTGGAGACCAGGATGCCCCGTGTATCCATCCCCAGCAGGTGCCGAACAGGGTCCCCATCCTGCAGCCCACCCTGGTGGGGATCCCCCAGGAGAAGCACGACCTTCCCCAGGGCCTCTCTGAGGGCCACCTGTGCCTTATGGGCTCCCAGCCCAGGAAAGCAAGGCCACAAGCCAATATTTGCCCAGGCAGGCATGCGCCTGACCCCTCTGCCTGCTTTTCCACCCCAAAGTCTGTGCTGCTGATCTCCCGAGCTGGAGGAGCCTGCGGGTGTTCCATATGAATCATGGGCACTCAGCCCTCCTGGAGGCCAGCCCCTGCCTAGGAAGCACTGCTCTCCAAATCCCTCTCTCCCTCATGCACAGTTCCACCATTTGGGAGTCACTCCTTTAGCTAGATCACAGTGTCTCCAAAAGCTGTAAAGGTTACACTTAAAGACACCAACACAGGGCAGGTGTGGGCCCTGATAAGAGGGTCGGTCTGCCCAGGTGAGGCAGATATGAGGCTCGGTAGCAAGGCTGGGTCTAACCCCTCTGAGGAGGCAACTTCCCAGCAACCTGCCCGGCTGAGGCAGCAGCTAAGTGGGCTCACTGATGACATCCCCTGGAACCCAGGTCATTTCAGCCATGAGAAGTGGACACTCAGAGATGTACTGAGGTCCCCTGGCAGTCACCCTGCAGACCCTGTCTGAAAGCCTGGACTTCAGCCCCTGGGTTTCGGGGAGCCAAGGAGGGTCTTGAGGAAAACGGGCACAGTGAGATTTCAGTGTGACTTAGATGGGGCTGGACAAGAGGGGCAAGACTGGAGGGGTGACCAATTAGGAGGGAATGCGGGAACGTGGGAGACAGGGGGCGGCCTGGGCTTGGGCCGCCAGAGGGAACAAGGTCAGGGAGGACCCTAGGGGTGGTGAGATTTCAGGGGAGGGCAGGGGTGAGTGTGACCCCCACGTGTCTGGCCTGGCTGCCTGGGTGGCAGTCCTGAGCCTGAGGACATAAGACAGACTTGGTCTCGTGGTGACTGGGGTGGGGGACATGGGGACTCCGAGTTCAGTTGGGAGCTGCAGAGTTCACGGCTTCTGCAGGGCACCCCCGGCCATGGCAAGGAGGCAGTGGGGAGGTGACCATGGAGATGGGGGGAGTGTATTGGGGTGGTGACGATGGTGACGGGGGAGGTAACCATGGTGGTGGGGGGAGTGCACTGTGGCGGTGACGATGGTGACGGGAGAGTGCAGTGGGGAGGTGACCATGGAGATGGGGGGAGTGCAGTGTGGAGGTGACCACAGTGACCAGGAGAGCAGTGAGGTGGTGACCATGGTGGCAGGTAGGAGTGCCACGGGGTTGGGTGAGAACACTTTGTGTGGAGGTCAGAGGGGTGGGAGGAGGGAGGTCCTAGGGAGGGAGAGGAAGGGTCTCCTGAGTAGCTGAGGAGGCTCTACGAGAGGGTAGGGGGCTGGGAGCAAGAGGCCAGGCAGGGCATGGCCATTGCGGCAGATCCTGACCCAGGGCCACTGTGGAGAGGAAGCGGCCTCTGGTGCCTACAGAGGGGAATGGCTGACACCCTGGACATGGCCAGCTTTGGTCCCTATTCCCCAGACCCTGGGACCCTGCAGCCCTCTCCAATAATTTAACCGCCTTTGCGAGGATGCCACTGGAGGCGACCTCCACAGCCCACTCAGGTCCCTCCGAGGCAAAGCCCGGTGGATCCCGTCCCATTGCAGAGGGGGCTGGGGGGCTGGGTGGAGGGTACTCACTCCCAGTTGCTTGCCTTGGAGCCCTTGGAGCGTCCCCAGAGCCAGCAGCCCTCCTAGGCACACAGGCCCTTCCCCAACAGGTGTGGCGGGTCCTGCCCGGAGACACCGCCTTCACCACCCTGCGGGACCCGGCCCGCGTCCTGGAGTCCACCTTCTCCTGGTACAAGATGGCCTCGCCAGAGAGCCCAAGCCCGGAGCCTGCGCCACTTCCAGGGCCACACCCGCACCTTCTATGAACCCCGACGGCCAGACAGCCACTAGGGCCTCAACTTCATGGCCTTCGACCTGGGCTTCGACCACAGTGCGCCGCCGCCTGGCCCCGAGGGTGGAAGCGGTGGCCACGCGCTTCGATCTGGGGCTGATTGCCCAGCACCTGGATGAGTCCCTGGGGCTGCTGCGCCGCGCTGTGCTGGGGCCTGGATGACCTGGTGACCTTCCCCGTCCAGTGGCGTGCGGCCTTCGCCCAGGAGCCGCTGGAGCAGCGCGTGGAGCGCAGGGCGCGCGCCTAGAACGCGCTGGACTTGGCGCTCTGTGCACACTTGAACCTCACGCTGTGGGCGCGGCTGGGTGCCAGGGGGGCTGCGGCCGGAGGTGGTGGCGCTGCGGGCCCGGTAGGCGCGCACCTGCCTCCTGTATGGCGAGGCCTCAGGGCCGGGCGCGGAGCGTGACCCGCGGCTGGCGCCGCAGCAGCACGGCCTGGCGCCCATCCTGGGCTACCGGCTGCGGCCAGACCCGGACCAGGCCACCCGCCGCCATTGCCAGGACCTGGCCACCCCAGAGCTGCAGTTCGCCAGGCGTCTGTACCTGCGCCAGTTCCCGGAGCGGGTGTGGGATCCGGGACGCCCTTGGGGAGCAGAGCTGCAGGCCAGGCGGCCTCGCGCGGCAGGCCCAGGCCCAAGGGAAAATGTGGGTCGTGTTCAGAGGCGGGCGGGGATCCGTAGGGCCCTGGAGCAGAAGGGCGCGCCCTCAGCCCCTGTTACATGGGACCCCACAGGGCGGGCGACGGTGGCCAGGAGCCCCAGCCGAAACTGCTCCGTCCCGGCTCCCTTTTCTGCACATCCTTCAGTAGTTACGGGAAACCTGATTTTACCAACTTGCTTTTCTTTTCATCTACTTGAAACGCAGGTAGGTTGCCCGAGGCAGATGCACGATTCCAAGTCACTTTGGCAGTTTTTAATGTGGAGAAGGCTCTTTCTGCAGAGGGAACGTTGCGGAGCTGCTGGGAGTGTCTCATAGGCTGTGGCGACCTGGGAAGCTGCTCTGCGGAGCCACCGGAGGCGCAGATTTCAGCACATCGAGAGCAGATGAGCGGCTAGTCCCAAAACTGTCCGCGCTTCAGACAGATGACTTTCGCAGAAGTTTGAGTGTGCTTGTAGATGCAAATCTATCGTGATTATGTTTCCTCGGACGTTTCCTGTGCTTGTGGAGCTCATAGGAGAGACTGAAGGTGAATTCACGATTGCACACAACTTACAACATCTGTTTGTGGATTCCATCAGTGTATCTTCAACTGTAAGAAAAATTAATTTCAAAACTTCTGCATTAATACCTGGATACTCCAACATCTTATAGGAAAATTGTGCTTGTTTCTGTCCAATGCAGTGGCCCTTGCTTCAGGGTTTGTGGATTTTGCTGAGAATTTCGAGATTGTCAGAAAGAGATTCTAAGCTGGAGTAATTCTAACAGCTTCCTGGTTATGTTACTGGGATAAGGCTGTGTCTGCTCCTCCCATGCTCAGTTACTGATACAGTTACTGCCTGAGCACCGGGACCTCCACTCCTGGAAGGATCTGTGCAGAGGCTGCAGGCACTGGTGGCAAAACAGACACACCTCCGGCACCCAGGGGCCTCGTGCTGCCACCGGAGGAGGATCCCCTCTCCTTCCTGGGGCTCCAACCCCTGCTGCTGCTTCTGCTGCCATGTGACACCCAGGCATGGCCAGGCCCCCACGCAGAACGTCTGTGAGGGGAGCTGGTTGGCCCCACCCCATCGGCTCCCCTGTGTGCTCAGCAGCCCTTTGCCTGGCAGGGTCTGGCAGCCCCATCGGGGCCTCTGGATGCCACACAGGACTGGCTCTCAGGCCTGTCCCATGGGATTCCTGTCTCCAGTCCACAGCAGGGAAGAGGAGCCTGGGGCTCCAGAAAGAGCCAGCTCTCTGCCTGTGTGGGAGGGGGCTTTCTGGCGGGGAGGAGGGTGTGTGTGTGAAGGGGCAGCTTCGGGGAGGAGGGTGTGTGTGTGAAGGGGCAACCTCCGGGAGGGGAGAGGATTCTTCTTTCTCTCCCTCCACCAAACGCTCGTCCAGGAAAACGTGGCCTCACCGGCATCCCCAGGGAGAAGCCCACGCACCATGAGACGGGAATCATACAGGGTGGTCAGAGGGGAGTGGAAGTTCCAGGCAGCCCCTTCTCATCTCTAGCAAAAGGAAACCCTGCAGCAGCGAGTGGCTGACAGGACCCAAAACACCGGGGTGTGGCCGTGCTGGCTGAGACCGCCTGGACCCCACAGGGCTCTGGCTGTGCCCCGGTGTCTCCCGCGACCTCACGGTGCGCTCATTAGCACACTCGTCACACCCCCACCAGCGCGTGATGGCTCCAGAACACCCAGATTTGGTGTAAGAAGTGGGCGGCGCCGCAGCTCTGAGACATCTCCACGTTTTCCAGGAATCCTGTGGATTCCTCCAGCCCCAGCGCCCCTGCCCGGGACGGGACTCTAGAGGGCGCCACACTCCCTTTCTCCAGTGGGAGCTTTGGGCTTCGCAGGAAATCTCTGGTCTTTCACTATTTGCCAACTCGCCCCTGAATTCCTTCTCACGATGGTGTCAAGAGCCTGGACGCTGGCCGGGGTGGAGGTCTCACTGGGGTTGGGGTGTCCCGTAGCCCCCCGCATCGAGGACATCTCCCTGCTTTCTCCTCTCGTCCTTCCCCCATAGCAGAGCGGCTGGGCCCAGGGCTGCTGCCCACCAGAGGACGGGGTACAGCCTGTGGCAGGAGCACCGGCCACCTCACTCCCTCCCTCTGGGTGGGGCAGCAGGACCCATAGCAGAGGGCCCTTATCTCCTTTGGGTGGAAGTTTCCAGACCGGCTCTGTTCTTTGGGAAGGAAATGGCTGGAGGTGCCATGCCTCCAGGTCCCAGTTCTGCCACCAAGGTCTCAGTGATTGACCTGGCTTTGGGCGGCGAGCGGACCATGGTCCTGACGGTCGCGAACTCAGGGCCCGTGGGACTGGGTGCCCTGTGCCTAGTTCACAAGCCTACAGCCTCAGGCTCCAGCACTATCCTCAGCATCCCATCGGGTCTCAGGCCTCCGTGGCTGTGGGCTCCCTCCCGGGCATGTCCAGGGCTGCAGCATCATCTTGGCAGACTTGGGACCTGGCGGACTCCCTGGGCTCTTCCCTGTCATCCTGCCCTTTCCTCTCCTGCTTCTTCTGTAACAAGAGGCAGGAAGGAGCCCGCGGGAGATGAGGAGACTCGGACCAGCCTCACCGTGTTGCCGCACACCCTTGCCTGCCCCTCCAGAAGCCTCTCTCGGGCCCAGGGGGACACACAGGTCTTAGAAATGGTTTATTGACAAATGGCTTCTGGGGAGGGGGCCAGGATTCCCTCTTAGCTACAGAAGGTTCCAGGGTCCAGCTACAAGCAGGGCCCTCGCACGGGGCTCACACAGAGCAAGGCCACTCAGCTGGAATGTGGCCCCTCAACACCACTGCGCCCAGGCTCCCGGACACTGGACCCCTTTGCAGGGGTCTGGGTGTCCCCTGAGGCCGGGGCCGGCTTCCCTCGGGGTGCTCGGTACTTGTTCTTCTGGCCGTAGAACAGGTTCCTCTGGAAAAGGTGGGGAAGGCGGCCCTGGTGCAGCAGCACAGCCAGGACCATCCCTGCAAGAGAAGGCAGGTCCCAGGTGGGCCGCGGGGCTCCTGGGCCCAAACACAGACAGGACACCCACTCCCAGGCCTGTGCCAGGACAGGCGAGCCAGGCAGCCTGGCCAGGAGCCCCAAGAACCCTGAGGCCCAGCTCCTGCCTGGTCCTGGTCTTCCCGCCCTGGTCATGCCCCTCTCTCTGGGTATGCCAGCCATGGGGACGGGGGCAAGCCGGTGGGGTTCCTTGTACTTCTGGACCACCCTCTGGGATGAGTGACTGGAATTCCCCTCCCCCCACATTGTCCTGAGCCACTCCCAGAGCTTCTGTGGCCATTTTCCTCCGGGACCTGATGTGGCGTCCCAGGGTGGCTGCTTGCAGGGCTGTGGCCTGGCGTAGAGGTGGGGGATGTGAGTGGACAAGAAAGATGTGGATGCCCCTGGGTGGGAGGCTGGGCCTGGCTAAATCCTCATGCGAACGTTCTCCCAGAACTCCAGGAGCAGAGACTCCTAAATCCCCGCCTGCCTTCCAGGTCATTGGGAAGGGCAGGTGTTCCGGGCAGAAGGGGAGAGTAGATCCTCTTCAAGTTTGATCTCACTCCTCTAAGGATTTAACCCACAGTGTGTGAGCTCCACTAGGGCTGGCCTGAGGGGGCCCTGCCTGTCACCACCTGCAGCTGCTGTGGCTCCTGACAGTGGCCCCTGTGCCTACAGCTTGCCTACAGTTGCCCCTCACTCGGCCCTCCAGGCCCACACTGGTCCTAGCTCTGTTCCCAGGAGGGCAGGCCCAGGGAGGCGGGATGACCTGCTCAGGGGTGCTGCCAGCAGGTGCCGGTGGCCGCTCACACCCAGGGAGATAGCCCCATGTCCACACCTGGCTACGGGGCTCCTGGCTGCAGCCTTGGAGCTCCCCAGGGCTCATGCTGATACTGAACTTGTGGATAAAGGGGTTAATGGAAGGACACAAGCCTGTTTTTCGGTTTCCTGAAGCTGCCCTAAGATGACAGGAAAGGGATGCTGTCAGAGGTGTCAAGCATCCAGATGGATGAGACGGGAAGAGACGCAGGAGCACAGCGTGGGGCTGACAAGCATGTGGACGACCAAACACTGCTGACATGGAGGGGCCGGATCGCCCCTCCGCAGGGACGAAAGCTGGGAAACAACCCAGTTCTTCCGCAGATGCCCCATGCTTTCAGAAGCTGGCGCCCGGGTCCCTGTGGGATGGGGTGGCCCTGGGACTCGCCTAGGAGGAGGGACGGCAATTCCGCATGGGAAGCTCCAGGGCCCCAAACCCCAAAATACAGAAGCAGCCAGTGCCCCCCTCCCTGGCCCTGGCAGGAGACAGGTTCCTCTCTAGAGGGGGCATGTGGACTCGAGTATCAGGCCCGCCCAAGCCTGGAGTCCCGCCTGAAACACGGATCCCAGCCTCCTCCTACTTGGCTCCTAGAAGCCGCAAATGCCCTTTGGGCTTCTCCACAGAGGCAGTTCTACAGTGAGAGGTTGCAGCCGGGTGAAGAGTATTTCCCCAGCGACACGCCCTTCCCAGAACACAGGATGTGCCCTTGTTAGAATACGGCCTGGGACATAAAATCAGTGAAATCACGGTGACGTCATACTTGAGTAGAGTGAACCTCCAATTCAATGACTGGTGTCCCTATATGAAGAGAACAGACAATGACACAGAGGAGGCGGCCAGGGGAACCGGCAGACATGGGAGTGCTGCGTCTCCAAGCCCGGGGACACCGGGGGTGCCAGAGGCCCCCGGAGCCCGGAAGAGGCAGGAGGCTCCTCCCCAGCAGCCTCCGAGGAGAGCTGACCCTGTCAGTGCTGCCAGCTCAGACTCCAGCCTCCAGAGCTGGCTGAGCATACAACCCTGTCACGTGAAGCCTCTTCGTTTGCGTCCTTTGCCTTGTAGCCCGTGAAGCCACCACAGGCCATGGTTGGGGCCTGAGAAACTCAGGACGAAACTGAGCTCCCACCCGGAACCCTGCCCAGGCCTCACCGACACTCAAGTGCAGGTCAGAACCAGGACACTATTTCAGACACAGGAGGTCTGAAGTGTACCTGCCAGGTCCCCGTTCTCAGGAAGCTACTGTGAGACGGGCACCAGCAAAAAGAAGGAATCAACCGAAACAGGAGGCGATGAGGAAAGCAGGAAACAGAAATACAACCAGGATCAGTGAAGGGCAGCACCATACCGGAGATGGACGCCTGCGGGTAACCCGGAGCTGCGGATCCTCGGGGGAGACGCTGCCCACACAGAGCACTGGTGCTGAACTAAGGAAAGCACCCAGAAGCCTGGGCAGGAGAGAGTCCAGGACCTCGTCACCCGCAGGAAGCAAGGCCTGTGCAGGAGCGGAGAGGCCTCCGGGGCCACCACAGCTCACCCGGGCCGTGTTTCCATGCCAGGGAACTAGAGGGGGCTCTGGAGCTGATCAGGAGGAAGAGGCCGACCCACCCGGAGTGAAGGATCCGCAGGAGGAGCGTGGGGAGGCAAGGAAAGAACATCCGCCCCCCACATCCCAGGAGACAGCCCAGGGTTGATACCTGAACTGAAGAGTCTCGGAGAAGCCCTGCAGGCCCAGTGTGTGGGGACAGAGAGGCCAACACGGAGCTGTTCCTAGCAGAGGGCAGTGCTGCCTCGGCAACGGGGGCAGGAGGGGGTTCCTGATGCACTTCATATGCTTCCTAGGACCCTGCACATGCCTGAGAGACTGTGACCACATCAGAACCATGGCGACAAATCACGATGACGTCAGTGTCACCATCGCAGGGCCAGGTGCCTGAGAGACCCCCAGCTCCTGTCTTTCCCCCCAAGGGGAGGCTGAGGCATTGCCCCTGAGACCTCCCCAGTGTAGAGCCAGCAGAAGCTGAAAAAAGCTTCCAGAATTCCATAGGAACCCAGCTGCCCTTCTGGTACCTCAGTGAGGTGGAGCCGAGTGTCTGAGAGCAGGTGCAGGAGAAGGTGTGGGCTCCACCTGGGCCTCTGAAGCCAGGGGCCAGAATCCCCAGATCTAGGTCCAAGAGGGGGCTCCATGACCTCCCCATGCTGCTCCTCTGCTTGGATCCAGGATATAAGAAAGGAGGGGCACACACTGTGGGGGAACTCTGGGGTCCCCTGTGTGCATCAGCGAGTCCCGGGTCTGCCCCACCAGGATGCAAAGGGCCTGGCTGCTCCAGCCCCATGCTCACAGCCCTATAAGTGCACGATGGCACCCTATATCATCTAAGCGGGGCTCTCTGCCTCCTGAGGCTTTAGGGACACCAGAATGAGCCCCCCTCGGCGGAGTCTGGCTCTGGGTGTGTGGAGATGCCACCTGGGACGGGAACCCCAGGTGCATGGAGCCCCACTGCAGACACCATCCCCCGTGTGCCCAGCACCCCTTGCAAGGTTGGCCTTTCCCCAGCCTGTGGCCTCCTTACCTGGCTGCAGCTTGCTCGGCACCGGGACGGTGTCCACAGTGAGACATGCCGTCACAGCCCCTACCCCCGAAACCATGCCCACTGCAGAGACCTCCCCAGGAGCACTGACCAGGCACCCTCACCTCCACCCTGCAGGACCCCACGTGCCAGGATGCTCTGTGGGCCCCAGCAGCCCTAGGGACCCCACCCTGCCCCTGCCCTTACCTGTCAGAGGGCCCAGCCAGTACACCTGCACGTACTCCAGTAAGGTGTGTCCCGAGCAGGCAAAGGTCACAGAGGCGGCCAGGGCAGGGTTGAAGAAGGCAGACGTGAAGGGCCCGGCTGTGGGCAGAGCACAGACAGCCCTGGTCCCCAGCCCTGCCTGACGCCCCTCTGCAGGCCAGGACCTGATCCCCGCCACCGAATCCACACCGAGAGCCCCACTGTGTGCAGGCCTGGGAGCTGCTCTCGGCTCCTGAAGCCCCGCCTGGTCCCCCGCACCGATGGACACACGATGCAGCAAGGCCGGGTCAGCCAAGGTCTGGGTCAGGGGCAGCAGCTTGGGGGCCCCCCAGGGCCGTCCAACACCCTCGCGACATCTCACCGGGATCCCGTGCCCCGCCCATGCTGCCCTCCAGCACCCCACCCTGTGGGATGTGGCCTTCGAGAAAGACGGACAGAGAGAGATGGAGAGAGACACTAAGAGAGACAGATAGTGAGAGAGAGACAAAAAGACACAGAGAGAGACAGGGAGACAGAGAGAGAGGAGAGACAGAGAGAGAGAGGAGAGACAGAGAGAGAGAGGAGAGACAGAGAGAGAGAGGAGAGACAGAGAGAGAGAGGAGAGACAGAGAGAGAGAGGAGAGACAGAGAGAGACAGGGAGACAGAGAGAGAGGAGAGACAGAGAGAGAGAGGAGAGACAGAGAGAGAGAGGAGAGACAGAGAGAGAGAGGAGAGACAGAGAGAGAGAGGAGAGACAGAGAGAGATCTCAGAAATAAACGAGCAGCAGCAGAGGAGAGAAGACGACATGGCTGTGCGATGTGAGACAAGGGAAGGCGGCGGCAGCCGGGCCGCTGTCCTGCAGCCCCAGGCCTGGGTGACCACCCCAAATAACAGAATCCACCAATACCGGGGACCTGCCTCTGGGCACGGAAGAGCAGGGAGTGGGCCTAGCGGAGGGCAGGGACCACAGGGACATGGAGTCTGCGGCCGCCCAGGTGTAAACCAGGACCCTGAGGATGGGCAGCTCCGTCCCTGAGACCAGGCGCCCTGTGCCTCGTGGAGGCAGGACCCTTGACGGGAGCTCTCCGGTGCCACCCAGGACAGAGGCCCGGGCAATCTGCCACAGAGCCGTGTCCCTGCAGAGCTCCCGCTCACCCGTGCCTCAGTTTCCCCATCTGTACAGGGCTCTGGTGGCACCTTCCTGTGGCCTTTGTGGTCCAGATTCCGTGGTGTCTGCCCAGTGCTGGGTCGTGGGCAGTGCCATGGACCTAAGTGCTGGTCCTGTCCTGATTAGGACCTCGGACCCCCGGAAGGAGACCTGGCACCATTCTCCCTGCAGCCCTTCCTGTGGTGCCTGGAGCACGAGCCGGCTCCCCTGGCTCTCCCTGCAGCCCCAGCGCTGTGGACACCTGTCCTGGGAACTTGCTGAGCAAAGGCTTTCGTGGTGGTGGAGCCTAGCGCTCGGAGGGGAAAGCAGACATGGGGGACTGGATCAGACGGAGGGTCTGAGTGGAGGGAGCTCACAAGGGGGTGATGGGACCATGAGAGCTGGGTGCCACGGTCGGTCCAGGTGCAGGCAGAGATCGCAGGATGCAGGTGTCAGTAGGAGGCCAGGGAGGCCAACTGGGGCAGGTGAGACAGGACCTGTCGCTCTGGAAGGGGTGATAGAGGGTGCAGGGACTCCCACACCAGACCAGGAAACTGGGCTGGGCCTTGAATCGTCTGCCTCGGCTGTCCCTACTACCCCAGAGGCAGAACTTCTGGGAGGACCAAGAATAGCTGCGACTGGGGAGAGGTGCAGTGGGCAGGATGGCCCTGGCAGGGGACAGGCTGCTCCACCGCACCCCATGTCCAGCGCAGGCCCTCGTCTACCCGCCAGATCCCAGGAAATCACCGCCTCTTCTTGTGGGTTTGTTGGCCACCCGGGCCAGCAGCCCCCTATCCTGGGTGCAAACGGGCCTGAGTGTGCATGGAGGCCACACAGGTGAGAGGTCCTCAGGGGCCCAGGGGAAGGGGAAGCAGTGCTCACCCGTGTAGGCCGTGACGGTGACCAACAGAGCCACAGCGGGCCCGCTGTAGGCGGGAGGACTGTGCCGCAGGTGCAGGAGGGTCAGATGGAAACAAAAGGCGCAGGCGGCCTCCACAAGCGCCCCGTGGGGCACGGATGTGCGCAGGGCCGAGCTGCAGCTCTGGGCCATGAGGCTCTGCAGCAGGTGCAGGTCACTGAGCTCCCAGGCCCAGCAGAGGCGCATCAGGGTGCAGGCGGCCTGCATGCCCAGCCCCTGTGCCGCCAGCTTCAACAGCGTGCCAGGCAGAGACTGCTCGGCCATGAGGAACTCCTGCAGGGACACAGTGGGGTTGGCCGAGGCCCCGTCCAAGGTGACCCCGTGCGCCAGGAAGAGCAGGAAGAGCAGGGTGAGCAGCAGGTCAGGCCCAAAGTCCCCAGCCCAGGGCCCGAGCTCGACCAGCGTCCTCATCTCCAGGCAGCAGGGCCCGAGCTGCACCCGCACCCACCGCCTCCCGGGCGAAGACTTCATAGGCGCCCACTGGGAGCAGGGCCTTGGAGGCCCGCCTGGCCGCCTCACAGAGGGCGAAGGTGGCAAAGAAGAAGGAGAGGGACACGTTAAGACCTGCCATCGGCCTGGGCCCCCCGAGGAGCTGTGCCTGCAGGACACCTGAGGGGACAGAGCAGGAGCTGGCTGGTTCCCACAACCCAGAGGGCCCAGGCGTGTGGGAGAGGGCACCTGGGCCTCTGGGAACACCACAGCTGCAGCCCCAGCTCCCGCCCCACTGGCTGCCACCCAGGTGCACAGCCAGGATGGCCACAGGGGCCCTGCCCCACAGCCTGGCATCATCCCGTCATGTGACACACCCGGACCCACTGGCCACGCTCGGCCAGCCCTGGGCGCTGGAGACTGGCCCAGCTCTTCAGAGCCTCCATCCGAGCTCCGCTCCTCCTACCTGCGCTCTTGGGTACCGGACCCCAATACCTGCTCCCTGCACCTGGCCCCTCTTGAGTCAGGGTCTCCCAGATCCTGCACCCCCTCCAGGTCCCTGCCTGAACAAGGGCCCCCATTTCCGCCTCCCTGCATGGATGCTGTGTCCCCATCTCAGTGAGGGCCCCAGGCTTATTGCACCTGCACTGTGTCCCCACTGGGGTGAGACCCCCACTGAACCTGCACTGTGTGTCCGCCTGGGAGGCCCCTCATGGCCCCTGCACCTGTTCTTTGACCCAGCCTAGGTGAAGCTCCCTCCTGCCTGCACCTGTAGATGTCTTCCCTTGAGTGAGTGCCCTCTGCTCCCTGCACCTGGCTGTGTCCCCAGCTAGGCCAGGCCCCCTGCACGTGGGCTGTGTCCCTGCCTATGGGAAGGTCCTCTCATTCTTGGCTCCCTGCACCTCCACTGTGTCCCCACCTCAGCAGGGACCCCCAAGCTTGTTGACCTGCCTGGGGTCTGGTCTGGGTGAGACCCTCCTCCACCTGCTCTGTGTCCCCTCTGGTCAAGAGTTGGCAGCAGCCCTTGCCCCAGCCCCACATTCCCTGCCCTGTACTGCCCTCACCTGCCCTCAGGAGAACTCAGGACCACGCCTCACATCAACGTCCCTCCCACCTTCCCGCCCCGAAAGCGCTTTCCAGAGATGAAAACCGAAAGTGCCATCGCCATTCACTTGAATTTCCTGCAGAGGGGCCAGCTACCCACAGCTGCGTGGAGAAGGCGCTGAGCCTGGGCGTCTGCAGTGGGAGATAGCTGGGCTGGGACCATCCAGAGCTCCGGACCCCGAGGGGATGGGACATGAGCCCTGTGGGCCCTGCGATGGGCCGTCTGTCACCCTGCAGCATGGATCCTGTCCAGTGAGTCTGCACCCAAGCACTGGGACACCAGCCATGGCCATATGGTACAGCATGTGGGACTTTCTGGATGTCCCGCCCGCAGCCCTTTCCTTCTCCCCCAGGACTCACTCCAGCACCCGAGGCCCTTCCCCCAACCTGGCCCAAAGCTCCCCTTTCTCTGAGACTTAAATTTCCTTTTGTTTTTGGAAACCCAGTTGGGTCCCACCTGGCGTCCCCCTGGCACAGCTGGGGAGACTGAGACCAGGAGGGAATGGACCTGCCTGAGGGCACATAGGAGGCAGCAGCTCGCAAAACAAGGGGCGATTTTATTTCAGCTTTGAACTTTCCAGGTCTGGGGTTCAGAATTTCCTCCAGTTAGGGAAGGTGTCTGGTCGCCTCCAAGGAGGGGAGGCCCCAGGCTCTTCGACTCCCACAGGAAGGCCGCCTGTCCCCCTCCCCAACCCATCCACTGACCTCTTCCCAGGAGGCAGAGAAACCCTGGTTCCAGTAGGGCTGTGGCTGCCTTCGGCTGCCTGTTCCCTGTGCAAGTGCCCTGCCCTCTCAGAGGAGCAGAGGAACCTTCTGGAACCTGTAGAGGCCTGGCATCTGCACAGGGAAAAGCCAGGCTTTCCCTCGTGGGATCCTGTGGAGAATGAGCTCAGACGGATTCCTCATATTCTAATCCGACACCACTGGAGACCTTGACTCCTCCTTCCAGAGCGGGAACCCCCTTGTCCAGCGTCGCGGATACCGGGCCCCACAGTCTCCCTGCATCTGCATTGACCCTCCACGGAGCTCACAGCAGGGAGGGTCTGCGTGGTCCACCTCTACCCCACGCACAGGCAAACCTGAGAAGGAACGTTTAATCACCATTCACAGCCCTTGCTTCTTTCTAGAGAAATAAAACAAACTTACACCAGAATATGAAAACAACGTGAAACACACAAAAGTTAAGTGTGAGCCCGTGCACTGTGACAGGTGTCAGCAGCGTGAGTCTCGCCAGCGTCAGGAGCTGGAACGTCTTCATCATCCCCGAGTCCTCTGGTCCTCCCTGCCCTTCCGCAGCGGGAGGGTCCACTCTTGTGGGTTCCCAGTCCTCCCTGAACTTCCCCAGAGGGAGGGTCCACTCTTGTGGGTTCCTGGTCCTCCCTGAACTTCCCCAGCAGGAGGGTCCACTCTCGTGGGTTCCCGGTCCTCCCCGCCCTTCCCCAGCGGGAGGGTCCACTCTTGTGGGTTATGTGATTCTAGCTTCCCGCTTTCTGTCCGGAGCCTGCAGAGGAATGGGACCACGAGCTACACGTGGGTTGGACCTGCCTGTTTTGAGAGAGGGCCCTGTCCCTGGGGTTCATGTCCCTTGAACATGGTTGAGAATTTTGTTCCTTTTCATTGCTGACTTGAAGCCATGTCATGAAGAGCCACAGCTTGGCCGTTTTTCTGATGATGCCCATGTGGGTGGATTTTAGTTCTTACTACTATGAATAAAGCTGCTGTTAGCATTTTGGTCTATTCTTTCTGTAAACGCAGACTTTTATGTCTTTTGGGTAAATTCCTAAAATGCCCCGGGTGAGCTATGTCCACTGAACAAATCCCACATCTATAAATTTGGAAAGAAGACTTTATTTCCTATAAAGGGGTAGGGCCTTCAGGGTGGCCGTCCTGACACCCTGGGCACCTCAGCCTCTGGCAGAGCCCAGGCCGGGCACCTGGAAGGAGGGGGTTGGGGCAGGAGCTTCATGCTGAGCAGGTCGGCTAAGCATTCCCAGCCTTGCCTGGGCCTGGTCCTCTGGGGCGATGGGGAAGAATGGTGTTCCAGGACGGGGTGGGGGGCACCTGCCCAAGGCCTTCTGCAGGTGACCTGCTGGGCCTGGCCTTGAAGGAACCCCAAGTACACTCACCTGTACCCCTCACAGCCACCTCAAAATGGGCCCGCGATGTCTCAGCTCAGGACTTCCTGGGAGGCGACCTCACCCAAGGCTCCCCAAGGTTCCAGTCCTCAATGTCAGGGAGGGGCAGAAGAGACCAGCGGCTTCTCATCCAGGCCCCACAGTGCTGTGCTGAGCCCCATATGCCCCCCGCTCAGGCGGGTCCAGCACTCCCTGTGGCTCTCGGGGGAGACGAGCTGAAATGGAGTGGGGTCCTTGCTCAGCTCACAGCACCCTCTCCTCAGCCTCACCCCATTGGAAGGTGGCCCCTGAACCCTCTGCCTACCTGTCCTGTGCACTCCTCTGGGTTAGCTCTGAGAAGGCTGGGAAGGCCCTCGACCCACCTTGAGCCAGGTGTGGGAACAGAGTGGTCAGTCTGCGCCCTGGAACAAAGATCAAAGCCAGGGTGAGGCTGGTCCAGAGACGTCCCCAGGCCCTTCCAGGGTCAGCTTCCTTCACCCACAGGCTCCTGGTTCCCCTGGAGGGACCAAGCAAAGCCAACATAGCAGGGAGCCTGCACTCTGCCAAGCCTAGGGGTGCCCTGGCTTCTCCCCTTGCCTGTGTGTGTGGGTGTCTGAGGATCCCAGGGTGGAGATGGGGAGGGACGCGGTGTGGGAGGCCCAGTATTGGGCAGCACCGTTGGAGGGGACTGAGCTCGTCGGGGGGTGACCAGCCCTCAAGGCTTTGGCTGGCTGAGGGGTGAAGGGCCTGTGCCTTGTGCTCCAAGCCTTTCCCGCCTGGACAAAGAGACCCCTGGGCCCGCAACAGCTTCCACAGGAGCCTGGCCCTGCCCCTCCTCGGGTGGCCTGTGGCCACAGGGACCCTTCTCCCACCCTTTTCCCAGGCTCCCTGTGTCCTCACAGCCAGCCCCCACATCTGCAGAGCCCTTCTCTGAAATGCCAGACAGGAAGACACACCACTGAACCTGGAAGCCCCAGCTGGCAGAAAGGGGGTTGGGCACCTCAGGCAGGCCTCACCTGCATGCCCACGCCATGCTGCCCACGGCAGGGCCAGGCCACTCCAGGCCCCTCTGTCCTGCAGGCGAAAAGCCAGGAGTGGAGCTGCACCAGGGTTGGGTCCTGAGCAAGGTGAGGCCCCAGCCCCATCCCCACTCCCCCCAGGGCAGGCCTAGGGTGCGGTCCTGAGGGCGCCTGGGGCTGGCCTGCCCGTGTGCACCCCCCACCCACAGAAAGGGCTGGAAAGAAGTCCCACCTGTAGACGGAGGCCAGAGGAGGGGACAGCCTTGTCCTTGCTCCCCACCCTGCCTGTCTGCACGGGAGCCCACGGTGGGGCCCAGGAGGCACCTCCCTCAGGCCGGCTGTCCCTCCCCACCTGGGGCCCATCAGCTGGGGGTACTGCCAGGTGCTGGAACAGGGCCTGGGGCCTGCTACAACCAAACCTCTAGGCCCCCATATGTGAGTCAGGGTTCTCCAGAGAAACAGAGCTGCTGGGCGATACGTTTAGGAGGAGATTTATTACAGGAATCGGCTCCTTGATCACGGAGGCTGAGAAGTCCCACAAACCGCTGTCCCTAAGCCAGTGAACCCGAACAGCGGGTGGCGTCATTCAGTCCAAGCCCAAACCGCTGGTGTCAGTCCCAGAGCGCAAGGCCTGGGACCCAGAAACTCCTGTGTCTGCGGGCAGGAGGAGATGGACGCCCCAGCCCAAGAAGACAGAGGAACCTCCGGAGTCTGGGTCTGCAATGGGCTGGGTGCTACCCACCCTCATAGCTGAGGCCAGATCTGCCTTCCTCAGCTCACTGACAAATTACCATCTCTTGTGTGACCTGAGAGTGCACAAACACTTCCTGGCAGGGAGGAAAAAGCAGTGACAAGCACATTTAAAAATAATCAATTTGGCTTTATCCGAAGGAAAATGCTCTAGTTATCAAAAGACACTACAAAGAAAATGACCAGGAAGTCTGGGGAGATACTGCAAAACAAATCCCACACAAAAATCTTGTATCCAGAATATAGAAAGAATGATCATAAATCAATAAAAAGATACACAGCCCCACTTTAAAAATGAACAGAAGAGATTGGAATGGACAGACAGTTCATGACTGATGGTTTCACACTTTTTGTCATGAGGGAAATGCAAGTTTAAGCCACGAACAGATAGAACCACACAATCAGCAGAAGAGGTAGTTGTGAAATCTTGACACCACCGACTTTTAAAGACACCAAAACTGTCACACACGACTGGTGAGAGTTAAGATACTACAGCCACTTCGGGAAAGGTTTGGATAGTCCCTTATAACGTTTTCACTCACCTGCCATGTGAGAACTAAAAATGAAATCCTGAGCTCCCGCACCAACAAGCTGAATGGACCCTTCTTGGCCAAGGGGATTCCAGAGAAATCTGAAAAACATGACAAAAATCCCGCCATGACAGAGTGGGAGGTGGGACCCGCCGCGTGACAGCCCCTCCGTCTGTGGTTGGGACACCACACTCACCAGCATGAAGGTGAACATAAAGAGGAGACTGACAAAACAGGTTCCTTGTGGTGATAAGACAGCAAATGATCAACAAGACCTGAGGCCCTGCCTGGCAGGGGTGGAGTCACGCACAAGACACTGAAAAGCAGAAACCAGGGGCTGCCGGCCAGGAGGGTTCTTTTTCTCTAGCAGCTAAACCAGCGCTGGCCACTAGGAAAGCCACACTCACTCAGGTGCAGCTCACCCCCTCCAGATGCTGACACACAGCCCCACTCTTCTGTGCCACCAGCCCTAAGTTTGATTGGCCAAGAGGCTGATTTCTGTAATTCTGACTGGGGACCACCCAGCAGGGACTGGTTCTGGCTGGTTTTCAGGGGCCGTGCAACGAGTGCCTTGGTGTTGCTGCTTCACCTTTCCAGGCAAGGGCCTCACAGGAACACATTTAGATATCACGTGTCCACCCCCAAGGAAACTTGAGACGCATGTCACATGCATGTTTGTTCAGTATGCATGAGTGAGGACCCCTTCCTGAATGTTCACGGCTCCTCCAGCAACCCATGGAGTGTGTGTCCTTAGCCGACCTGTTCAGCATGAAGCTCCTGCCCCAACCCCCTCCTTCCAGGTGCCCGGCCTGGGCTCTGCCAGAGGCTGAGGTGCCCAGGGTGTCAGGACGGCCACCCTGAAGGCCCTACCCCTTTATAGGAAATAAAGTCTTCTTTCCAAATTTATAGATGTGGGATTTGTTCAGTGGACATAGCTCACCCGGGGCATTTTAGGAATTTACCCAAAAGACATAAAAGTCTGCGTTTACAGAAAGAATAGACCAAAATGCTAACAGCAGCTTTATTCATAGTAGTAAGAACTAAAATCCACCCACATGGGCATCATCAGAAAAACGGCCAAGCTGTGGCTCTTCATGACATGGCTTCAAGTCAGCAATGAAAAGGAACAAAACTCTCAACCATGTTCAAGGGATATGAACCCTCAGGGACAGGGCCCTCTCTCAAAACAGGCAGGTCCAACCCACGTGTAGCTCGTGGTCCCATTCCTCTGCAGGCTCCGGACAGAAAGCGGGAAGCTAGAATCACATAACCCACAAGAGTGGACCCTCCCGCTGGGGAAGGGCGGGGAGGACCGGGAACCCACGAGAGTGGACCCTCCTGCTGGGGAAGTTCAGGGAGGACCAGGAACCCACAAGAGTGGACCCTCCCTCTGGGGAAGTTCAGGGAGGACTGGGAACCCACAAGAGTGGACCCTCCCGCTGCGGAAGGGCAGGGAGGACCAGAGGACTCGGGGATGATGAAGACGTTCCAGCTCCTGACGCTGGCGAGACTCACGCTGCTGACACCTGTCACAGTGCACGGGCTCACACTTAACTTTTGTGTGTTTCACGTTGTTTTCATATTCTGGTGTAAGTTTGTTTTATTTCTCTAGAAAGAAGCAAGGGCTGTGAATGGTGATTAAACGTTCCTTCTCAGGTTTGCCTGTGCGTGGGGTAGAGGTGGACCACGCAGACCCTCCCTGCTGTGAGCTCCGTGGAGGGTCAATGCAGATGCAGGGAGACTGTGGGGCCCGGTATCCGTGACGCTGGACAAGGGGGTTCCCGTTCTGGAAGGAGGAGTCAAGGTCTCCAGTGGTGTCGGATTAGAATATGAGGAATCCGTCTGAGCTCATTCTCCACAGGATCCCACAAGGGAAAACCTGGCTTTTCCCTGTGCAGAGGCCAGGCTTCTATGGCTTCCAGAAGGTTCCTCTGCTACTCTGAGAGGGCAGGGCACTTGCACAGGGAACAGGCAACCGAAGGCAGCCACAGCCCTACTGGAACCGGGGTTTCTCTGCCTTCTGGGGAGAGGTCAGTGGACGGGTTGGGGAGGGGGACAGGCAATCTTCCTGTGGGAGTCGAAGAGCCTGGGGCCTCCCCTCCTCCTTGGAGGCGACCAGACACCTTCCCTAACTGGAGGAAATTCTGAACCCCAGAACTGGAAAGGTCAAAACTGAAACAAAATCGCCCCTTGTTTTGCGAGCTGCTGCCTCCTCTGTGCCCTCAGGCAGGTCCATTCCCTCCTGGTCTCAGTCTCCCCAGCTGTGCCAGGGGGACGCCAGGTGGGACCCAACTGGGTTTCCAAAAACAAAAGGAAATCTAAGTCTCAGAGAAAGGGGAGCTTTGGGCCAGGTTGGGGGAAGGGCCTCGGGTGCTGGAGTCAGTCCTGGGGGAGAGGGAAAGGGCTGTGAGGGGGACATCCAGCAGGTCCCACGTGCTGTACCCCGTATGGCCATGGCTGGTGTCCCAGTGCTTGGGTGCAGACCCAGTGGACAGGATCCATGCTGCAGGGTGACAGACGGCCCATCGCAGGGCCCACAGGGCTCATGTCCCATCCCCTCGGGGTCCGGAGCTCTGGATGGTCCCAGCCCAGCTATCTCCCACTGCAGACGCCCAGGCTCAGCGCCTTCTCCACGCAGCTGTGGGTAGCTGGCCCCTCTGCAGGAAATTCAAGTGAATGGCGATGGCACTTTCGGTTTTCATCTCTGGAAAGCGCTTTCGGGGCGGGAAGGTGGGAGGGACGTTGATGTGAGGCGTGGTCCTGAGTTCTCCTGAGGGCAGGTGAGGGCAGTACAGGGCAGGGAATGTGGGGCTGGGGCAAGGGCTGCTGCCAACTCTTGACCAGAGGGGACACAGAGCAGGTGGAGGAGGGTCTCACCCAGACCAGACCCCAGGCAGGTCAACAAGCTTGGGGGTCCCTGCTGAGGTGGGGACACAGTGGAGGTGCAGGGAGCCAAGAATGAGAGGACCTTCCCATAGGCAGGGACGCAGCCACGTGCAGGGGGCCTGGCCTAGCTGGGGACACAGCCAGGAGCAGGGAGCAGGGGGCACTCACTCAAGGGAAGACATCTACAGGTGCAGGCAGGAGGGAGCTTCACCTAGGCTGGGTCAAAGAACAGGTGCAGGGGCCATGAGGGGCCTCCCAGGCGGACACACAGTGCAGGTTCAGTGGGGGTCTCACCCCAGTGGGGACACAGTGCAGGTGCAATAAGCCTGGGGCCCTCACTGAGATGGGGACACAGCATCCATGCAGGGAGGCGGAAATGGGGGCCCTTGTTCAGGCAGGGACCTGGAGGGGGTGCAGGATCTGGGAGACCCTGACTCAAGAGGGGCCAGGTGCAGGGAGCAGGTATTGGGGTCCGGTACCCAAGAGCGCAGGTAGGAGGAGCGGAGCTCGGATGGAGGCTCTGAAGAGCTGGGCCAGTCTCCAGCGCCCAGGGCTGGCCGAGCGTGGCCAGTGGATCCGGGTGTGTCACATGACGGGATGATGCCAGGCTGTGGGGCAGGGCCCCTGTGGCCATCCTGGCTGTGCACCTGGGTGGCAGCCAGTGGGGCGGGAGCTGGGGCTGCAGCTGTGGTGTTCCCAGAGGCCCAGGTGCCCTCTCCCACACGCCTGGGCCCTCTGGGTTGTGGGAACCGGCCAGCTCCTGCTCTGTCCCCTCAGGTGTCCTGCAGGCACAGCATCTCGGGGGGCCCAGGCCGATGGCAGGTCTTAACGTGTCCCTCTCCTTCTTCTTTGCCACCTTCACCCTCTGTGAGGCAGCCAGGCGGGCCTCCAAGGCCCTGCTCCCAGTGGGCGCCTATGAAGTCTTCGCCCGGGAGGCGGTGGGCGCGGTGCAGCTCGGGGCCTGCTTCCTGGAGATGAGGACGCTGGTCGAGCTCGGGCCCTGGGCTGGGGACTTTGGGCCTGACCTGCTGCTCACCCTGCTCTTCCTGCTCTTCCTGGCGCACGGGGTCACCTTGGACGGGGCCTCGGCCAACCCCACCGTGTCCCTGCAGGAGTTCCTCATGGCCGAGGAGTCTCTGCCTGGCACGCTGCTGAAGCTGGCGGCACAGGGGCTGGGCATGCAGGCCGCCTGCACCCTGACGCGCCTCTGCTGGGCCTGGGAGCTCAGTGACCTGCACCTGCTGCAGAGCCTCATGGCCCAGAGCTGCAGCTCGGCCCTGCGCACATCCGTGCCCCACGGGGCGCTTGTGGAGGCCGCCTGCGCCTTTTGTTTCCATCTGACCCTCCTGCACCTGCGGCACAGTCCTCCCGCCTACAGCGGGCCCGCTGTGGCTCTGTTGGTCACCGTCACGGCCTACACGGGTGAGCACTGCTTCCCCTTCCCCTGGGCCCCTGAGGACCTCTCACCTGTGTGGCCTCCATGCACACTCAGGCCCGTTTGCACCCAGGATAGGGGGCTGCTGGCCCGGGTGGCCAACAAACCCACAAGAAGAGGCGGTGATTTCCTGGGATCTGGCGGGTAGACGAGGGCCTGCGCTGGACATGGGGTGCGGTGGAGCAGCCTGTCCCCTGCCAGGGCCATCCTGCCCACTGCACCTCTCCCCAGTCCCAGCTATTCTTGGTCCTCCCAGAAGTTCTGCCTCTGGGGTAGTAGGGACAGCCGAGGCAGACGATTCAAGGCCCAGCCCAGTTTCCTGGTCTGGTGTGGGAGTCCCTGCACCCTCTATCACCCCTTCCAGAGCGACAGGTCCTGTCTCACCTGCCCCAGTTGGCCTCCCTGGCCTCCTACTGACACCTGCATCCTGCGATCTCTGCCTGCACCTGGACCAACCGTGGCACCCAGCTCTCATGGTCCCATCACCCCCTTGTGAGCTCCCTCCACTCAGACCCTCCGTCTGATCCAGTCCCCCATGTCTGCTTTCCCCTCCGAGCGCTAGGCTCCACCACCACGAAAGCCTTTGCTCAGCAAGTTCCCAGGACAGGTGTCCACAGCGCTGGGGCTGCAGGGAGAGCCAGGGGAGCCGGCTCGTGCTCCAGGCACCACAGGAAGGGCTGCAGGGAGAATGGTGCCAGGTCTCCTTCCGGGGGTCCGAGGTCCTAATCAGGACAGGACCAGCACTTAGGTCCATGGCACTGCCCACGACCCAGCACTGGGCAGACACCACGGAACCTGGACCACAAAGGCCACAGGAAGGTGCCACCAGAGCCCCGTACAGTTGGGGAAACTGAGGCACGGGTGAGCGGGAGCTCTGCAGGGACACGGCTCTGTGGCAGATTGCCCGGGCCTCTGTCCTGGGTGGCACCGGAGAGCTCCCGTCAAGGGTCCTGCCTCCACGAGGCACAGGGCGCCTGGTCTCAGGGACGGAGCTGCCCATCCTCAGGGTCCTGGTTTACACCTGGGCGGCCGCAGACTCCATGTCCCTGTGGTCCCTGCCCTCCGCTAGGCCCACTCCCTGCTCTTCCGTGCCCAGAGGCAGGTCCCCGGTATTGGTGGATTCTGTTATTTGGGGTGGTCACCCAGGCCTGGGGCTGCAGGACAGCGGCCCGGCTGCCGCCGCCTTCCCTTGTCTCACATCGCACAGCCATGTCGTCTTCTCTCCTCTGCTGCTGCTCCTTTATTTCTGAGATCTCTCTCTGTCTCTCCTCTCTCTCTCTGTCTCTCCTCTCTCTCTCTGTCTCTCCTCTCTCTCTCTGTCTCTCCTCTCTCTCTGTCTCCCTGTCTCTCTCTGTGTCTTTTTGTCTCTCTCTCACTATCTGTCTCTCTTAGTGTCTCTCTCCATCTCTCTCTGTCCGTCTTTCTCGAAGGCCACATCCCACAGGGTGGGGTGCTGGAGGGCAGCATGGGCGGGGCACGGGATCCCGGTGAGATGTCGCGAGGGTGTTGGACGGCCCTGGGGGGCCCCCAAGCTGCTGCCCCTGACCCAGACCTTGGCTGACCCGGCCTTGCTGCATCGTGTGTCCATCGGTGCGGGGGACCAGGCGGGGCTTCAGGAGCCGAGAGCAGCTCCCAGGCCTGCACACAGTGGGGCTCTCGGTGTGGATTCGGTGGCGGGGATCAGGTCCTGGCCTGCAGAGGGGCGTCAGGCAGGGCTGGGGACCAGGGCTGTCTGTGCTCTGCCCACAGCCGGGCCCTTCACGTCTGCCTTCTTCAACCCTGCCCTGGCCGCCTCTGTGACCTTTGCCTGCTCGGGACACACCTTACTGGAGTACGTGCAGGTGTACTGGCTGGGCCCTCTGACAGGTAAGGGCAGGGGCAGGGTGGGGTCCCTAGGGCTGCTGGGGCCCACAGAGCATCCTGGCACGTGGGGTCCTGCAGGGTGGAGGTGAGGGTGCCTGGTCAGTGCTCCTGGGGAGGTCTCTGCAGTGGGCATGGTTTGGGGGGTAGGGGCTGTGACGGCATGTCTCACTGTGGACACCGTCCCGGTGCCGAGCAAGCTGCAGCCAGGTAAGGAGGCCACAGGCTGGGGAAAGGCCAACCTTGCAAGGGGTGCTGGGCACACGGGGGATGGTGTCTGCAGTGGGGCTCCATGCACCTGGGGTTCCCGTCCCAGGTGGCATCTCCACACACCCAGAGCCAGACTCCGCCGAGGGGGGCTCATTCTGGTGTCCCTAAAGCCTCAGGAGGCAGAGAGCCCCGCTTAGATGATATAGGGTGCCATCGTGCACTTATAGGGCTGTGAGCATGGGGCTGGAGCAGCCAGGCCCTTTGCATCCTGGTGGGGCAGACCCGGGACTCGCTGATGCACACAGGGGACCCCAGAGTTCCCCCACAGTGTGTGCCCCTCCTTTCTTATATCCTGGATCCAAGCAGAGGAGCAGCATGGGGAGGTCATGGAGCCCCCTCTTGGACCTAGATCTGGGGATTCTGGCCCCTGGCTTCAGAGGCCCAGGTGGAGCCCACACCTTCTCCTGCACCTGCTCTCAGACACTCGGCTCCACCTCACTGAGGTACCAGAAGGGCAGCTGGGTTCCTATGGAATTCTGGAAGCTTTTTTCAGCTTCTGCTGGCTCTACACTGGGGAGGTCTCAGGGGCAATGCCTCAGCCTCCCCTTGGGGGGAAAGACAGGAGCTGGGGGTCTCTCAGGCACCTGGCCCTGCGATGGTGACACTGACGTCATCGTGATTTGTCGCCATGGTTCTGATGTGGTCACAGTCTCTCAGGCATGTGCAGGGTCCTAGGAAGCATACGAAGTGCATCAGGAACCCCCTCCTGCCCCCGTTGCCGAGGCAGCACTGCCCTCTGCTAGGAACAGCTCCGTGTTGGCCTCTCTGTCCCCACACACTGGGCCTGCAGGGCTTCTCCGAGACTCTTCAGTTCAGGTATCAACCCTGGGCTGTCTCCTGGGATGTGGGGGGCGGATGTTCTTTCCTTGCCTCCCCACGCTCCTCCTGCGGATCCTTCACTCCGGGTGGGTCGGCCTCTTCCTCCTGATCAGCTCCAGAGCCCCCTCTAGTTCCCTGGCATGGAAACACGGCCCGGGTGAGCTGTGGTGGCCCCGGAGGCCTCTCCGCTCCTGCACAGGCCTTGCTTCCTGCGGGTGACGAGGTCCTGGACTCTCTCCTGCCCAGGCTTCTGGGTGCTTTCCTTAGTTCAGCACCAGTGCTCTGTGTGGGCAGCGTCTCCCCCGAGGATCCGCAGCTCCGGGTTACCCGCAGGCGTCCATCTCCGGTATGGTGCTGCCCTTCACTGATCCTGGTTGTATTTCTGTTTCCTGCTTTCCTCATCGCCTCCTGTTTCGGTTGATTCCTTCTTTTTGCTGGTGCCCGTCTCACAGTAGCTTCCTGAGAACGGGGACCTGGCAGGTACACTTCAGACCTCCTGTGTCTGAAATAGTGTCCTGGTTCTGACCTGCACTTGAGTGTCGGTGAGGCCTGGGCAGGGTTCCGGGTGGGAGCTCAGTTTCGTCCTGAGTTTCTCAGGCCCCAACCATGGCCTGTGGTGGCTTCACGGGCTACAAGGCAAAGGACGCAAACGAAGAGGCTTCACGTGACAGGGTTGTATGCTCAGCCAGCTCTGGAGGCTGGAGTCTGAGCTGGCAGCACTGACAGGGTCAGCTCTCCTCGGAGGCTGCTGGGGAGGAGCCTCCTGCCTCTTCCGGGCTCCGGGGGCCTCTGGCACCCCCGGTGTCCCCGGGCTTGGAGACGCAGCACTCCCATGTCTGCCGGTTCCCCTGGCCGCCTCCTCTGTGTCATTGTCTGTTCTCTTCATATAGGGACACCAGTCATCGAATTGGAGGTTCACTCTACTCAAGTATGACGTCACCGTGATTTCACTGATTTTATGTCCCAGGCCGTATTCTAACAAGGGCACATCCTGTGTTCTGGGAAGGGCGTGTCGCTGGGGAAATACTCTTCACCCGGCTGCAACCTCTCACTGTAGAACTGCCTCTGTGGAGAAGCCCAAAGGGCATTTGCGGCTTCTAGGAGCCAAGTAGGAGGAGGCTGGGATCCGTGTTTCAGGCGGGACTCCAGGCTTGGGCGGGCCTGATACTCGAGTCCACATGCCCCCTCTAGAGAGGAACCTGTCTCCTGCCAGGGCCAGGGAGGGGGGCACTGGCTGCTTCTGTATTTTGGGGTTTGGGGCCCTGGAGCTTCCCATGCGGAATTGCCGTCCCTCCTCCTAGGCGAGTCCCAGGGCCACCCCATCCCACAGGGACCCGGGCGCCAGCTTCTGAAAGCATGGGGCATCTGCGGAAGAACTGGGTTGTTTCCCAGCTTTCGTCCCTGCGGAGGGGCGATCCGGCCCCTCCATGTCAGCAGTGTTTGGTCGTCCACATGCTTGTCAGCCCCACGCTGTGCTCCTGCGTCTCTTCCCGTCTCATCCATCTGGATGCTTGACACCTCTGACAGCATCCCTTTCCTGTCATCTTAGGGCAGCTTCAGGAAACCGAAAAACAGGCTTGTGTCCTTCCATTAACCCCTTTATCCACAAGTTCAGTATCAGCATGAGCCCTGGGGAGCTCCAAGGCTGCAGCCAGGAGCCCCGTAGCCAGGTGTGGACATGGGGCTATCTCCCTGGGTGTGAGCGGCCACCGGCACCTGCTGGCAGCACCCCTGAGCAGGTCATCCCGCCTCCCTGGGCCTGCCCTCCTGGGAACAGAGCTAGGACCAGTGTGGGCCTGGAGGGCCGAGTGAGGGGCAACTGTAGGCAAGCTGTAGGCACAGGGGCCACTGTCAGGAGCCACAGCAGCTGCAGGTGGTGACAGGCAGGGCCCCCTCAGGCCAGCCCTAGTGGAGCTCACACACTGTGGGTTAAATCCTTAGAGGAGTGAGATCAAACTTGAAGAGGATCTACTCTCCCCTTCTGCCCGGAACACCTGCCCTTCCCAATGACCTGGAAGGCAGGCGGGGATTTAGGAGTCTCTGCTCCTGGAGTTCTGGGAGAACGTTCGCATGAGGATTTAGCCAGGCCCAGCCTCCCACCCAGGGGCATCCACATCTTTCTTGTCCACTCACATCCCCCACCTCTACGCCAGGCCACAGCCCTGCAAGCAGCCACCCTGGGACGCCACATCAGGTCCCGGAGGAAAATGGCCACAGAAGCTCTGGGAGTGGCTCAGGACAATGTGGGGGGAGGGGAATTCCAGTCACTCATCCCAGAGGGTGGTCCAGAAGTACAAGGAACCCCACCGGCTTGCCCCCGTCCCCATGGCTGGCATACCCAGAGAGAGGGGCATGACCAGGGCGGGAAGACCAGGACCAGGCAGGAGCTGGGCCTCAGGGTTCTTGGGGCTCCTGGCCAGGCTGCCTGGCTCGCCTGTCCTGGCACAGGCCTGGGAGTGGGTGTCCTGTCTGTGTTTGGGCCCAGGAGCCCCGCGGCCCACCTGGGACCTGCCTTCTCTTGCAGGGATGGTCCTGGCTGTGCTGCTGCACCAGGGCCGCCTTCCCCACCTTTTCCAGAGGAACCTGTTCTACGGCCAGAAGAACAAGTACCGAGCACCCCGAGGGAAGCCGGCCCCGGCCTCAGGGGACACCCAGACCCCTGCAAAGGGGTCCAGTGTCCGGGAGCCTGGGCGCAGTGGTGTTGAGGGGCCACATTCCAGCTGAGTGGCCTTGCTCTGTGTGAGCCCCGTGCGAGGGCCCTGCTTGTAGCTGGACCCTGGAACCTTCTGTAGCTAAGAGGGAATCCTGGCCCCCTCCCCAGAAGCCATTTGTCAATAAACCATTTCTAAGACCTGTGTGTCCCCCTGGGCCCGAGAGAGGCTTCTGGAGGGGCAGGCAAGGGTGTGCGGCAACACGGTGAGGCTGGTCCGAGTCTCCCCATCTCCCGCGGGCTCCTTCCTGCCTCTTGTTACAGAAGAAGCAGGAGAGGAAAGGGCAGGATGACAGGGAAGAGCCCAGGGAGTCCGCCAGGTCCCAAGTCTGCCAAGATGATGCTGCAGCCCTGGACATGCCCGGGAGGGAGCCCACAGCCACGGAGGCCTGAGACCCGATGGGATGCTGAGGATGGTGCTGGAGCCTGAGGCTGTAGGCTTGTGAACTAGGCACAGGGCACCCAGTCCCACGGGCCCTGAGTTCGCGACCGTCAGGACCATGGTCCGCTCGCCGCCCAAAGCCAGGTCAATCACTGAGACCTTGGTGGCAGAACTGGGACCTGGAGGCATGGCACCTCCAGCCATTTCCTTCCCAAAGAACAGAGCCGGTCTGGAAACTTCCACCCAAAGGAGATAACGGCCCTCTGCTATGGGTCCTGCTGCCCCACCCAGAGGGAGGGAGTGAGGTGGCCGGTGCTCCTGCCACAGGCTGTACCCCGTCCTCTGGTGGGCAGCAGCCCTGGGCTCAGCCGCTCTGCTATGGGGGAAGGACGAGAGGAGAAAGCAGGGAGATGTCCTCGATGCGGGGGGCTACGGGACACCCCAACCCCAGTGAGACCTCCACCCCGGCCAGCGTCCAGGCTCTTGACACCATCGTGAGAAGGAATTCAGGGGCGAGTTGGCAAATAGTGAAAGACCAGAGATTTCCTGCGAAGCCCAAAGCTCCCACTGGAGAAAGGGAGTGTGGCGCCCTCTAGAGTCCCGTCCCGGGCAGGGGCGCTGGGGCTGGAGGAATCCACAGGATTCCTGGAAAACGTGGAGATGTCTCAGAGCTGCGGCGCCGCCCACTTCTTACACCAAATCTGGGTGTTCTGGAGCCATCACGCGCTGGTGGGGGTGTGACGAGTGTGCTAATGAGCGCACCGTGAGGTCGCGGGAGACACCGGGGCACAGCCAGAGCCCTGTGGGGTCCAGGCGGTCTCAGCCAGCACGGCCACACCCCGGTGTTTTGGGTCCTGTCAGCCACTCGCTGCTGCAGGGTTTCCTTTTGCTAGAGATGAGAAGGGGCTGCCTGGAACTTCCACTCCCCTCTGACCACCCTGTATGATTCCCGTCTCATGGTGCGTGGGCTTCTCCCTGGGGATGCCGGTGAGGCCACGTTTTCCTGGACGAGCGTTTGGTGGAGGGAGAGAAAGAAGAATCCTCTCCCCTCCCGGAGGTTGCCCCTTCACACACACACCCTCCTCCCCGAAGCTGCCCCTTCACACACACACCCTCCTCCCCGCCAGAAAGCCCCTTCACACACACACCCTCCTCCCCGAAGCTGCCCCTTCACACACACACCCTCCTCCCCACCAGAAAGCGCCTTCACACACACACTCTCCTCTCTGAGGCTGCCCCTTCACACACACACTCTCCTCTTTGAAGCTGCCCCTTCACACACACACCCTCCTCCCTGCGAGAAAGCCCCTTCACACACACATCCTCCTCTCTGAGGCTGCCCCTCCACACACACACCTTTCACCCCTCCATAAAGCCCCCTCCTACCCAGGCAGAGAGCTGGCTCTTTCTGGAGCCCCTGGCTCCTCTTCCCTGCTGTGGACTGGAGACAGGAATCCCATGGGACAGGCCTGAGAGCCAGTCCTGTGTGGCATCCAGAGGCCCCGATGGGGCTGCCAGATCCTGCCAGGCAAAGGGCTGCTGAGCACACAGGGGAGCCGATGGGGTGGGGCCAACCAGCTGCCCTCACAGACGTTCTGCGTGGGGGCCTGGCCATGCCTGGGTGTCACATGGCAGCAGAAGCAGCAGCAGGGGTTGGAGCCCCAGGAAGGAGAGGGGATCCTCCTCCGGTGGCAGCACGAGGCCCCTGGGTGCCGGAGGTGTGTCTATTTCCCCATCAGTGCCTGCAGCCTCTGCACAGATCCTTCCAGGAGTGGAGGTCCCGGTGCTCAGGCAGTAACTGTATCAGTAACTGAGCATGGGAGGAGCAGACACAGCCTTATCCCAGTAACATAACCAGGAAGCTGTTAGAATTACTCCAGCTTAGAATCTCTTTCTGACAATCTCGAAATTCTCAACAAAATCCACAAACCCTGAAGCAAGGGCCACAGCATTGGACAGAAACGAGCACAATTTTCCTATAAGATGTTGGAGTATCCAGGCATTAATGCAGAAGTTTTGAAATTAATTTTTCTTACAGTTGAAGATACACTGATGGAATTCACAAACAGATGTTGTAAGTTGTGTGCAATCGTGAATTCACCTTCAGTCTCTCCTATGAGCTCCACAAGCACAGGAAACGTCCGAGGAAACATAATCACGATAGATTTGCATCTACAAGCACACTCAAACTTCTGCGAAAGTCATCTGTCTGAAGCGCGGACAGTTTTGGGACTAGCCGCTCATCTGCTCTCGATGTGCTGAAATCTGCGCCTCCGGAGGCTCCGCAGAGCAGCTTCCCAGGTCGCCACAGCCTATGAGACACTCCCAGCAGCTCTGCAACGTTCCCTCTGCAGAAAGAGCCTTCTCCACATTAAAACTGCCAAAATGCCGGGCGCGGTGGCTCAGGCCTGTAATCTCAGCACTTTGGGAGGGCGAGATGGGAGGATCACGAGGTCCAGAGATCGGGACCATCCTGGCCAACATGGTGAAACTCCGTCTCTACTAAAAAAAAAAAAAATTACAAAAAATTAGCTGGGCGTGGTGGCGGGTGCCTGTAGTCCCAGCTACTCAGGAGGCTGAGGCAGGAGAATCGCTTGAAACCAGAAGGCGGAGGTTGCAGTGAGCCAAGATCGTGCCACTGCACTCCAGCCTGGGCAACAAGAGCGAAACTCCATCTCAAAAACAAAACAAAACAAAAAACAAAAACACCTGCCAAAATGACTTGGAATCGTGCATCTGCCATGGGTGACCTACGTGGCTTTCAAGTAGATGAAAAGAAAAGCAAGTTGCCAAAAACAGGTTTCGAGGCCCTGCAGAAGGATGCGCAGAAAAGGGAGCCGGGACGGAGCAGTTTCGGCTGGGGCTCCTGGCCACTGTCGCCCGCCCTGTGGGGTCCCATGTAACAGGGGCTGAGGGCGCGCCCTTCTGCTCCAGGGCCCTACGGACCCCTGCCCGCCTCTGAACACGGCCCACATTTTCCCTTGGGCCTGGGCCTGCCGCGCGACGCTGCCTGGCCTGGAGCTCTGCTCCCCAAGGGCGTCCCGGATCCCACACCCACTCCGGGAACGCGCCTGGCGAACTGCAGCTCTGGGGTGGCCAGGTCCTGGCAGTGGCGGCGGGTGGCCTGGTCCAGGTCTGGTGGCAGCCGGTAGCCCAGGATGGGCGCCAGGCCGCGCTGCAGCGGCGCCAGCTGCGGGTCAAGCTCCGCGCCCCGCCCCCAGGCCTCGCCATGCAGGAGGCAGGTGCGCGCCCACCGCTCCCGCAGCGCAGCCACCTCCAGCGGCAGCCCAGCGGCCCCCAGCGCGCCCAGCCACGCCCACAGCGTGCGGTTCAAGTGCGCACAGAGCGCCAAGTCCAGCGCGTTCTAGGCGCTCGCCCTGCACTCCACGCGCGGCTCCAGCGGCTCCGGGCCGAAGGCCGCGCGCCAGTGGGCGGGGACGGCCACCAGGTCATCCAGGCCCCAGCGCAGTGCGGCGCAGGAGCCCCAGGGACTCGTCCAGGTGCTGGGCGATCAGCAGCAGGTCGAAGCGCGCGGCCACCGCTTGCACCCCCGGGGCCAAGAGGCGCGTTGCCACCCTACAAGGCGGCGGCGCGTTGTGGTCGAAGCCTAAGTCCAAGGCCATGAGGTTGTGGCCATGGTGCCTGTCGGGCCGCCTGGGGTCGTAGAAGGCGCAGGAAGTGGCGCAGGATCCGGGCTCCGACGAAGGGAGAGGCCGTCTTGTAGAAAGCGGACTCCAGGACGAGGGCTGGGTCCCGCAGGGTGGTGAAGGAGGTGTCGCGGGGCAGGATGCGTCGCATCTGGGCGGGGAAGGGCCTGTGTGCCCACGAGGGCGGCTGGCTCTGGGGACGCTCCAAGGGCTCCAAGGGCAGCAGTCGCCTTGAGCCCCACCCAGGCAGAGCTTCCATCGCCTGGGCCTCTGGAGCTCTGGCCTGTCCATCCAGAGGCGCCCGGAGGAGGCGAGCCCCACCCTTATATTTGAACTCGGAGCCCCCCACGGACCACTTCCCACAACCGCTAGGACAGGAATGGCCCCCCCAGCGCTCTGCCTGCAGCCACCTCCCCTCCCTGCTCAGGGCACCGTACGTCATAATTAAGTTCAAGGGAAGGTACTATGCCTGGATGTGTACCTAAACCAGATTGATGTTTCTCTCCACCCAAACATCTCAGTGGAGTAAAGAATAACAAGGCAGCATTGCGGCAAACATGTCTCGCCTCTCACCACAGGGCGGTTTTTCTCTCATCTCGGAATTGAACAAATGCACAATCGGGTTTTAAATCGAGACATTCAGTTCCCAGGGGCAGGCAGGAGACAGTGGCCTTCCTCTATCTCAACTGCAAGAGGCTTTCCTCTTTTACTAATCCACCTCAGCACAGACCCTTTACGGGTGTCGGGCTGGGGGACGGTCAGGTCTTTCTCATCCCACGAGGCCATATTTCAGACTATCACACGGGGAGAAACCTTGGACAATACCCTGCTTTCAAGGGCAGAGGTCCCTGCGGCTTTCCACAGTGCATTGTGCCCCTGGTTTATTGAGACTGGAGAATGGCGATGACTTTTACCAAGTATACTGCCCGTAAACATTTTGTTAACAAGGCACGTCCTGCACAGCCCTAGATCCCTTAAACCTTGATTTCATACAACACATGTTTTTGTGAGCTCCAGGTTGGGTCAAAGTGGCTGGGGCAAAGTGGCTGGGGCAAAGCTACAAATTAACAACATCTCAGCAAAGCAATCGTTTAAAGTACAAGTCTTTTTCAAAATGGAGTCTCTTACGTCTTTCCTTTCTACATAGACACAGTAACAGTCTGATTTTTCTTTCTTTTCCCTACATGCCAGAGGGAAGATTAAGCATGGAGACAGTCACACAACACTGCCATCTTTTACCCAAATAAATAGTCATCACTTTACAGTCTTGTGCCAAAGCATTATCCATTAGCCAGACTGCCTGAGAAAGGCAAAAGACTCCCGACATCTGGAAATCTTGCAGGCTTTCAAGGCTGCCTATCTGCTTATAAAACAAGGATGTGTCCGTTATAGCTTTAAGTCTGCACTCTATGTCTAGCTCCTAAAACTAGAGTCTGCCAGGTTCCACGCTGATGATGCTCATCTTCCTGGGTACAGAACAAAGACAAGATAAGGTCAACCATTCTTCTGCCACCCGCCATCCTACAAGCCTTCTCCCTGTAAGGAAATATGTAAATTCTAAACCTCCTGAAAACCTGTTTGGATAACGTCAGACACAGACATGTCTGTGACTTGTGTTTTTCCCCAACACACCCTCAAGCTCTGGCTTAATAAAACTTGATCAATTGAGACTCCTGTGTCTGTCACTAATTTTGATCAACAGGTAACACAGTAGCTGCAGGGGGCCACAGATTGTAAACCAAAAAGCATCTGAGACAAGTCTCAATCAATTTGGAAGGTTATTTTGCCAAGGTTCAAGATCATGGTCTGTGACACAGCCCCTGGAAGTCCTGAGAACATGTGCCCAGGCGGTTGGGTCACAGCTTGATTTTGTACATTTTAGGAGGGCAGAAGTTACAGGCAGACATCAATCAATACATGCGAGGTATACACTGCTTCGGTCTGGAAAGGTGGGACATCTGGGGTGGGGTGAGAGGGCTTCCAGGTCATAGGTAGATGCAAAGATTTGCCGCCTGGCAATTGGTTGAAAGAGTTAAGTTTTGTCTAAAGAGTTGAAGTCAACAGAAAGAAATGCTTTGGGTTAACGTAAGTGGGGGGTTGTGGAAGCCAAGGTTCTCGTTTCGCAGATGAAGTATCCAGGTAGTAGGCTTCAGAGACAATAGATGGTAAATGTCTTCTTATCAGTCCTTAAAAGGTGCTAGACTCTCCTGAAAAGATTTAGTAAGAGAAGGAGATTCTCTACAGAATGTAAATTTCCCCCACAAGAGACAGCTTTGCAGGGCCACTTAAAAATACATCAAAGAAATATATTTTGGGGTAAAATGTGTTGATTTCTTTCAGGGCCTGCTATTTGTCACACGATGCTATACTAGAGCCTGTTCCAGAGGTCTCTCCTGGCTTCTAGTGTTGCTGGCCATCCTTGGTGTTCCTGGTCCTGTACAAACATCACTTGAGACTCTGCCTCCATCTTCGCATCTTCCCTGTGTGTCTCTGTTTCTGAGTCTCTTCTCCTCTTTGTATAAGGACACCAGTCATTTTGGATTAGGGCCCACCCTAATGACCTCATCTTAACTTGATTATATCTAAAATGGCTGTTTTCAAATAAGTTCACCTTCACAGGTACCAGGGTTTAGGACTTTAAGTATCTTTTTGGGAAAACATAATTCAGCCTAGCACTTGTAGTGTATAATATTGTTCAACATTATTGGACTCCATTTTCTAATAGTTTGTTGAGAATTTTTGTATCTATGCTCATGAGAGACATTGGTCTGTAGTTTTCCTTTTTGATAATGTCTTTATCTGGTTTTGGTATTAGGTTGACGGTAGCCACAGAGAAGGAGTTAGGAGGTGAGCCCTCTGCTCCTATTTTCTGGAAGAGATTGTGGAAAATTCCTATAATTCCTCCCTTAAATGTTTGGTGGAATTAACCAGTGAAGCCATCTGGGCTTGGTGGTTTCTGTTTGGGAAACTTATTAATTTTTCATTTATTTAATAGGCCTTCATCTATAATAGATATAGGCCTATTAAAATTATTCCTCCCTGTGGCCAGGATAATCCCAGCACTTTGGGAGGCTGAGGCGGGCGGGTCACGAGGTCAGGAGATCGAGATCATCCTGGCTAACACAGTGAAACCCTGTCTCTACTAAAAATACAAAAAAAATTAGCCAGGCGTCGTGGTGGGCCCCTGTAGTCCCAGCTACTTGGGAGGCTGAGGCAGGAGAATGGCGTGAACCTAGGAGGTGGAGCTTGAAGTGAGCCGAGATCGGGCCACTGCACTCCAGCCTGGGCGACAGAGTGATGCTCCATCTCAAAAACAAAAAAAATTATTCCTCCTTGTGAGTTTTGGTAGTTTGTGTCTTTCAAAGAATTGATCCATTTCATTAAAGTTATATAATTTGTGGACATATATTTTGTGGACATAGTTTTCATAGTATTTTTTTTATGATTCTTTTAATATTTATGGGATCAGTAGTGGTGACTTCTTTTTCATTTCCGATATTAGTAATTTGTGTTTTATCTCTTTTTTACTTGGTCAGCCTGGCTAGACATTTATCAGTTTTATTGGCTTTTTTGAAAAAGGTTATGAAAAACAAAGTTATGATCCCATAATTTTCTCTCTTGTTTTTCTGTGTTCAATTTTATTGATTTCTGATTTAATTTTTATTATATCTGTTATTCTGCTTGCTTTAGGATTAAATTGTTATCTTTCTACGGTTTCCTGGGATGGAAACTCAGATTACTGAATTTAGATATTTCTTCCTTTATAACATATGCATATGTCATCTACCTATAGCCCTATCCAGACACTGCTTTTGCTGCATCCCACAAACTTCATGAGTTGTATTTTCATTTTCATTTAGTCAGAATATTAATTTTTATTTACCTTGAGAATTCTTTGACCCATGTGCCATTTTAACATGTGCTATTTAATTTCCAGATACTTGGGGATTTTCCAGCTGTCTTATTGTTATTTGTTTCTAATTTTATTTAATTGTGGTCTGAAAGATCCTTTGTATTTTTGTTTTTCACATTTGTTAATGTATGGCTTATGGCCCATTGTGTGTTCTAATTTTGTGAATGTTCCATGAGATCTTAAGAAGAATATGTATCCTCCTGCTGTTGTAATTAAATTAGCTCCTCTCACATTCTTTTGATTAGTGTTGGCATAGTATATCATTCTCTTACTTGACTTTCAACCTATCTAAATCTTTGTTTTTTAAATGAGTTACTTATAGATAACATATAATTGGATCTTGTTTTTTTATCCTCACTGACAATCTGTCTTCTAATTGGTATATTTAGACCATTCACGTTCAACATGATCATTCATATAGTTGGATTAATATGTATCACATTTGTATCTGTTTCCATTCATTAATTTCACTTTTTTTTTTGTTTCTTCTTTTCACCACAGACACCTCTTTTTACCGTCTACTCTGGTTTTAATGAAGCATTTTATACAATTCCAATTTAGCTCCTCTATTAGGCCATCACTAGGGTATCAAAACAATATGTTTATATTTTTAAAAATTTTAGTGGTTGTCCTAGAGCTCCCAATATACAATTTTAACTAATGTAAGTTGAACTTTGAATAGCACTCTATTGCTTCATGTGAAGCATATGTACCTTAAGCAGAGCGTTTTCAATTCATTTCTATGTAAGTGTTCCCAATCTGTATGAGTCAAGACACAGATGGCCTGAATAGCACTAACAATCACCTTGATCTTACTGACATTTCTGGAATAACCCATCTAATGTGTAGGATATGCATTATTCTCAAACTCTCATGGAACACTCATCAAAGTAGACCACATTCTAGGCCATAAAACACACATAAACAAACATAAAAAATAAAAACACAAAGGATCTTTCAGACCACAGTGGAATAAAATTAGAAGTCAACAACAGTAAAATAGCTTTCCCCAAATATCTGAAAATTAAACAGCATAGTTTTAAATAGCACATGGATCAAAGAATTATTATCAAGATAAATGATAATTAATATTTTGAACTAAATGAAAATACCACTTATCAAAATTTGTGAGATGCAGGAAATGCAAAGCTTAGAGGAATATATAGCATTAAAATGCACATATTATAAAGAAAGAAGTATCTAAATTCAACAACCTAAGATTCCATCTCAGGAAACCAAAAAGAGAACAATTTAAGGCTAAAACAAGCAGAATAACAAAAATAATAAAAACTAGATCGGAAATCAATGAAACATACAATGGAAAAAAGTAGAGAAAATCACTGAAACCAAAAGCTTTTTAAAGGAGATCAATAAAATTGGCACAAACTTCAAGCCAGACTGCACCAGAAAAAAAGAGAAGACACAAATTACTAATATCAGAAATGAAGAAGGAATCATCACTACTGATTCTTTGGACATTAAAAGAATAATAAGGGAATACCATGACCACTCTATGTCTGCAAATTTCATAACTAAACAAAATGAACCAATTCCTTGAAATATCAAAAATCAAAAATCACAAAAAAAGAAAAAGATTATCTGAATTGCCATGTCTACATGTATATAATAAAGAAGTTGAATGAATAATTAATGATTTCAACAACAACCAAAAAACCACAGTACTTTCAGACAGTTTCACTGGTGAGTTCTACTAAACCTTTAAGGAAGGTAAAATTAATATTAATTCTCCATAATCTCTTCCAATAAAGAGAAGTAGAGAAAACACTTTTTACTCATTCTACGCTGCTAGCATTACTCTAACACCAAAGGAGACAAAGAAAACTACAAACCCGTATCTCTTATGAACATACACACAAAACTCCTCAACAAAATATCAAGTCAGATCCAACCATATAAAAAAATAAATTATATACTGCTACCCAGATATCCAAGGTTGTTTCAATACTTGAAAATTATTCTAATAACCATAGCAACAGGCTAAAGAAGAAAAATTATATGATTATATCAAATGATTTAGAAAAAGCATTTACCGAATCCTACATCCATTCACGAAAAATTCTCAGCAAATTAGGAATAGAGATGCTGTTTCTCAACTTGATAAAGCTCATCTACAAGCAAACTTACAGCTACAAGGAAACATCACACTTAATGGTGAGAAGCTGGTCACTTTCCCACTAAGATCACAAACAAGGCAAGGATGTCCCTGTTCACCACATCCACCCAACATTGCACTGGAATTCCTAGCATATGAAACAATACAAGAAGAAGAAATGAAAGGTATATATATTGGAAAGAAAGAAATAAAAATGAAGAAATAAAGGAGAGTAGTTATTTTTTACTAACAATGCTGAAACAAACAGAAGTCTATGTGAAAGTAAACCTAGACATGAGCCTAACACTTTCTCCCCAAATTAACCCAAAATGGATCATAGACGTCAGTGTAAAATGCAAAACTATAAAATGTCTAGAAGAAAACAAAGGAGGAATTCTGTGTGACCCTGTGATTGATGATGTTTTTGGATACTACTCCAAAAGCATAATTCATGAAAGAAAAATTAACTTTGGATATTAGATAAAATTTTCTGCCAGCAAAAGACATTGTTAACAAAATATAAAGACAGTTCATGGAATGGGAGAAAAATCTTCGCAAAATACATATCTGATAAAGGACTTATATTCAAACTATACAAAGAATTATTAAAATTTAGTAAGAAAACAACCCAAATTAAAAATGAACAAAAGACCAGAACAGACAACTAATCAGAAAAGATACAGAGATACCAAATATGCATATGGAAGTGCATATTTGTCAAATGTACATTTCCATATGCATATTTGATATATATAATTGCATAATTCATCATTAGAGAATTAAAAATTAAAATAATAACACACCTATTCGAATGGCTAAAATCCAACAACCTGATAATACCAAATGTTGATGAGCATGCAGAGCAATAGGAACTCTCACCCATTGATGGTGGGAATGCAACATAGTACCACCACTTTGGAAGATAGTTTGGCAGTTTCTTACAAAGCTAAACATAGTCTTATCATATGATCAGGCTATCACACTCCTAATGATTTTCCCAACTGATTTGAAAACTTTATGTCCACACAAAAACCTGCATGTGAATTTTCATAGCAGCTTCATTCATAATCACCAAAAATTAGAAGCAACAAAGATATCCTTCAACAGGTGAATGAATAAGCAAACTTTGGTACATCCATACAATGGAATATTATTCAGTAATAAAAATAAATTAGCTGTCAAGCCACAGAAAGACATGGAGACACCTTAAATGCATATTGATAAATGAAAGAAGCTAGTCTGAAAGGTGATATACTATACAGTGGTTATATAGCATATATCAATAATTATGATATAACATGGAAAATGTCAGTGGTTGTCAGGGATTTGAGGGGAAAGAAGAAAGTTAAAAAGGTGAAGCAAAGGAATTTTTAGGACAATAAATCTATTCTTTAAGTACTATATTCTGTATAATGCTATAATGGTGGATACTTGACATTATGCAATTCTCAAAATCCATACTACTTTACAGAATAAAAGATAAATGTTAACATATGCAAAATTTTAAAAAGTCATTTAGGAGGTTGGAGGCTCTCAGGAAAGAATGCAGACTATGACAAAAACATCTAACTGTATTACAAGTGTATAAAACAACCTCACTGAAGGGAGTGGAAAGAAAAGGTGCTCACCTAAGTAACCTTGGAAATGAGTGTTGCTGCAAGACTGAAGGCAAAGGACACTGCACATAAGCACTGTACTCTACCTGATAATGTCATTTCCCACAGGCGTGAGGGTGAACAATTCTTATGCCACTATATGTGTATGCTAAGGTTGGACAGTTAGGCTAATGGATGGCAGATGGTGGGTGCCAGGTTTCTTACTGGGTGGGATAAGTAAGGGAAGGAAACTAGAATAATCTACATGGTAATAGATTTGGAAACATCAAATGAAGTCATGATTACTTAGAGAAATATTTATAAATATATGTATATACATGGGATAGAATACACACATATATTTCCTCATTGTGTCAGCAGAGAGAGCCTAAACAAATCAGCACCTCAATAGCAACAAGCATACCCGGCTTCCAGATCTTGATTTCTTTTTTTTTTTTTTAGATGGAGTCTTGCTCTGTTGCCCAGGCTGGAGTGCAGTGGCGTGATCTCGGCTCACCACAACCTCCACCTCCCAGGATCAAGTGATTCTTGTGCCTCAGCCTCCTAAGTAGCTGGGATTACAGATGTGGGCCACTACACCTGGCTAATTTTTGTGTTTTTAGTAAAGACAGGGTTTCACCATGTTGGCCAAGCTGGTCTTGAACTGCCAACCTCAAGTGACCCATCCACATGGACCTCCCAAAGTGTTGGAATTACAGGTGTGAGCCACCATGCCCGGCCCAGATCCTGATTTCTAAGACCACTCTCCAATAAAAGGAGCCAAGATTTCTTGGAGAAATGGATGACTCTAGGACCGGGGCTAGAAATATAAAAGATGAGCCTAAAGCATCTTGTAGTGCCAGAAAGTTAGGAAGTGCTGGACACAAAAACCCACACTGGTGGCAGCACGTCAGAGAGACACAGGAGCCAACCGAAAGAGCTCCCCGGTGGCCAAGATTGGAATAGAGTTAACAAAACAAATAAAATAATATTTAATCATAGCCCAAAGTATAAAAAAAAATCCATGAATCCATGCTGATATAAATTAATTGTAGAATAAATAAGTTAATGGGGTAGAAGAAACAAAAGTCATGTGTGGAAAAATTCTAAATATTTTATGATGCTACTCTTCCCTCAAGGAGAGGAAGCATAACTTCCCACTCCTAAACTGTGGGTTGCACATGAAGACTTCCTTCTAAAGAATACAGTATGGAAAGGAGGGAGGGGAAATAGTCACTTTACAGTGGAGAAAACTCACCACACTACCTCAAGGTCAACATCAACAGGGATAAATGATGTTGATACGATGTCAATAGTATGTACCCTTGATATAATGTGACAAAAATGGTACTTTACTTCTGTAGTCTTCTCCCCAAAACCCATCATTTCAGTCTCATAATGAAAAAAGTCAGATAAATTCTAATAAAATTACATTTTACAACATACCTGAGCAGTTGCTCTGAGAGCCCCCAGCTAAACTGGGGTTCCAGTACCACAGCAGCTAGCAACCCTGCCCTAACAGAAAATGAAGAGGGTCTGGACATGGGTGTTTACGGTATCCTTTTTTTTTTTTTTTTTGAGATGGAGTTTTGCTCTTGTTGCCCAGACTGGAGTGCAGTGGTGTGATCTTGGCTCAGTGCAACCTCTGCCTCCCAGGTTAAAGCAATTCTCCTGCCTCAGTCTCCTGAGTAGCTGGAATTACAGGCATGCACCACCACATCTGGCTAATTTTGTATTTTTAGTAGAGACAGGGTTTCTCCATGTTGGCCAGGCTGGTCTTGAACTCCCGACCTCAGGTGATCTGCTCACCTCGGCCTCCCAAACTGTTGGGATTGCAGGTGTGAGCCACCGTGCCTGGCCTACGGTATCCTTTCATGGGCTACTTCTATCACCTGGAAGACAACCTAATACCTAGTGTCTGACCCGTGACCAGGGAGGTTCCTTGCACTGGAAACTTGTTTATACTGGCAGATAGCTTAGTGGCCCTTGTCTGACTCATGTCTAGCTTATGTCTGCCTGATCTTCATTCTGTGTCTGCCTGACCATCACTCTGATGCTGGGAGCCTGACCTTGTGTTCTTCTGGTGGAAGGTGCAAATTCAGTACACCACCACAATATGAAATATGTTCAAAGATTTATTACAAATAGATCTTGGACAGTAAGAGCACAGTTAGGAGGGAAGTCCTTCATCCTCCAGCCACTTGAAGTTCATGGGGAAATGTCTGAAAGGTTCATTTGAAAGAAGCCACAGGAAAGCAGGGAGCCCAGTCTGCTGGGTGTGGAAGATGCCTCTAAGTTCATTTTTGTTTGTTTGGTTTTGGTTTTGAAGATCTTGTTGCATACCAGACTTCTAAGTTCTTCTCTCTAGCCACTGGCTTCAACCATTTGGATGTTCTACTTCTAATGCCTAGGGAGCAAACATTGCTGTGGCATTCTCATTACATCAGCACTCCTCAAAACTGTCAAGGCCATCAAAAACAAGGAAAGCCTGAGAACCTGTCACAGCCAAGAAAAGCTTAAGGAGTCATGACAGCTAAATGTAATGTGATAGCCTGGATGACCTGCTGGAACCGAAAAAGTGTGTTAAATGAGACATAAATATAAACAAAAAAATAGATAAAAACTAAACTATCAGAATAAACTACCACGTTAGATAATGATCAATATTTGTACATCAATTGTAATAAATGTACCATATCGACATAAAATGTTAATGATAGGGAAAACTGGGTGCAGAAGATATAAACAAACAATTTATGTTGGCAGATTTGTGGCTCTTGTTCAACCCACGTCCAGTTTATGTCTCCCTGATCATCACTCTGGGAACTATTTGTACTATCTTCTCAACTTTTCCATAAATCTAAAACTATTTTTTAAAATAATTTCTATATAAAACAAACAAAACAGAAGGAAATACACCATGACAAAGTGGAATTTATTCCAAGTATGCAATACTGGTTTAAAATTAGAAAGTCAATTAATATAATCCATCACATCAACAGGCTAAAGAAGAAAAATTATGTCACAACAATAGGTGCAGAAAAAGCATTTGACAAAATCCAAAACCCATTCATAATTTAAAATCCTGAGTAATCTAAGAATAGAGGAGAAACTTCCTCAACTTGATAAAGAATATCTACAAAAAAAACCAAAAAACAACCTACAACTAATATTGTACATAATGGTGAGAAACTAGATTTCCTGCTAAGATCAGGAGCAAGGATGTCCCCTGTCAGCACTGCTTTTCTACATTGTACTGGAAGTCTTAGCTAATGTGATATCACAAGAAAAAGAAATAAAAAGTATATAGATTGGGAAGGAATAAATAAAATTCTTTATTTGCAGATGACATGATCATTTATGTAAAAAAAAAAAAAAAAAAAGGACAAAAAAAAACCCTCCTAGAACTAACAGGTGATGTAGTGTCCCCAGCAAACCTCTTGTTGAATTGTAATTCTCAGTGTTGGGAATTACAACAGTGGGGCCTGATGGGAGGTGATTGGATCATGGGGTAGATTCTTCATGAATGGTTTAGCACCGTCCCCCTGCCTTGGTTCTGTATAGTGAGTGAGTTCTCACAAGATTTGGTTGTTTAAAAGTGCGTGGCACACTCCCCTCTCGGTCCTGCTCCTGCCACGTGAGATGCCTGCTCCCGCCATGTGAGATGCCTGCTCCCGCCATGTGAGATGCCTGCTCCCGCTTTGCCTTCTGCCATGAGTTAAAGCTCTCTGAGGCCTCCCCAGAAGCAGATGCCACCATACTTTCTATACAGCCTGCAGAACTATGAGCTAATTAAACCTCTTCTTTATAAATTACCCAGTCTCAGGTATTTCTTTATAGCCGTGCAAGAACTGACTAATACAGGTGATTACAGCAAGGTTGCAGGATACAACATTAACATACAAAAGTTGGCCGGGCGCGGTGGCTCATGCCTGTAATCCCAGCACTTTGGGAGGCCGAGGCGGGCAGATCATGAGGTCAGGAGATCAAGACCATCCTGGCTAACACGGTGAAACCCCATCTCTACTAAAAGTAAAAAAAAATTAGTCGAGTGTGGTAGTAGTCCCAGCTACTCAGGAGGCTGAGGCAGAAGAATGGTGTGAACCCAGGAGGTGGAGCTTGCAGTGAGCTGAGATTGTGCCGCTGCACTCCAGCCTGGGTGACAGAGCAAGACTCCATCTCAAAAAAAAAAAAAAAATACAAAAGTCAATTGCTCTTCTATATACCAGCAATGGACAAGTGGAATGTGAAATTAAAGACATATTACCATTTACTTCAGCATCCCTCAAAAATTAAATACTTAGTTATAAAGCTAACAAAATATGTATATGACCTATATGATGAAAACTACAAAACTCTCATGAAATAATTTTTTAAAAACTAAAGAAATGGAGAGATACTTCACGCTCATGGACAGGAAGCCTCAATATTATTAAGATGTCACTTCTTCTCAACTTGATGTATAGATTCAGTACAACCCCAATCAAAATCCCAGCAAGTAATTTTGTGGATATCAACAAATAAATTCTAAAGTTTCTGTGGAGGCCAGGCACGGTGGCTCACGCCTGTAATCCCAGCAATTGGGAGGCCAAGGCGGGCAGATCGCTTGAGGTTAGGAATTCGAGACCAGCCTGGCCAACATGGTGAAACTGCATCTCTACTAAAATACAAAAAAATTAGCCAGGTGTGGTGGTGCTGAGGAGGCTAAGACAGGAGAATTGCTTGAACCCGGGAGGCGGAAGTAGCAGTGAGCTGAGATTGCACCAGTGCACTCCAGCCTGGACGACAGAGTGAGACTCCGTCTCAAAAATAAATAAATAAATAAATAAATAAATAAATAAATAAAGTTTATGTGGAGAGGCAAAGGACTCAGAGTATTAATACAATACTGAAGGAGAAGAACAAAGCCGGAGAACTTACTTGACTTCAAGACTCACTATGAAGCTACAGTAATCAAGGCAGCGTGGTACTGGTGAACAAATAGACAAAAGATGAATGGAACAGAATAGAGGCCCGTAATAGAAGCACATAAATATAGTCAATGGATCTTTGACAAAGGAGCAAAGGAAATACAGTAACAAAAAGATAATCCCTTCAACAAATGATACCGGAACAACTGGACATCCATGTGTAAAAAAAAAAGAATCTAGACAGACTTTACACTTTTCACAAAAATAAACTGAAAATGGATAACATCCTTAAATGTAAAACACAAAACTGTAGACCCTTAGAAACTAACATAGGAGAAATTCTAGAGGATCTTGGGTTTGGTGATGACTTTTTAGACACAACACCAAAGACAATAGCCATGAAAGAAAGAAAAGGTAAGTTAGACTTTGCTGAAATTAAATATTTCTGCTCTATAAGAGACATTGTCAAGAGAATGGAAATGCAAGCCACAGACAAGGAATGACATGTCTTTGCAAATGATGTATCTGATAAAGGACTCTCATCCAAAATATACAAAGAACTCCTAAAACTCGAAAATAAGAAAACAAACGACCCAATTAAAAGATGGGTCAAAGACCTTAACAGATACCTCAGCAAAGAAGATAAGCAGACAGTAAATAAGCATACGAAAAGATGCTCCACATCACATGTCATCAGGGAAATGAAACTTAAAACAACAACATGCCACTACACACTTATTAGAATGGTCAAAATCCAGAACACTGACAACACCAAACGCTGGTGAGGATGCAGAGCGACAAGAAGGCTCATTCACTGCTGGTAGGAATACACAATGACACAGCCACTTTGGAAGACAGCTTGGCACTTTCTTACGAAACTAAATATACTCTTACCATATGATGCAGCAATCATGTACCTTGGTATTTATCCAAAGGACTTGAAATCTCATGTCCACACAAAAACCTGCAAACAGACGTTTATAACAGCTTTATTCATAAATGCCAAAACTTGGAAGCAATCAAGATGTCCTTCAGTAAGTGAATGCATAAATTCAGACAATGAAAATAAGATTGACCTTAAGCAAGATTAAGCAAAAAGAACAAACCTGGGTAGATATCCAGTAGTGGGATTGCTGGATCAAATGGTGGTTCTACTTTTAGTTCTTTAAAGAATCTCCACACTGTTTTCCATAATGGTTGACCTAGTTTACATTCCCACCAGCGGTGTAGAAGTGTTCCCTCTTCACCACATCCACACCAGCATCTATTATTTTTGGATTTTTTATTATGGCCATTCTTGCAGGAGTAAGATGGTATCACATTGAAGAAATGAAGTCATTATACGAAAAAGATATTTGCACACGCATGTTTATAGCAGCACAATTCGCAATTGCAAAAACGTGGAACCAACCCAAATGCCCATCAATTGAGTGGTTAAAGAAACTGTGAAATATATATATATATATGGATGGAATACTACTCAGCCATAAAAAGGGATGAATTAATGGCATTCGCAGTGGCCTGGATGAGATTGGAGACTATTATTCTAAGTGAAGTAACTCAGGAATGGAAAACCAGACATTCTGTGTTCTCACTCAAAAGTTGGAGCTAAGCTATGACGATGCAAAGGCATAAGAATGACTCAAAGGACTTTGGGGACTCAGAGGGAAAGGGTAGGAAGGGGGTGAGGGATAAAAGGCTACAAATTGGGTTCAATGTATACTGCTCGGGTGATGGGTGCACCATAATCTCACAAATCAGCACTAAAGAACTTACTCATGTGACCAAACACCACCTGTTCCCCAGTAACCTGTGGAAATAAAAAATTTTTAAAAAATACTATTGGCATTAAAAAGAAATGAGCTATGAAGGCATGAAAAGACATGGATAAACCTTAAATGCATATTACTAAGTGAAAGAAGCCAATCAATCATATATTATGTGATTCAAATATATGACATTCTGGAAAAGGCAAAGCTATGGAGACAGTAAAGAGATCAGTGGTTGCCAAGGGATGGGGAAGGCGGAAGATGGATGAACAGGTGGAGCACAGAGGAGTTTTAGGTAGGATGCTCTATATGATACTGTCATAGTAAATACATGAGGTAGGATGCTGTATATGATACTGTCATAGTAAATACATGTCATTGTAGATTTGTCAAAACCCATAGAATGTACAACATAGAATGACCCTTAATGTAAGACATGGGCTTTGGGTGATAATGATATATCAATGTAGGTTCATTAATTGTAACAAACATGTCACATTGGTGATAGATGTGGGCAATGGAGAGGCTAGGCATGTGTTGGGGGGAGGGAGTATATGGGAAATCTCTGTATCTTCTGCTCAATTTTTCTGTGAACCTAAAATGGCTCTAAACAATAAAATCTATTAAAAATGAAGTTTATTTTAAAAATCAGAGGGAAAAAACAGTAAACAGAAAATAAAATGGCAGGATTAAGCCCTGTTATATCAGTACTTACATAAAATGTAAATGGACAAATATACCAATTTAAAGATATTGGCAGAATGGATACAAAAACATGATCCCGATACACGCTGTGTTTCAGAAACTCATTTCAACTGTAATTATTATATGATTAGGCTGAAGATAAAAGGATGGAGAAAGGTAGACCATGAGAACATGAACAAAATCAAGTAATCATGGCTCTATTAATACAGATAGAACCTTCAGAGCAAAGAAATTACCAGGGACAATTACTCATGTGCATGCAGCAAACAGAAGAACTGTACCATTATCCTTCCCTCACGGAAAGACTTGTATAATTATATGAGTTCTCCCCGACCCCCTCCTCCCCAGCTCCCCAGAAAAGCAGAGGAATCTCCCCAGCAGGGACCCTCCCTTGGCCCCTCATGTTCAGTGTGAGCACACACCAGCCCTTGGTGCCTATAGCTTCTTTCTTTTTGGAAAACCAGTGTTTCAATTGCCTGTTTCAATTCTTTCTCAAGCCATTGCTCTGAAGATGAGTGTGTTTCTTGATGTGAAGAAATGTAACTCAGCAGTGCACACTGGCATGAAAGCTTCTGTTCCAGCTCTTTTACAGCACTCTGTGTATTTGCATGTACCACTGGGCAAGCAAAGCCCAGCCCAGAGTCAGTGTCTGTTCCTTTCAGGACCTATTTGTAGGCTTCTGGGGCTACAGAATCAATTCTACTTGCCAGCTATGTGCAGGGCCTCCCCCTTACCCCCCTCTGCTTCCAGGTAAATCTGCCCTGCAGCCATCTGCAGTCTCTGTCTCTGTATCAGCAGATAGTTGCATCTCATGGCTCCGAGGGTGTGTTGAGGGGGAGGACATGTTTAGGCGCAGCCCTTCCCTGCGCCGCTGCAGCCTCCACATCCACGGCTTCCATGGGCCCTTGTGGCCATCCCAAGTGAATGCACCAGGACTCCCATTTGCCAGTTCCGATCACCTTCTGATCCTGGAAGGGGTTCTTCTGATGGATATTGTCATGTTCTACTTTAATGCACCCCTGAAACTCCCACGGTGATTTTCAAGGGGCCCTTTCTTTAATAGACTAGTTTTCCACTGGCTATCTGCAATCACATGGCCATGTCACCGGCCACCCCTTATGAGTCAGTAAAAACCCAAACAGGAAAACCACATGCAAGTCAGCCCACTGAGCTAGTTTGACTTTTCCTTCTTCAATCAGAGAATCATGCCTGTAATCTCAGCACTTTGGGAGGCAGAGGAGGAAGAATCACTTGAGCTCAGGAGTTTGAGACCAACCTGGGCAACATAGCCAGACCCCATCTCTAAAAAAAAATTTTAAAACTTAGCCAGGTGTGGTGGCGGGTGCCTGTAGTCCCAGCTACTAGGGAGGCTGAGGCAGGAGGATCACTCAAGCCTGGGAGTCTGAGGCTGCAATGAGCAGTGATCACACCACTGCACTCCAGCATGGGTGACAGAGCAAGACCCTGTCTCAAAACACAAACAAAAAAAACAAAACAAAACAGAGGGACAGCCTTCCAAACAGGATGCTCCCCATTCTGCCTGAACCTGCTGTCCATAAACCAAGCAGCTTCCTGCTGATCCGTTGGGCACTGTTTTCATGGTGACAGCATCTGGCAGCTCCTCAGAGGATTCCAACGTCCGTCCTCGGGGAAAAGAGGCTCTGCTCATGGGGTGATGAGCTCCTCCTACCTTCCCCCAGGAGCATGTACCTGTACCCGAATACATAAATTAAATAAAATTTCCATTTTATTCCGGAATTCTTTTGGGCACTGACCTCTCCATGGGAGTGTTTCTCTGGCAATGCTTAAGACATTCTGGGTATTTCAGGTTCTGGGGTTATTTTATGTCCTTCAGTCATAGGAACAGTCTTAATCAAAGCTCAGTAACCCGCAAATTGTCTCTCAAACAGAAATTTCCAGTCCAAAATCGCACTTCTCACTGCTGGATGGTGCTCACAGGCTTGACTGTGAGTCCTGGTCTGCCTCACACAGGGCTGGACCATACAGAGAATGTGTGCCTGCACTCCTGCTTCTAACAGGGCATTCATTCAAGTGGTAAGCCCTTTTTGTCCACCAGCTGTTTAATACTGTTTCAAATTAATGACCTCTGTGGGCTTAGACAACGTTATTGGCTCCATTTAGCATGCCCAGCCAATATTGGCTGAAAGGTAGATTTACCTGTTGATATGGTTGATATGGTTTGACTGTGTCCCCACCCAAATCTCATCTTGAATTGTAACTCCCACAATTCCCACATGACATGGGAGGAACCTGGTGGGAGGTGATTGAATGATGACAGCAGGTCTTTCTATGATAGTGAATGAGTCTCACGAGATCTGATGGTTTTAAAAATGGGAGTTTCCCTGCACAAGCTCTGTCTTTGCCTGCTGCCAACCACGTAAAACATGACTTGCTCCTCCTTGCCTTCTGCCAGGATTGTGAGGCTTCCCCAGCCATGTGGAACTGTAAGTCCATTAAACCTCTCTTTCTTTTGTAAATTGCCCAGTCTCAGGTAGGTCTTCATCAGCAGTGTAAGAATGGACTAATACACCTGTCTTCTGTTTTACATGTGACCTAAGGGAAGCATCTGCCAGCCAGATGCAGTATCTACCCCCATGACACATTCAGGTGCAGCAGGTGCAACCACATCACATAAAATCTGCTCAAACATTCCGATATTCATCGGAACTTTCACCTTCATCCCATCAACCTTTGCTTCCTGCACCCTCCCACCCCAGCTGTAGCTTCTACAGAGACTTCACCAACAGGTTTGGAATCACAGTAGGAGAACAGCCTGTTGCTGTGTATTTATCTCGAAGCAAAAACACCATGATGACCAGTGTTTGATCCCCACATACCAAGGTGTTCTGCAGTAGGGTCTGTAGACATTGCCTGCAGCAGAGAGAACCCTTCAAAAAGACGTCTATCTAACCTGCTCAGTGGACACACGTCTTGGCAAGAATGTCCGAAGATATGACCAGCTGCACACGTTCTATCACACAAGCTTGCTAGATAAAGGATACTTTCTGGCCTGATGTGAGTGACTCACACCTGTAATCCCAGCACTTTCAGAGGCTGAGGCAGGCGGATCACTTGAGGTCAGGAGTTTGAGACCAGCCCGGCCAACATGGTGAAACCCCATGTCTACTAAAAATACAAAAATTAGCCAGGTGTGGTGGCACATGCCTGTAATCCTAGCTACTTGGGAGGCTGAGGCAAAAGAATCACTTGAACCCAGAAGGCAGAGGTTGCAGTGAGCTGAGATTGCACCACTGCACTCCAGCCTGGGTGACAGAGGGAGATTCCATCTCAAAAAAAAAAAAAAAGATGCTTTCTGGAGGGCAAGTGGCTCACAGCCCCTTGAGACGTGGCTTCTGTTCATAAGTCCCTATTTTTTTTTTTTTAAGATGGAGTCTCGCTCTGTCGCCCGGGCTGGAGTGCAGTGGCGCAACCTCGGCTCACTGCAAGCTCCACCTCCTGGGTTCACGCCATTCTCCTGCCTCAGCCTCCCGAGCAGCCAGGACTACAGGTGCCTGCCACCACACCTGGTTAATTTTTTGTACTTTTAGTAGAGACAGGGTTTCACGTGTTAGCCAGGATGGTCTCGATCTCCTGACCTGGTGATCCACCTGCCTCGGCCTCCCGAAGTGCTGGGATTACAGGCGTGAGCCACATAAGTCCCTATTCTATATTTCTTTCTGAGAAGCTGTATTTGTCAGCTTCTTTCTTCGGCCTCTCAGCTCCTGGGGCCTTTGCGGGTAGGTTTGCACTGACCTGCTCACCATGGAGCAATCTCAGTGCATGGGGCTCTCGTGTTGAGGAGTCCCAGAAACATTTCTTCTCCATCCCCTGAGCATTTTACCCACTCATGGGTGTATAGCATTGGGTCCCCAGCCAGGGGTCAGGCCAAAGGATGCCTGACCCTCTCATCAATCAAGCCCTTATCTTGATTGGATTGCAGGAGCATCACTCTAGGTGACTGGAGGCCAACTTGCTCATGGTCACCTTTGCCTTCTAATGTTTTCTATTTCTCCAAACTGGATGAACATAGGTTTAGGCCCTTTAGTTTGGGGCACACAGGAGCTCCCAGCAGTTCCAGTTTCTGAGAGTGCTGCCGTAAGAGTGTTGTTTTAACCCCATTAATGTCTGCTTTGCTCTGCCCATGTCTGTCTGTCTTTCTTTCTTTCTTTCTTTCTTTCTTTTTTTTTTTTGATGGAGTTTTGCTCTTGTCACCCAGGCTGGTGTGCAATGGCGTGATCTCAGCTCACTGCAACCTCCGCCTCCTGGATTCAAGTGATACTTGTGCCTCAGCCTCCCGAGTAGCTGGGATTACAGGCTCCCACCGCCACACCTGGATAATTTTTGTATTTTTAGTAGAGACGGAGTTTCACCATGTTGGTCGGGCGGGTCACGAACTCCTGATCTGGGATTAGAGGCGTGAGCCTCCGCGCCCAGGCTTATTATTATTATTTTAATTAGAGATGAGGTCTTGCTATGTAACCAGGCTGGTCTCAAACTCCTGGCCTCAAGCGGTCCTCCCACCTCAGCCTCCCAAAGTGCTGGGATTACAGGCATGAGCCACTGAGCCCGGCCATGTTCTTTCCATTTCTTAATAACTGTTGAAGGATGTTCACCTGCTGGGATGGGCTCCTTCACTCTCCCACCTGACTTTCCTCATTCTTTTGCAAAGCAGTCTGAATTTCCCCACAATCTGTTGTTTCCACACAACTTTTTCCTTTGGCCCTGAGGCCAGCGACTATAGCTTGGACCTCCCAGAACCCAGGATTGGTGCAATGTCAGGATTCAGCCCAACATCTTCCTTACCTTTCCCTCTAACCTTCCCATCGGTCATGGCCCCAAGGCAACCACCTCGGCCTCACTACCCATTGGCTCAGGCTCAGAACCTCTCTCTTGCTTTCATTTCAGCTTTTACAGAAACAATAACTCACAGTGGACCCATATGAAGTGCCACTAGTGATGCTGGAAGTGCCCAAGAAGCAGAGAAAAGTCATGACATTACAAGAAAAAAGTTGAATTGTTGGATACGTACTGAGGTCTGCAGGTGCGGTTGTGCCATTTCAGAGAGACAATTCATCTTGTAAACAGATGACAGAAAACTTAATGATATTGATAAATACAGTACAGTACTGTAAATGTATTTTCCCCTCTTTATGATTTTCTTAATAATAGTTTATTTTCTCTAGCTTACTTTATTGGAAGAATACAATTTATAATACCTATAACATACCAAATAAGTGTTAATTATTTATGTTATCAGTAAGGCTTCGGGTCAACAGCGGGCTGTTAGTAGTTAATAGCCTACTGTTGTGTCTCCGTGGTAATAGCCTATCATTGTAATTGTCAGAAATGAGAGTGGTCTTGAGGACTGTTTTCTCTGCCTTTACAGTTTGATAAAATTCCTGCAGCTGAAAGTGGAATTCACTAGAATGTCCCTGACTCGCTAAAAAATGTGGTATGGAAAAAGGAGCAATGAGAGGGCAGGGGATGAAGGATCTCTCTTTTACTTTCACCCTCTCTTAACTTTTGTTTTAGCTTTTAGGGAACACAATAACCAAGAGATTGCATATGTAGCTTGGTTTTTGTTACTTTGTATTTCCTTATTCATCCGGCCAGCCAGTTCCTGGGGATCTGGATCCATCATTTCCAAATTCTGTTGGAAACTTTTACCTCCTGCAACTGACCACAGCAGGGCTGCAGCTCCATACCACACGTGACCCATGGCCATCCAGAAATCAGAGGTCCTTCATCCCCTGCCCTCTCATTGATCCTTTTCCCAAACCACACGTTTCAGTGAGTCAGGGTCATTCTAGTGAATTTCACTTCCAATTCCAACTCCAACTCCAAGAGCTTTAGCCAAATGTGACGACAGAGAAAACAGTCCTCAAGAGCACTCTCACTTCTGACACCAATTACAAGTTCCAGGAACCCCACACCACCCTCAGGTTCTGTAATTTGATAGAAAGACTCATAAAACTCACCGAAAGCTGTTATAGGTGTGGTTACAGTTTATCACAGAAGAAGGACACAGTTTCAAGTCAGCCAAGGAAGCTGCACACAGGGCAGAATCCAGGAGAACAAGAGGCTTCTGTTGTCCTCTCCCTGTGTGGTCAGGCCAGTTTTGCTCTCCTGGCATGTACGTGTGGTGACACACCTGCAGCACGGCCAGCTGGGGAGGCTCACTTGATGCTCTCTGCCCAGAGTTTTTACTGGGGCTCCAATATGTAGGCATGGTTGATTGATTGGTTGACTGACTGATTGCTCACATAGTTGACCTTAGACTCCAGCCCTCAGGAGGTTGAGATGTGTGACCAAAAGCCCCTACCCTAAATCACATTGTCGGTCTTTCTGGTGGTTAGCCCCCACCTAAATACTATCAAGTGTGGCCCGCCACCACCCTAAATCACCTTGTTAGACTATCTGGCATTATCCAAGGCAAACAAAGGTAAACAAAGACACTCCTATCAGTCATGACATTCTAAGGGCTTAGACATGACCTTCCAGAAGCCAAGGGAAGGGCTAGACATCTTTTTGGATAAGGTTAAATTCTTTACCGCACAACGTGTGAGATAAAAATTATGGAAGAAGGAGTTTAGGATTCCCAGAGCATCCTCATGTCCCTGATGCTGCATGGGGTGCATCTGCCAGAGGCCCCTCGCGGTGATGGAAGCCTGAGGAGCAGGAGCACCTGGCTGTGGCAGGTGAGGTCTGGGTTCCAGGGCCCAGGGTGGACCACACATCCCAGGCCCAGGAGCCAGAGCCTCACGTGGGCCCACCCCAGAGGCCAGGCACCAGAACTCAGGCTGTGGATCCTGTGTTCCCGGAACCACCTACAGTTTGGCTGCCTTGATCCAACCCTCCCACAGGAAAGGGTGCTGCTGACCCAGCTCCATCCTCTCCTCATCCCCTTGCCACATATTAGAGGGTCCTAAGGGTTCTGGGGTGCAGCTCCTAGGAAGAGGACTCTGTCCTTTTCCAGATTCCAGAAAGGGAGGAAGACACTGCTAGGAGTCTTCCCCTGTGAGGGTGCCCTGGCCCAGAATCTCCTCCACTGAAGAGCAGAGAAATGTGCCTACACCAAGAGCTGTCCACACAGCCTGACAGCAGAAGTGTCTCGCCTCCGAGTGACCCCACTTTCCGGTGAGCCCACTTCCAAAGACCCAGAACCACCGCAAGACGCTTTGCTCTCTACTAAAGCGATGCTGATTTTTTTCTCTGTTAGTTTTGTGGCTATTGAGTGATCATTCAGCGACTTAAGTGGAAATCTAACAGATTATAATTCTTCTATAATGTCCTGCAGGTTCCTCAAACATGACTCCCAGTGATTAAGGGCTTTCATGCCCTCCCACTAGTGGGAAGTGTAATTACATTATCTTGTTGTTGTTAATTAGTGTAATAAAGTTATCCAGAAACACAGCAAGAACTTTGTCTTCTAAAATAATTTCCATGTTTTTCTCTTTTATTTTTTTTTTTGTTATTATGAAATGGTTACACAATATCTCAAATGGAGACCTAATGTAATTTTTAGGGTAGTGTTTTATAAATGTACATTATGTAAATGTGAATCTTAGTAAACCATTTCCACATTATTTGATTTCCGAATACTGCAAGAAGCATATTTGTGTCATTGTTATTTAATAAGTCTCTTCATCCAGGAACCAGAGGTCCTTCATCCCCTGCCCTCTCATTGATCTTTTTCCCAAATCGCAAGTTTCAGTGAGTCAGAAACCCATTTTCCCTCTCTTGTGAGCTAATATTGGACCTCCTGTTGGAGCTAATATGTATCTTCCTCACATGGAGGAGAAGCAGCTGGGGGCCTCTTTCTCCTCCAGTTAATCTTCCTGGGATGTTCTGCTCGGAGGCCATCCTAATCTTAACACAACAGGGGCCTGGGGGCCCTAAGCAGAGTACGGGGGTCAAACCCGCCCCTCTTCAGCCTGTCCTGCCCTCTCCTTTGGTTCCACTGTGGTGGTGAGTTGATTACACAATTGGTCCTATTGAAGCTGGACGGAATTCTAGTTCTTGGGGTAGTGATTTCTACACGAAGCTCATTTGGAAGTGAATTTCCTGGGGGCACTGTTTCCTTTCCTTCTGTTCTGACAAGGGAAGGACATTATTTGGGTGTGGCCGCCTTTTAAGACCCTGCACCAGGGAAGTTCGGTGAGGGTTTTATAGGAGCCGTCTCACATCTGGGGAGATGCAGAAACACTGTTCTCTTCTATGGACCCAGAGATGAATATACAGTAGTTAGAAGACCAGTTATGTTCAACTCACTAAAACTTGATTTTTAGGAATGTTTGGGAAATACCGTTTCCACAAAACATCCTTCCCTCGTCCATCCATCGCGGGTGCTGGGGATTGCCTGTGGGAGACCTGGCCTCGGTGCTGCCTCCCTCCCTCCTTCAGTCCTGAATCCAGCTCTGGAGGAGAAGCAGCTGGGGCCGGGGAGGGGAGGTGACACCGTGCCCCGAAGGGTTAAAAAGACCGGTGACTGACAGCGGGGATTCCTGAGCTCACATGACGGCAGGTAAGAACAGCAGCAGCGTGCTGGAAATTCCCTCCTTGTGAGAATAAAACTGCCTGAGATCCTGGGGACCCAAAGGGCCGGCTGGAGTGGGCAGCAGCTTGCTGACATCACGGCCCAAATTTCCACCTCACGTTCATACTCACTGCCCCTGAATCAGCACATGTGACCCTGCAGAGGCACGAAGACACAGCTGCACATGCCCAGGGGACATTTCAGACCTCCCCTTTCCCTCCGGCAATCACCCGCTAATCCCAGAACCCACCCCAGACCTTTCCTAATGACGGCACTGCCTTAAGGCCAGGAAGGGGAGATGGATGTGAGCTGCATCCTGTCTCCTTGTTGCTGACCCACAGCAAAGCTTGTCTTTTCTTAAACCTGGTGCCACAGTACCGGCTTCTGAGTACCTCTGGAAGCCAGCCCCATTCACTGTCTTCCCCAGGCAAACCAGCTGCCCAGATTTGTTTCCCCAAAGTGCCTCTCCTCTCCCAGGCCGCTCACCCTATCATCTCTCAGGACCAGGGTGTCCCAGAGCATGCTTTAGGGGGTGCCTAGAGTTGGGACAGGCCACTGGACATCCAGCAGGGACCCTGAACTCAGTTGCGACCCCAAGGGCGTGGGGCCCGTTCTCCTCCAGTGAATCTCCCTGGGATGTTCTGCTGGGAGGCCCCCCTAACCTTAACACAACAGGTGCCCAGGGGCCCTGAGCAGAGTTCACAGGTCACACCTGCCCCTCTTCAGCCTGTCCTGCCCCAGGCAAAACAACAGTGACAAAGACTTTCCAGGATCCCTGACAACCCTCCCTGTTATGTGGCCTTCACCTCCCGCTTCCTATGTCTGGTCTTGGGTGTGGAAAGGACCTCAGAGGTTAAACTGTCACCCCCACCCCCTCTCTGGCCACCTCTGCCCCAAGCCACTGCCTGGCCACACCCGTGACAGCTGGAGCTGACAATTCTGCTTCCTTCAGGGCAGAGTGGGCACTGGCCTGGAGACTCCAGCGTGTGCAGGGGCACAGGCAGCCACGGCTCTCAAAGCTGCGTCAGTGGGGCTGCTGTGTGACTTGGACTCAGTCGCCAATGTCCACTTCCCTCCAGTCTTCAAGCGCTGTCAGAGCTTGTCACTAGCAGAGACGAAAGTCACATCACCTGTGGGGGCACAGGCCTGCTTCACAAGGACCCCAGATGGTCCTACAGGGATGCTTGCCTCTGAGGGGGCGGACACAGGGCTTTCACCGCCAGTAATTCAGAGCCCCTCTCTGCCTTCCAGTTCATCCCAACCCCCCTATTGCCCCATTCCAGGCCGACTTCCCCCCGAGATGCCAGAGCGCGTGTCCTGTTTGTTCCCGGCCCGGAGCTTCCTGCCCCTGCTGCGTTGCTGGCCTTGCCCAGGACCGTACGCGGAGCCTGCTGCCTGACGCTCAGCAGCTAATCCTTTCCACAACTCGAACGGCACTTAAATTGCCCTCCTATTTTCACCCCAGCCCTTAGAAAAGCTGGGCTTGGTCCTGTACGAACAAATTCCGCTACTGCGAAGCTTCCAGCTCCATCAACGAAGCCCAGCTCATGCAGAGGGGGTGTGACAGGAGGCCCCGCGCCGCCACCGGCAGCTGCTCTGCTCAGGGTACCAGCGGGCGGGGCATTGAGTGCGCCCAGGGCAGGGGCCCGAGCCTCCGCTCAGAGGACACTCGCTCGGGACCAGGGGCCGCTGGCTCCGAGAGGAACCACGCACCCCAAAGCCCCCCGTGCTCCTCATGGGCCACCTCTTCTGGGGGTGCTGCTTCTGCCCTGGAAGCCCAGCCACTCTCCCTCCTCCACTCCCTGGTCCGAGGTGTCAGGGACACGCGCAGGGCTCCGGCTGCCTCTTCCTGGAGCCAAGGGGGAGCCGGGGCTTTGGCCAAAGATTCTTCCCGCGCTTCCATGAACACTACAGCTCATGCAGGGCAGCCGGGAAGAGCCTCCAAGGCAGCCCCTCCTGGGTTGGGACACACAGAGCCGGGGTCTCAAACTACAACCAGATGGGCCACTGCCTATTTCTGTAAACAGGGTCACGGGAGCTCAGCCTGGCCTTTGTCCGTGTCATCCTCCGCTGTCTGCGGCTGCCTTCACCCTCCGCCGACAGCGTGGTCTCCTCGCTGAGGGGGCTGGAGACGTTCACCGACCGGCCCTTTACAGAAGAGGCTGCCGGCCGCCAACGCAGACCCCCGGCCTCGTGGCCCAGCAAGCACCAGGGCGGTTTTGTTTCTGGTGAGCGCCCACCCCGCGGGTGTCTGGTGAAAAGATTCCGTGTTGCATCCTGCTGCAAAGGAGCCAGCTGCACAGCTCCAGTCCAGCTATGGACAACCTTCTGCAGGAGACCTTGGGAAAAAGCAGAAGTTCGACAAAGGGCAGCTCTGACATCACTGGTGTGTGTTCTCTGTCTACTTGCAGCTGCCCTGGCAGAAGGGGGCACAACCAGAAGAAAAGAGCCTTCACTTGCCTGGACGCCCAGGACACCCAGCCCGAAGCCGGGCACGCCACCGTGCCGTCGTGTCTCCTGCTGGCTACAGACAACGTCACAGGAAGACAACGTCACAGGAAGACAACGTCACAGGAAGACAACGTCACAGGAAGACAACGTCACAGGAAGACAGCACCAGGAGCCTGCGTCTGTGAGGAAACAAAGCGAAAGACACCATCAGGTACCTGCAGAAACAGCCCTGGCCCAGGTGAGGGACTGTTTTTTGTTGTCCAGAGACAGCTCCAGCCTGGCTTTGTGCCGCCTGCCCATCAAAGATGACACATACCTGTCACCACCGCCCATCCCTGACACACCCAATCCAGAGCCAATGTCTGCTTCTTCAGAGCCTGCCCTGTCACCCAACACAAGCCCACTCCTGTAACGAGTGCTCCTGCCCTTCTCCACCTAGAGGGCTCATTGCACAGCATTTCCCAAGACGTGCAGGCAACCTTTAGCTCCAGCAGGCAAGAAACCTGGCACTGGCTGTTGGCAGGTGCCTTCCTGGCAGGCTTTGGCAGGTGGGCATCCATACAGGTGACAGTTCTGTCGAAGGCATCACTGTCACATGGCATGGTGGCCATGCATCCCATCCCCTCTCACGTCCAGATCCCGAAGACAGTGCCGCGTCATTCCGATGGGCAGCGGGCTATTCCTGGGACCCTCCAGACCCTCGGACTACTTATTTGAAGTCTAATATGGAGCTGCTGCGATATTTTGGCTATGAATTAGTGACGATTTGGGGCAATATTAGTCTAATGTTTGGACAGCGACAAAGACAGGGACCAAGGCCTACAGCCCCAGCAGTTCCCACAGGGCTGAGACTGGAGAAACATTGGAAGCTGACTCGCAGATCACCTGAAGGGAGGGTCCAGGCAAGCAGTCATCCCTCGCCTGGGAGCCACCCCAGGATGCCCGCCGCCCCCTTGGAGCTGGGAGGTGGGAATCGCCCGCCCACTCTGCCACCCAGGCTGCGCTCCCAGCAGGGAAGCTGCGCCCAGCCATGATATCAGGTGGCTGAGCCCCATCTCCAGGCCTGAGTGTGGCCTGGAAGCCCCAGTCCTTAGGGCCTGGTGCTGGGGCCCCAATTCTGAGGTGGGCTCCAGTGGCAAGTCCAGGCTACGGCTCCTTCCTAAGTCAGACCCTGCGATTCTCCTGGCCACCACCCCAGGGGAGCAGAGCCAGGGGCTGAGAGACACCTCTCCCCAGCATGGCTGAGAATGTAGGGCAGGAGGCTCCTTCCCTCTCTCCAGGTGAGCAGCAGGCAAGAGGCTCGGGGCAGAGGGGTCAGGTGCTCAGGGGAATGTCTCCCAAAGGCTTGGGAACCATGAGCCAGGCTGACCTCCAGCCCAAACAGGACATGGAAGCAGAAGGCAAGGACGGCTGTGGCTGACTCGGGCCGACCACCATCCCCAGTCCCACCCACAGCACTGTTGAAACCCAGACAGGGGCTGGCTCTCCCCATCCCCCACGGCAAGGCTCTGGGGTGACCCCTGCTGTCTGGGGCAAGTGGAGACTCCCCTGGCCACAAAGCCACAGAGACGACTGGCTCCCCGTGTGAGACAGCCTTGCACAGGCTGATTCTGACAGGCAGTGTGGGTTCCCATGTCCTCAGGACCACGGCTGGGATGAGGGTTGCAGAGGCCAGAAGGTCCCTGACCTCCAACATCTTCCTGTGTAGCTGGGGAGGCTGAAAGGGGCCCATGTCTGTGCCCTGAGGGTGGGATGCTCCGCTGATGCTCTGGGCAGGATTGTAGAGGCTGGGACAGGAGGAGGGGAAAGAAGGGGAGAGGAGAGAAGAGGGGAGGGGAGGGGAGGAGAGAGGAAGGAAGAGAGGGAGGAGATCTGCAAACAGTGCAGGGGCTGGTGCGCCTGGGGGAAGAGTGGGGCAGGGCATTGAGCCTGGGCCTCCCCCAACTCCTTACTCCCCTCACCCAGGCTCACCAGAGGCTGTCGAGAACACCCACCCTGCTCCCTCGCCTCAGGCATCCCCAGCATATTTCGAAGCCCTGCAGCCAGCAAGAGTCCCTCGGGACTGCCTCCTGCCTGGGCTTCTCTCCGGAACCCACTGCCCGGTTGTTAGGGAAGCATCTGCGCTAATCCCACAGCTCAGTCATGCCAGATCCTCAGAGCAGGAGTAAATGGATCCCGAAACCCACGGCCGCTGTTGGGGGAGGCAGGGGACCTTGGGGTTGGCTCCCAGCCCCTCTCTAGCCGTTCCTCTGAGGAATCAAGACACGGGGGTCACGGACAGGAGATTGGGCCACTCAGCTCAGCCAGCCTTGAGTGTGAGGACCATGGGAGGCACCAGACCTGTCTGAGCCTGGAGAGGGCTTCCTAGGAGGAGGTGTTACCAGGCTGAGGCTTGAGGGTTGAGTTGGTCCGATAAGTGGGCAGCCCGATAGATGTAGGGATGGCGGATGGCTTGGTCTGCCCAGCACCTAGAGATCGAAGGCCAGAAGTGGTACGTGGTGGGAGTGGCTTGAAAGCAGCTCTGCTTCCACCCGTGAGGACAGCGGTGTTCAGACCTCTCACTGTGGGAATCTTCATTAAACTAAAGCTCAGCTGGAGCCCCCGTCCATGAAAGAATGGAACAGATGATCTCCGCCACCCACCGTGTGCAGCTCTGAGCCTGGAAATGCTCGCCATGGCCCGTCGCACCGGCCACGCACCCTTCTGCAGATGAAGAAGGTGAGGCACAGAGAGGAAGCTTCCCCAGGGTAAGCAGGGCGGGGTGCGTGGCCTCTCTGCTGCACCACCCTCCCAGGAACAGCTCCTAAGTGGGGTGGGAATTCTGCAGAATCCCCAGGACCTGGCCAGCAACAGAGGAGTGAGTGGTCAGACAGGAGACAGAGAGGGCTGGGGGCTGAGGGTACTGGGGCCGTCAGGGCACGGCCTGGCCAAAGAGGAGTCAGGCACCCCCCCGCCGCCCCTCTGCCACCTGGCTTGACGAGCTGGAGGGCTGTTTGCTTGTTGGACTGGTTTCAGGTTTTCATTTCTTAAGGAGAATCCGGGTGATGGGCAATGTGTGGAGCAAAAGGAAGGCAGAAAGGCAGGTGGGCGGAGTGGGGAGACTGTGGGGTGTGCAGGCTGCAGGGCCGCCCTCCCCGACCTGCATGCATCTGGGCTGGCTGGGGAGTTCCAGGGACAGCAGGCCAGCTGCCCTTCAGGAGAACCTGTAGACCCTCAGCCAGCAGCCCCCACTCTCCCTCCCTGCTGGACACTGGAGTCTGAGCCAATAAGCCAGACCTGCCCTGGGCCTCGGGGTCCAAAGAGGGCTTTCAGGGAGGGCTGACTGCATGTGGCCTGAACACACGGTCCTGGCAGCTGCAGCTGGTGGGGGGCAGGTTCCTGGGCCTGGCAGGGTTGGGGAGGGTGTGGCAGCCTCTGTGGTATGCTGCACAGAGACCCCTCAGGACTGAGGCACACACGGCTCACTGGCCTGCTCATGACCGAAGACCCCTCCGCGCATCACCTTTGGTGATGCGGTTCAGCGGAGGCAGCTGTGTCCAGAGACTATCCCAGGGTGGTCAGCTCTGAGGGTCATCTCAGCTCCAGAGCATCCTGGGGTCACAGTGAAGTCACTGCCTCGCCTGCCCTTTTTCGCGTGGTGTTCCCAAGAACACCTGGTGAAACCCCTGCATGCAAACTCCAGTCCCAGAGGCGGCAGCCCCCTGGGGGGCGGCAGGTGGGAGGGTGGCTCAGTGCTGGGCCGAGAGGGCCTGAGGGTCTGCTCACCTGGCCAGCAGCCACAGTGCAGCAGCAGGACTCGCCTGGAGACCCCAGCCAGGCTGGCCTCCAGGAGACAGGAGGTGAGGAGAGCGGCGCCCCCTCCCTCTGCTGGTGGAAACCTCGGGAGGTCCGGGGATGTCAGGAAGACGCACGCCCTCCTGTGAGCCATGGGGGCGGAGGGGCGTGGGTGATGCCGCAGGCTGGCACCGGTGGGCCCGGTCAGGAACAAGTCCATCTGACAGCCAGAGGGCATAGGAGGGGCTCTGAGAGCAGGGCCCGTGGCACCTCCTCCACCCCCGAGAGGGTCTCCTGACCACCGGTGCCCATCTCTGCCCTCTCCTAAGCTCTCTGGGTGGCAAGGTCTGGAAGCCTGATGTTCCCCAGACCTCCTTGCTCGTGGGGCCGGGACGTGGGTGGGGAGGTGGGGGCTGACCTTCCCCAGGGCCAGGTGAGGGCCCCACGCGTGGCTTCTCCGTGCGGGCTCCAGCGAGGTCGGGCCTTGCGTGCCGTCGTCTAGATGGCTGCTCTGGGGAGACAGCCCCGCGTTGCACTGGCGTCCTGGGTGCTAGACGCTGCACTCCGCCGCCCTCCCTCACAGCAGGGCCCGCTTGGGCCAGGCAAGGCCCTGCAGCTGCGCTGGGCTGACCTGGAGGCCACAACCCCCCTCAGAGCCCCCATATTCCTTTCCCAGGCCTCCCAAGCGTCTCAGGTCTTACTCTCATTGTGCTTGAGGAAGATTCTTTTCCCTGCACTGAGCCCTGATGATACGCTCTCCCACACAGAAGACTGGAGATGTATTCCTAGGAAAAATTCCACAGGCCTGCAGATGGTGGGGACAGCGGGGACACTAGGGACACCTAGTGTGTAGGAGCTTCGGGGTGCCACTGGGCCCCGACCGAGCGTGTAGGAGCTTCGGGGTGCCACTGGGCCCCGACCGAGCGTGTAGGAGCTTCGGGGTGCCACTGGGCCCCGACCGAGCGTGTAGGAGCTTCGGGGTGCCACTGGGCCCCGACCGAGCGTGTAGGAGCTTCGGGGTGCCACTGGGCCCCGACCGAGCGTGTAGGAGCTTCGGGGTGCCACTGGGCCCCGACCGAGCGTGTAGGAGCTTCGGGGTGCCACTGGGCCCCGACCGAGCGTGTAGGAGCTTCGGGGTGCCACTGGGCCCCGACCGAGCGTGTAGGAGCTTCGGGGTGCCACTGGGCCCCGACCGAGCGTGTAGGAGCTTCGGGGTGCCACTGGGCCCCGACCGAGCGTGTAGGAGCTTCGGGGTGCCACTGGGCCCCGACCGAGCGTGTAGGAGCTTCGGGGTGCCACTGGGCCCCGACCGAGCGTGTAGGAGCTTCGGGGTGCCACTGGGCCCCGACCGAGCGTGTAGGAGCTTCGGGGTGCCACTGGGCCCCGACCGAGCGTGTAGGAGCTTCGGTGAGACGCCTGCCCACGGTCAGTACCGAGGCTCCCTCTACCCAGACCCGCTTCTCCCTCAGACCACCTGCAGCCAGGCTCCACCCCTAGCAGGAACAAGAAGAACCTTCACGAAGAAACTAAACTGTTCCACAGGAAAGGCGCACAGACGCTGGCAGCCCGGCCAGCTGCCCCCTCGCCCCATGACCGACGCCACCTCCTGGCTGCCCAGGCTGACTGCAGCTCTCTCCTGGACCGCCGGAGCCTGGATGGCCGGGGATGGAAGGAGCTGCCTGAGCACCTTCAGCAAGGAAGGACGGTCAGGGAAGGAAGGAGGGAGGGAGGGAGGGAAGGAAGGAAGGTAGGTCAGGGAAGGAAGGAGGGAGGGAGGGAAGGAAGGAAGGAAGGAAGGTCAAGGAAGGAAGGAGGGAGGGAGGGAAGGAAGGAAGGAAGGAAGGAAGGTAGGTCAGGGAAGGAAGGAGGGAGGGAGGGAAGGAAGGAAGGAAGGTAGGTAGGTCAAGGAAGGAGGGAAGGAAGGAAGGAAGGAAGGAAGGTAGGTCAGGGAAGGAGGGAGGGAGGGAAGGAAGGAAGGAAGGAAGGTAGGTAGGTCAGGGAAGGAGGGAGGGAGGGAAGGAAGGAAGGAAGGAAGGTAGGTCAGGGAAGGAAGGAGGGAGGGAAGGAAGGAAGGAAGGAAGGTAGGTCAGGGAAGGAAGGAGGGAGGGAAGGAAGGAAGGAAGGAAGGAAGGTAGGTCAGGGAAGGAAGGAGAGAGGGAGGGAAGGAAGGAAGGAAGGAAGGAAGGTAGGTCAGGGAAGGAAGGAGGGAGGGAAGGAAGGAAGGAAGGAAGGAAGGTAGGTCAGGGAAGGAAGGAGGGAGGGAAGGAAGGAAGGAAGGAAGGTAGGTCAAGGAAGGAAGGAGGGAGGGAGGGAAGGAAGGAAGGAAGGAAGGTAGGTCAAGGAAGGAAGGAAGGAGGGAGGGAAGGAAGGAAGGAAGGAAGGTAGGTCAGGGAAGGAAGGAGGGAGGGAGGGAAGGAAGGAAGGAAGGAAGAAAGGAAGGTCAAGGAAGGAGGGAGGGAAGGAAGGAAGGAAGGAAGGTAGGTCAGGGAAGGAGGGAAGGAAGGAAGGAAGGAAGGAAGGTCAAGGAAGGAAGGAGGGAGGGAGGGAAGGAAGGAAGGAAGGAAGGAAGGTAGGTCAGGGAAGGAGGGAAGGAAGGAGGGAGGGAAGGAAGGAAGGAAGGAAGGTAGGTCAGGGAAGGAGGGAGGGAGGGAAGGAAGGAAGGAAGGAAGGTAGGTCAAGGAAGGAAGGAGGGAGGGAGGGAAGGAAGGAAGGAAGGAATCAGAACAAAGGAAAACGAGGAAATCAGAGGAGACAGAGATCATGGGGAGCAGAGGGGACTTGAAAACACGTGTCAGCGGAACCCACCCAGCAATGAAATGAAGGAAGCAGAGTGCGGCTGTTTGGACGGGCTCCGAAGTCACCCCGCCGGGGAGGACACTGCAGAGTGCGCACACATCGCAGGCCCCATCCATGTGGAGCCCCAGAAAATGCAAAGTGGGGGATGCAGCCAACCAGTGGAGGGGCCACAGGGCAGGGGGAGCTCTGGGGACAACAGCGCGGTGACAGGCGATGGGCGGAGGCGTTGGTCCAACGTATCACGCTGTGCACCTTCAGTTCAGCTTACTGTGCAGAAGTTATACCCCTATACAGTTGTTTAAAAATGAAATAAAAAGCCAACCACAAGTGACGTCCCCAGAGAGACCTGAGAAGACGGGGCATCACAAAGTGAGAACAGGATAGTATTTTTAAAAAGGAATGACCAGTCTGGGCGCGGTGGCTCACGCCTGTAATCCCAGCACTTTGGGAGGCCGAGGCAGGAGGATCACTTGAGGTCAACAGTTCAAGACTAGCCTGGGCAACATGGGGAAACACTGTCTCTACTAAAAAGGCTAAAAATAGCCAGTTGTGGTGGTGGGCGCCTGTAATCTCAGCTACTTGGGAGGCTGAGGTGGGAGAATTGCTTGAACCCGGGAAGCGGAGGCTGTGGTGAGCCGAGATCGTGCCATTGCACTCCAGACTGGGTGACAAGAGTGAGACCTCGTCTCAAAAAATAATAAATAAATAAATAAAAAGGAATGACCAAAAACCAAGAAAGGACTCTTGAATAATCACTGGAATAAAAATTTAGTAAAACACTTGGAAAATAAAGATGAGATGGTATCCCCTGAAGGCAGAACAAAAGGTCAAAGAGATGGACAAAAGGAAACGAAAAATGAATCAATAAGGAACAGAAGGTCGGTCTAAGAACTCCAAACTCTGGCTCACGGGTGGAGGAAATTATCCAAGAAGGGAATCAAGCCCAGACAGCTGCGGTCCTCCGACTGGAAGAGCACACCATGTTCCCAGCACAGTAACTGAGTGAAAATCCAGCCTGGTGTGCATCGTGGTGAAATCCTCACGCTCTCAGTGTAAATACATATCTACCCTAAAAGCTTCCAGACTGGGAGAAGCAAACAGACAGCACAGAGCACTAAGAATCCAATGACGAGAACCTAAGTAGACACCCGTGTCCCTGACCAGAAGCCTCTCGGTTCTGGGCAGTGTGCTGGGTCCCCCGCCAGTCCTGGGTCCGTCCTCGGCAGTCATCTGGACCTTCTGCTCGTCAGTGGCTGCAGAGGGCCGTCACTTTCTGGGAGGCAGCTCGCCGTCTGCTAACAGCCACAGTTCCCCTTCTGTTCCCAAGTAGTTTGAATTGCCAAGCCCTTGCTACCCTGCATCCAACTCCAGAACCTTCCCCAGGATGACTGTGGTCCCCATACAGAACGTGTCCCTTGCCAGATACAATTCCCCAGGTGTTCACTAGCAAGGGAGGATGCGCTTCTGTGTTCCCACGTTCCAGACCCTGTACTCCTGTTGATGCAGCCTCAACTGGAATCGACTTCTAATGCTTGTTCTTTGCTAATTAATGGTTTTGCTAGTTAATGGTGACTCTGTGGTGATGAGTGTGTGGGCTGCTCCTAAGCCCTCTGGGGTCTGTGCCTGGTCTCATTTGAGAAAGAGGATTTCTGCTTGGCCTGGCCCAGCCCAAAGGCCAGACTCGGATGTGGGTGCTCAGAGTGTGTAGTTGTGATCGGGGCTCTGAAGTCAGTTCTTGGGCGCCTGACTGGTCGTGCTTTTGCCTCTGTTTCCTCTCAATGTCCTTGGGTTTTTGTGAAAGTCCAGCCGCCTCCATGGTGCTGGGAGCCAGGAGGGGATAGGAGGGAGAGTGGGTGTGTGTAGTCCCTGTCCCAGCCATCCACTGTGGAGGGGCCGTATCCTGACAGCCAGTGTGGGGCAGTAGTGCCCCAAAGCTCTGTGCACCCCCCAGGGCTGCGGGGGGTCCTTGGAGAGCTGAGGGCTCCTCCGTCCACCACCAAGTAGCCCCCACACCAGGACCTGCTGCAGAGGCTCTAGAAGAGCATCGTCTGCCTCGCCCACTGCTGTCCTCTACTCCACCCTGGCAAGGACTTCCCGAAGGGCACAGACAGGGGCAGGGTGGGGCTCTGCCAGACCAGGCACGGTGCCTCTGCAGACAGCACCCCTCTCTGTGCCTTGGAGCCCCGAGGGAGCCTCAGAATCCTTCTTGACACAGGGCTGTCGGAAGCTACCACCTGGCCAGAGTTCACCTTTCCATCTAAAGCTCTTTGCCGCTGCTGGTCTACGCCGGCCATCTGAGTGCCCCTCAGATGGGTAAGGCTGGAGCCGAGTCCCAGGCCCAGTTCTTCCTGTCTCCCTGATCCCCAAACCTGGCTGGGGACAAGACTGGACATCTGCGCTCCGTCCTGGCTCAGCTGGTCAGCCTCGCAGGAATCCACCCTGGGGCTGGGATTGTTCCATGGACTCCTCCATCTCTTGGAAATGAAAGTCCCAGAGGGCCAGGGTGGTAGAAGTCAGGGACATGGAAACTATCTGCTTGGCTGTGCCCTGGACAAAGCCATGGGGTGGGCCCCAGAGACGCTGGGTTTTGGTGACAGCAGGAGGTGTGTCAGGGCCGTGGGAGCAGGTCTGGAGGACCAGGGCAGGTGCAAGAGTCCTCAGGAAGCCCTGAATAGGGGATATGGGGCCAGTGGCAGGGCCAGGACCCATTCCAGGGGTTCCTGTAACACAGGAGGGAAACCGGGCTGGGTGGTGGGGGCAGGATGGAGAGAGGAGAGGGTGCAAAAGCCCAAGTGGGCTGCCCTCATTCTCACGCAGGTGCGTCCCCCATCCCTACTCCACCAGTAACTGTTGGTCACCTTCATGGGCCTTTCCAGAATGGTGTGACCTGGTCCCACCTGGTGCAGATCTAGGGTTTGGGGAGAGTCATGGGCAGGCTGGGCATGGCCTGTATAAAGGGCAACCAAGGGCTCGGGCCCCTGAGGAGGGGGAGATGAGCAGGGAACCCCATAGGGAGGCCTTCCAAGCAGAGGGTAGCCTGAGAGGCTTAGTGGGGTTGAGGTGAGCTCCTCGTGGGTGGGGTGGCAGCAGGCCTGGTCCTGGCTAGGCAGTGTGCCCCGTGATGGTGAATGCAGGAACAGAAGGGGGAGGGTGGGGAGAGGCTGGTGCCGTGACCACAGGCCACACCGCAGGGCTGGACACAGCCAGGCCCGGGAGCCAGGTGTACGGTTTTCAAGACCCCCTCATTCCATGCGGATGGTTGTGGGGAGGTGGGGAGAGGGAGCCGCTGGAATGGGCCAGGACTGGATGCGTGTGCAGTGGCAGGGGCAGACCCCCAGGACCTGGGTACCAGAAAACGATGGGGGCTCTGATACAGTTGTGGTGTTTCCTGACTTTGGTCTTTGAGGATCACCAAAGCCCTGGAAAGATCTGGCTCAGCCAAAGGCCATAGGTGCTGTGGGGAGGGGAAAGAACAGAGATGGAGGAGCCCAGGGCTGCTGGTCCCCCGACCCCCCCACCAAATGCACCCTGGCTCCCTGAGCTGGTTCTGGGTCCAACTTGTCCCTGAAGCCTCCAATGCCCCAGAGTTAGGGACAGGAGGGTTTCCAGCTGCAGGCAGAAGCCTGGACGCATGCATGGGCCAGGGAGCCAGCCCACCTGAAGGCAGAGGGGGACAGAGGCCTCCAGAGCTTCTGGAATTGGGACCACACTGCCTAGTCCTGAGCTACTTCTGCAGGTCACAGGAAATGCAGGCCCCGCAAAACAAAAACCCAGGGCCTCTGAAAAATCAGGAAGCTCAGGACAGTGGTGCATTAAAGTAGGTACAGCCCAGTTGAGCACAGGGCCTCCTGGGCATGGCCCTCCTGAGCATGGGACCCTGTAGAGTGCAGGCCCTCCTGGGCATAAACACTCCTGGATATGGGCTCTCCTGGGCATGGGCCCTCCTAGGAATGGACCCTCCTGGGCATAGACCATCCTGGGCATGGACCCTACTGAATATGGGTCTTCCTGGACATAGGACCCTCCTGGGCCTGGGCCCTCCTGCCATGGACCCTACTGTGCATGGGCCCTCCTGGACATGGACCCTCCAGGGCATGGACCCTTCTGGGCATGGGCCCTCCTGACATGAGCCTTCCTGGGCATCGACCCTCTTGGACATGGACCCTCCTGGATATGGACGCTCCTGGGCATGGGTCCTCCTGGGCATGGACCCTCTTGGGCATGGAACCTCCTGACATGAGTCCTCCTGGGCATCGACTCTCTTGGACATGGACCCTCCTGGGCATGGACCCTCCTTGGTTGGCATGGACCCTACTGGTCATAGAGCCTTCTGGTCATGGATCCTCTTGGGCATGGGCCCTTCTGGGCACAGGGCTCTGTTGTGTGTGGACCCTCCTGTGAATAGGCCCTCGTGGACACTCTACTGGGCATGGGTCCTCCTAGGCATGAGCCCTCCTGGGCATGGACCTTCCTGGGCATGAAGTCTCCTGGGTATAGGCCCTCCTGGGTATGGCCTCTCCTGGGTATGGCCCCTCCTGGGTATGGCCCCTCCTGGGAATGGGTCCTCCTGGACGTAGACCCTCCTAGACATGGGTCCTCCTGGGCATTGATCCTCCTTGGTTGGCATGGACCTTCCTGGGCACAGACCCCTCCTGGTCATGGACCCTCCTGGGCATGAACTCTGCTGTGAATAGACCCTCCTGAACATGACTCTACTGGGTATGGGTCCTCCTAGGCATGAACCCTCCTGGGCAGGGACCCCTGGACATGGACCTTCCTGGGAGGGACCCCGAGACATGGACCCTCCTAGGCATGGGACTGCCTGGCATGCAGCCTTATATTATTCTGTTTTCATACTGCTATAAGGAACTGCCCGAGACTGGGTAATTTATAAAGGAAAGAGGTTTAATTGACTCACAGTTCAGCATGGCTGGGGAAGTCTCAGGAAACTTACAGTCATGGCGGAAGGCGAAGGGGAAGCAAGGCACCTTCTTCACAACGCAGCAAGAAGAAGTGCCAAGCCAAAGGGGAAGAGCCCCTTATAAAACTGTCAGATTTCATGAGAACTCACTCTCTATCATGAGAATAGCATGGAAGAGACTGCACCCATGATTCAATTACCTGCACCTGGTCTCTCCCTTGACATGTGGGGACTGCAATTCAAGATGAGATTTGGGTGGGGACACAAAGCCTAATTATACCATTCTGCTCCTAGCCCCTTCCGAATCTCATGTCTCTTTTACATTTCAAAACCAGTCATGCCTTCCCAAAAGTCCCCCAAAGTCTTAATTCATTCCAGCATTAACCCAAAAGTCCAAGACCAAAGTGTCATCTGAGACAAGGTAAGTCCCTTCTGCCTACAAACCTATAAAATCAAAAGCAAGTTAGTTATATCCTAGATAGAATGGGGGTACAGGCATTGGGTAAATATACCCATTCCAAATGGGATAAATTGGCCAAAATGAAGGGGCCACAGGCCCCATGCAAGTCCGAAATCCAGGTGGGCAGTCAAAACTTAAAGCTCCAAAATGATCTCCTTTGACTCCATGTCTCACATTCAAGTCAGGCTCATGCAAGAGGTGGGCTCCCATGACCTTGGGCAGCTCTGCCTCTGTTGTTTTTCAGGGTACAGCCTCCCTTCCAGCTGCCTTCACAGGCTGGTGTTGAGTGTCTGTGGCTTTTCCAGGTGCATGGTTCAAGCCATCAGTGGATCTACCATTCTAGGGTCTGGAGGATGGTGGCCTTCTTCTCACAGTTCCAGTAGCAGTAGGCAGTGCCCCAGTGGGGATTGTGTGGGGGGGCTCCAACCCCACATATCACTTCTACACTGCCCTAGCAGAGGTTCTACATGAGGGTTCCACCAGTGCAGCAAACTTCTGTGTATCTGCAGGCCCAACACCACATGTAAGCCACCAAGGCTTGGGGCTTGCACCTCTGAAGCAAAGGTCTAAGCTGTACATTGGCCCCTTTTAGCCACTGCTGGGATGTGGGGCACCAAGTCCTGAGACTGCACAAACCAGCAAGGCCCTGGGCCCCAACGACAAAACCATTTTTTCCTCCTAAGCCTCCAGGCCTGTGATGGGTGGGGTTGCTGTGAAGACCTCTGACATGCCCTGGAGACATTTCCCTCATTGTCTATGCTATTAACATGTGGCTCCTAGTTACTTATGCAAATTTCTGCAGCTGGCTTGAATTTCTCCTCAGAAAATGAGTTTTTCTTTTCTATCCCATAGTCAGGATGCAAATTTTCTAAACTTTTATGCTCTGCTTCCCTTTTAAATGTGAGTTCCAATTCCAAATCATCTCTTTGTGAATGCATAAAATTGAATGCTTTTAAGAGCACTCTTGAATGCTTTGCTGCTTAGAAATTTCTTCTGCCAGATACCCTAAATCATCTCTCTCACATTCAAAGTTCCACAGATCTCTAAGGCAGGGGCAAAATGCTGCCAATCTCTTTGCTAAAGCATAGCAAGAATCACCTTTATTCCAGTTTCCAGCAAATTCCTCATCTCCATCTGAGACCACCTCAACCTGGAATTCATTGTCCATATCCCTATCAGCATTTTGATCAAAGCCATTCAACAAGTCTCTAGGAAGTTCCATACTTTCCCACATCTTTCTGTCTTCTTCTGAGCCCTCCAAACTGTTCCAACCTCTGACTATTACCCGGTTCCAAAGTTGCTTCGACATTTTTGGGTATCTTTACAGCAGCACCCCACTCTCTGTGGTACCAATTTACTGCATTCGTCTGTTTTCATACTGTTATAAAGAACTGCCCAAGACTGGGTAATTTTAAAGGAAAGAGGTTTAATTGACTCACACTTCAGCATGGCTAGGGAGGCCTCAGGAAACTTACAATCATGGCAGAAGGTGAAGGGGAAGCAAGGAACCTTCTTCATAAGACAGTAGGAAGGAGAAGTGAAGGGAAGAGCCCCTTATAAAACCATCAGATCTCATGAGAACTCACTCACTATCATGAGAACAGCATGTGGGAAACAGCCCCCATGATCCAATTGCCTCCACCTGGTCTCTCCCTTGACACATGGGGACTATGGTTATTATAGGGATTACAATTCAAGATGAGATTTGGGTGGAGACACAAAGCCTAACCATATCAGCCCTCCTGGGTATGGACTCTTCTGGACATGGACCTTCCTGGGCATGGACACTTTTAGGCATGGGGCCCTCCTGTGCATGAACTGGCCTGGGCATGGACCCTCCTGGGCATGGGCCTTCCTGGGCATGAGGATCTCATGGGCATGGCCCTTACTGGGCATGGACCCTCATGGGCATGGGGTTCTCCTTGACATGGTCCTTCCTGGGCACAGGGCTCTGTTGTGTATGGGCCCTCCTAGGCATGGACCTTTCTGGACATGAACCCTCCTGGGCATGGACCCACCTCAGCATGGACCCTCCTGGGCATGGAACCTCCTTGACATGGACCCTCCTGGGCTGGACCTTCCTGGGCATGAACGCTCCTTGACATGGGCCCTTCTGGTAATGGATCTTCCTAGGCAGGGACACTCCTGGGCATGAACCCTCCTAGGCATGAATCTTTCTTGACATGGAGCCTCCTGGGCATGGAGCCTCCTGGACAGGGACACTCCTGGACATGTATCCTCCTGAGCACAGGGCCCTCTGTGCACGTGACTCTCCCGGGCATGGGGCCCTCCAGGGCATAAACTCTCCTGGGCATGAACCCTCCTGAGCATGGACCCTTCCAGGCATGGGACCCTCCTGGACATAGACCCCCCCCAACCAGGCATGGACACCCTTGCGTATGGACCCTCCCGGACATGGGACCCTTTTGGGCATAGAGCCCTCCTGGGCACGGGACCCTCCTGGGAATGAGGCCCTCCTGCTCATGGACCATCCTGGGCATGGACCTTCCTGGGCATGGGCCCACCTGGGCATGCACCCTTTTAGGCACAGAGCCCTTATGGGGCTCTCCTGGGCATGGGCCCTCCGGAGCCTGGGTCCTGTGAGATGCCATCAGCCGCATGCTTGTGCCATGTCCCTGCCAGAACATGACTGCCATCTCTCTCCAGTCCTGTGGAACATGGAACAGGGTGGGGCGGTGCCTGTGGACATGCAATATGGGATGACAGGATGGGGTTTGAGCCCAGGCCGTGCTGGCCCACACTCACAGGAGGTCTCTGGAGTGCCCTGTCCTTCCAGCTTGGGTTTCGAGATGCCCTCCATGCAGGAGTACAGGAGAGGCAGAAACCAGCAGGACATCGTGCCTTTACCTGAGTGGGCACCCAACCCCTGCCCCTGCCAGACATGGTTTCCAGCCTTTCCCTGAAGGAAGGAGAAGAGGGCTGGGTTCCTTGACAGACCCTGGCCACCCCCTTCACTGCCACCCACCCCAACCCACCCTCACCTGCTTGACCTTGGTCACCCCCCCTTGCACCGCTGTGCAGCCCCTACATGGAGATCAGCTGCTCCCAGCCCTGTCTTGAGCAAGGAAACCTGGGCTGGGGGCCTCTACTGTGGTCCTGCCAGGAGCTTCCAACAGCCCCTGCTCACGCTCCAGGTGGGTGGGGGTGGGAAGGGGTGAAAGGGTCCAAGGGGGACCTCAAAGTGAAGAGCCCCGAAGGGTCCCTGGAAGATGTCCGCCAGCCCTCTGAGCCACGCGCTCCCTCCCTGCCTCCCACCACACGAGTGCGAAACACAGAGGGCCCCACTAGGACTGACTCTGGGTGGGGAGTTTTATTCCAGCCCCGAGGGGCAGCGGCAGGTGTCATCAAGGCTGCACCCTGGCCAGCAGGAACCCACTCTGGCCAGGTGAGCTGGTTCTGGGGGTGGCAAGTGTGAGGCCCCATCCCGGGGGTCTCTGACATTGGCCTTGCTCTGGCCTCAGTCCTCTTGCCCTTGTCCCTGTCCCTCTCTCTTCCCAAGAGAGCAGGTACCTGGGCCGTCCCTGCCCACCCAAGGCTCCAAGAGAATACACAGTGAGTTCAGGGCTGATCTCGGGCTCCTTGCTACTGGTTCCAGCTTCCCCTGGCAGGCAGCACCTCCCGGAGCCCCCGAGACCTGGCCCACAGCGCCCACAGCACGCCTCTTAGGCGAGGGTCACGCACAGAGAGTCCTGGCTTTTGTGGGCCTTAGCACTGGGAGCCACGGCCAGTGCAGACGCCTCCTGGAACTCCTTGGCCATGTAGTAGTAGCAGATGGCGTCCAGGCAGCAGTTGGCATCTGAGAGCTTGCTGGTTATGTACAGGGCGCGACGGATCGTCTCCAGGAGGGCACAGGCGTTCCAGCCCACTGCGAGGCGCACTGTCAGCCCCACGTGCAGGGGCAGGAAGCAGACCACGAACACCAGGAGGTTGGCCCAGACCATGCGGGCAGCCTTGCGGGTGGCCTCTGCCTGCCCCACGTCGGTGGGTGGCCTCTGGGCCAGGGCAGTCACCACCTTCAGGGAGCAGAAGACCACCACGGCCAGGGGCAGGTAGAATCCCAGCAGCGGGAACGCCATGGAGTTGAAATTGTGCCGGGTGCTCCTGAAGCAGAAGCCGCCCTCCTGAATCCCCAGGAGCCAGCGAGCCACCAGGGAGCCGATGACCAGCACCCAGAGGACCGCGCACACGGCCGCAGCCTGCCTGGGGGACCGCAGCCCGCGGGCACGCAGCGGGTGCCGCACGGCCACATAGCGGTCCACGGCGATGGCCGTGACCAGGCTGATGCTCATGTACCTGTTGGTCAGGTAGATGCCCTGGGAGAGCTGGCACAGCGGCGTGTCTGAGGTGTCTCGCAGGGAGTGCAGCACGAAGGGCAAGGTGCACAGCAGGCAGAGGTCGGCCACCGCCAGGTTGGTCATGTAGATGCGGGTCTCCGTCCACTGCTGCATGCGGCAGCAGAACACCCAGAGCGCCAGGCTGTTGAGCAGCAGGCCTAGCACCAGCAGGACGCCCAAGTAGGCGTAGAAGCCCAGCTTGATCGCTGGGGGCCAGGTGAGGTCGCTGGAGCCACAGGTGTTGTAGGTGCCATTCATGGTCCTGGGGCAGCACAGGGAGCCGGAGGTCAGCAGAGAGTGAGCAGGGGGAGCAAGGCACTGCCCCCACTCTGCCCACCTCTGGGCAGGGATGTGGGAGGAGGTGAGCCCCGACCCCACACCCACAAACACAAAACTCCTCAAAGAAAGCATGGGTGCCGTAAAGAACTCCAAGTCACCCTTGAGGTCTAACCCCTGGACAGATCCTCTTCCCATCTCCTGAGCTCTTCTCTCCTGGGATCTGCCTGCTGTCATGGGGCAGGAAAGGAGGCAGAAGGAGCTCCACGTTCCCCTCCAGTCCCCAGCCCAGCAAGCCCTACCCTCCAGAGCGCAAATCCTGGACAGGGAGCCCAAAGGGCCACCAGCCTTACCCAGCACACAGCTCTTAGCAGGGAGGGCTCAGAGGCAGCAGCACCTGTCAGCCCAAGGACGGGAAGACCAGGCTCCCGGACAAAGCCCAGGGTGGCCCCTCCACCCCTCCTGGCACCCGGCTGCAGGAGGCACCCACATTTGACTCCACACCTGCATCAGCCCTTCCCCACAGCAGAGTCCAGGACAGCTGGGACTCTGGCCTGCCCCTACCTCCCTGTGAGCCCACCCACCCAGTCCTGAGCTCTGGAGGTCCTGCCTGCATCAGCCTGAGGCCCCATCCCAGTCCCACACCTGGGATCAGGGATTCACCCCTTGAGCTCCCAGGGGCCAGAGCCTGTGACGGCAGCCCTGCCCCTTCAGGCCCAGTCGTGCTGCTCAGGGGCCGCCCAGGGGTGGAGCTGAGTATCCTCCTCTCCGTCACTATCAGGACCACCCACAAAGTCACCCCTCCACTGTCCACGCCAGCCTCTCGCTGTCCCCAACACCCTCCGCGACATAGCCCAGGAAGGCTGAGACCAGCCCCGGCTGGACCTGGGCAGGGTCTGGTGTCCAGGACACGGGCTAGAGTCATCCTGACTCGGCCACCCCTGCAGCTGGGCAAACTTGTTTCCTCATCATAAGGGGTGCTGGTGTCACACGCAGGCAGGTGTGAGACGGAGCTGCTGGTGAGCGCCCAGAGTCCAGGACTCACAGCCACACGTCCCACCACCTGGGTTACTCAGTGGGTCCAGGAAGAACCCGGAGGGGTGAGGGCGGGAGAAGCCTCTCCCCCAACCATCAGGCTGTCCTCTGGGGCATCCTGCAGTGGCTTCCTGCTGGGCTGGTATGGAAGGTGGGAAGGACTCAGCCCACAGCGAAGGGCCTTCCTCCTCCCTCTGCCTCCTCCCTCTGCCCAGAGGAGCACAAAAGGTCCCCCAAATCAGGAGGGGAGAGCGCCCAAACCCCGTGACTGCAGCTGCTGGGGACCATTAGTGCTGGGACGCATTTCCCCACGGTGGTCCCCGGGAACTCCAGGTCCCCAGTCCATGAGGGATGGAGGGCACAGGTTTCAGACAGAAACGAAACATTCTGCCCCCTGGCTTCATTCTGTCTCCTTAGATCCCACCTCTGGTGAAGTACAGCAGATATTTGCTGACTTCCAAGTTTCAGGAGCCCTTCCCCCGAGTGCAAAGTGCTGCACGCCCAGTGGTCTCTCTCCTCCCTTCTTGAGGGTCCTGCTTGCTTTCTCTCTGATTCATGAGCAACACTTCACCCTCGTTCCAGGGACTTTTGGAGGGACCCTGAGCCAGGCCAGGCTCCGAGGACATCCCCAGAACCCACTGGAACCAATCGCTGGGATCTTCCCTTCCTGTTGGGCCTATACTCCTGTGGCAGCCCCCGCTGGGGGCCAGGAGATCCCAGAACCTGCTCAGAATCTACACCTCAGAGGCACCTGAGCTGGGCAGGCACTGTGCGTTGGGGAGGGCTCCGTGCGACTGGCCTCCTACTCTCCCCACCTGAGTACTTGAATCCACCAGAAGTCCAGGGCCAGCCTTGGGCGGTGTGCAGACCTGGAGGGGGAGGGGGTCTGCACAGCTAGAGGGCGATTCTTTTGCTGCCCCACCTTGAGTAGAGGCAGCCTGGGACCCTGCCTCGTGGGAGGTGAGGACCCGAGGGCTCGTGTGCCTAGACCCCTTCCCATTGCCCCAGCTTCCCCCATCGCTCCCCATGGCTGCCAAGGGGCTCTCAGGTCACACATACCCAGGGCTGCAACTTTCATACTAGCCTCGGTGTGGCCCAGTATTTTGTGGGGGAATGTTTAACTGCAGGCAGGCACGGTGGCTCATGCCTGTAATCCCAACACTTTGGGAGGCTGAGACAGGAGGATGACTTGAGGCCAGAAGTTTAAGAACAACCTGGGCATCACAGGGAGACCCCGTCTCTACAAAAAAAAAAAAAAAAAAAAAAAAAAAGACAGAAAATTAGCTGGGCTGGTGATGCGTGCTACTCGGGAGGCTGAGGCAGGAAGACGGCTTGAGCCCAGGAGGTTGAGGCTGAAGTGAGCTATGATCCCACCACTGCACTCCAGCCTTAGGAGACAGAGTGAAACCCCATCTCTAAGAAGAAGAAAAAAACTCTAACTACAACATTTAAATTTTCCTGTTTATAATAAAACAAACACTGAACTATTAGGGAGAAAAATGCAAATGTTGCAAGAGTTTCGAGGTGCACGTAGGCTTCGAAGAAGTGCCCTGTTCATGGGTCCTTGTCTCGCCCGTGGAGTGCCTCCCAGAAAAGTTCAGGAAATCAAGGCCCAGGCTTTAGCCCAGATGGCATGGGGCCCCTGGGAGCTAACATGGCCAGCACAGATGCCCACCTACTGCCCCAGTCCCGCACAGGAATCTGTGTCCAGGCCGTGGACCGTAGCTGGCCTCCCGCCTCAGCTCCTCAGGCCTGTCTTCCTCGACAGACACCAGCACCATCAGCCTCAGGGAGCTCCCGCTGCCGGGGACCGTGGGGATGGGGCCCTTCCACTTCCTGCCCAGGAGGCTTTGGGGATTGGAGCCAGCAGCACGCCTCTGAGGCCCCGCTTCCCCTTCTGATGACAAGGTCACCCTCGGCTTCTGCACACAAAAGCAGAAAAGTGCCCTTTGATTCTGCACTGAGTGATCCAGGAGAGAAACCTGGCCATAGACGGGCGATCCAGCCACACCAGAGCCCCTCCCCAGCCCTTCCCCCTGTCTGGACCCGGGACCCGCCCAGACCCCAGAGTGCCTGGCTGGCCTGGGATTGAGACCACAGGCCCCAACCACTGCTGAAGACGTGGGGGCACGCAGTGAGGTGCAGATCCCTGTGGCCCAGGCACCAGAGTCCCCCGTACCTGTGACCCCACTGGGCCTGGGCCCCACACAGCACACCACACCCCAGGACCCAGGATGGGGCTGTGAGTGACACGAGTTCACCAAAGTAGCTGCTCACCTCGGGGCCACAGCACGGGGTATTCTTCATTCTTGTTTTTAAATGTCACATCCCACACTCCAACAAGCTGCTACCCAGACACAGGCTCCAAGTCTTCATCAGCCTCAGCCACCCCTGAGACCCCAACAGCCTCAGCCCACCTGAGACCCCAACACAGCCTCACCTCACTGAGACTCCCCATCACAGCCTCACCCCACTCTGAGACCCCATCACAGCCTCACCCCACTCTGAGACCCCATCAGAGCCTCACCCCACTCTGAGACCCCGTCACAGCCTCACCCCACTCTGAGACCCCGTCACAGCCTCACCCCGCTCTGAGACCCCATCACAGCCTCACCCCGCTCTGAGACCCCCATCACAGCCTCACCCCACTCTGAGACCCCCATCACAGCCTCACCCCACTCTGAGACCCCGTCACAGCCTCACCCCGCTCTGAGACCCCATCACAGCCTCACCCCGCTCTGAGACCCCCATCACAGCCTCACCCCGCTCTGAGACCCCCATCACAGCCTCACCCCGCTCTGAGACCCCGTCACAGCCTCACCCCACTCTGAGACCCCCATCACAGCCTCACCCCACTCTGAGACCCCATCACAGCCTCACCCCACTCTGAGACCCCATCACAGCCTCACCCTGCTCTGAGAACCCATCACAGCCTCACCCTGCTCTGAGAACCCATCACAGCCTCACCCCACTCTGAGACCCCATCAGAGCCTCACCCCACTCTGAGACCCCCATCACAGCCTCACCCCACTCTGAGACACCCATCACAGCCTCACCCCACTCTGAGACACCCATCACAGCCTCACCCCACTCTGAGACCCCATCACAGCCTCACCCTGCTCTGAGACCCCCATCACAGCCTCACCCCGCTCTGAGACCCTGTCACAGCCTCACCTCGCTCTGAGAACCCCCGTCACAGCCTCACCCCACTCTGAGACCCCATCATAGCCTCACCCTGCTCTGAGACCCCATCACAGCCTCACCCCACTCTGAGACCCCCACCATGCCCCTGCCCCGCTGGGAGGCCCCTAGGGCAGTGGGCGGCACTGACCTGCAGGCAGCTTTGGCCTCCCGGGTGGAGTGTGTGACCCCCGCTGCCAAAGCCTGCACAGTGGCTGTCTGAGAAGGGCTGGGGGAAGTGAAGCTGGGGTGAGCCACCCCTCAGGGCTGGTCCCTGACTCTGCCCCTCCTTAAGGTGGGGGGGCGGGCGGCTGACTGACGGCAGCAGGTCAGGGGTAACAGGAGTTCCCCACTGCTCCTGCACCAGCCCCAGCTAGAGGGCGTGGGGGATTTCTGGGAGGGAAGTGGGGTGCCGGCTGCCTGTGCTGACACCTCTGAAGAGCCAGCATCCTTGCTGAGGGCACACATTTGTTCTGGAAACAGCGTGAGAGACAGACAGCAAAACCAGAGACGCTCCAGCCCCGCCCACGGAGCCTTCCTCCTCCCCAGCCCACTTCTGCCCTGTCATCTCGGAAACCTTCCCAGGGCCCAGCCCTCCCAGGGTCTGCGGTCAGCTCGCCCTCCCCAGCGCCTCATGCCCAGCCCCAAGACAGGGTGCAGCACGCACACTCATCCTGGTTCATGCAGACACGCTCCGTGGGCGCCTTCCAATACACACACACACGCTGGCACACATGCACACACACATGCACACGCCAATGCACACAGGTGAGAGGCACACGCAGGCAGGCTGGCTCCTCCCCTGCTTCCCCCCGACTTGGCCACCGGCCCCTCCTCCAAGCCCACCCCCTCAGAAGCCTACCCAGACCACCCCTATCTGGTCTAGAATATTCTCCCTGGCCCCCAACTCCTCAGCGGACATCTTCCTTCTGAGCTCATGGTGGGGGAGCCCGTAGGCCCAGGCTGCGCCCCCATGGTGCAGAGCACCCCCTTCCTGGGCCCTGTCCACCCTGAGGGCAGGAGCCTCGTCTCCTCAACGTGGGCCCCACAGCCCCTGACCACAGCCTCTCCCTCCTCAACGGCTGGGATAGGCTGGGGAGAGCTTCAGTTTCACCCCTCCCCACTTTACAGCGGTGGAAACGGACGCCCAGGGAAGGGAAGCGCTTGGCCCAGCGTCACACAGGTGGTGGCAGGTCTGAGACCAGTGCCTGGGCCTCCTGAGCCAGACCAGGGCTCTCTACCCAGAGGCACGTGAGGAAGCCCTGGCTGGGCATTGGTCCTTCTCTGCTGTCATCCCGGGCCTGGTTCCTGTCCCTTTCTTCCTGCTTCCTCCTGCTGTCCTTCCTGCCCTTCCTCCTGCTTCCCCGGCTGTCCCTCCAGGCCCAGTCCCCAGTGTGCGCCCTTGGGTTCCCTGCCCAGTCTCCATGGGCCATGATGTTCATTGGAGAGGGGCCTCATCCTCGGGCAGGAGGCTCAGATTTGGGATTTCATCCATCCCTCACTCTGGCCACAGGGTCTGGCCTCTGGGGTCAGCAGAAGGCACGGCACCTGATCAGTCCAAGCCCGGCCGCCGTCAAGCAGGGACTGGAGGTGCAGGGCACGGCATCTCCCAGGAGTGCTCCTTCCACCTCTGGCAGATCAGATGGTGCCCCAAGCAGGCCTACCCAGCCCACCAGAGCCAGGGCCCTGCAGAGCTCCCCCACCCCCCCCACCACCAGGCCAGCCATGAACTCCACCGTGCCCCCTCTGCTGGGCATCACTCCTCCCCAGCAGTGGCCTGGGGCACCCCGTCCCCACCAGGCCTGGCCTCCCTGACGTGGCCTGGCACCTGTGCTCCTCACACACTGGAAGGGAAGCCCCACTGGGCAGGGCCACATGGTCCCAGCGGATTCTTCTGGGCTGTGTGGACTTGGGGAAGAAACTGGACATTTAGAGACTCTGACTGTCTCTGGGAAGGGCCCCTTGCCACCAGGTTCCACCTGTGTACAGGAAACGCTGTCCCCAGCCCACCCCCTACCTCTCTCCATCTGCCCCTTGGCTGTCTCCGCAGGCACTTCAGGGCAGTCCCACCCAGCCTGGAGCCTGGGCCCTCGTGCTCTGCCCCCTCCCACTCAGGCAGGCCTTGCCCGGGCCCCTCCAGAGCGCTGTTTCTCTCCTAGCTCCCCGCTCACCCCCAGGGCCCCTCTCTCCCCAAAGCTGCACCCTCACGACCTGTTTGCACCCTCACGACCTGTTTGCGCCCTCACGACCTGTTTGCACCCTCACGACCTGTTTGCGCCCTCACGACCTGTTTGCGCCCTCACGATCTGTTTGCGCCCTCACGACCTGTTTGCGCCCTCACGACCTGTTTGCGCCCTCACGACCTGTTTGCGCCCTCACGACCTGTTTGCGCCCTCACGACCTGTTTGCGCCCTCATGACCTGTTTCCAGCCCTTCACCCTGTTTGATTTTATCACAGAACTTATTTTTTAAGTAACCCTTTCTGCGCACTGGGCTTGTGCTTGTGGGACTCTATCTGCTTCCTGCCCTGTCGGGGCCCTGGCACAGAGCCCGGCCTCTGTGAAGCTCGACGACCGCTCACCCACAGCGACTCCGGCCGCGGGGCTGCGAGTGCCGGGGACATATCAGGTGCTCAGTCGTCGTCGGCGCCCGGCTCAGGCACGGTCGCCTGGGGTCCTCTGCTGCTGCTCAGGCCCTTCTTCGAGGACACCCGGAGTCCCCAGGTTCGAGAGGCCAGATGGCAGGTTTCCAGTCCAGGCCAGGCCTGTTCTCTCCCTGCTGGGCAGCTTCAGACCACCTGGCCCTCTGCGGAGAACTGGCAGCCAGGGTCCTGCTGTGGGCACGGGGGCACTGCCCGGGGCCCTCCGCCCCCAGCCTCTGCTCCTGGGCAGCTTCCTCTCCGAGGCTGCCCCCTCACCCCCAAGGTTAGCCCCCTGCAGCAGCGCCAGCCCCTCCCACTTCACCCCGCTGGGCTGTATGTGTGACGCGAGGAGCTCCGAACAGGATTCCTTCCTGCCCCTCCTCCTGCTTCTCCAGCTAGAGCTGCCGGACGCCACCCCTGCAGCCCTATCTAGGGGAGCCTCTGCAGCAAGCTTGTCCAACACTCGGGCTGCGGGCTTTGAATGTGGCCCAACACAAATTTGTAAACTTTCTTAAAACATTATGAGATTTACGCAGAGACCTTTTTTTGCTCATCAGCTATCGTGAGTGTTAGTGTATTTCATGTTTGGCCCAAGGCAATTCTTCTTATTCCAATGCGGCCCGGGGAAGCCAAAAGATTGGACAGCCCTGCTTTGAAGGGAAGTCTGTGAGGCGATGTCAGGGAAGCAGGAGCCTGGGAGAGCCAGAGAAAAGCCGTTTACGTTCAGCTCCACCTTGAGACCAATGAGGCACATACCTGCCAGCCACAGCCCATGGTCATACGATGTTTACAGCTAAAGCAGCAGCCAGTGACGCCTGCGTGGACACACTTCTATGACAGCAAAGTGTCCAAGTGCCCTGGTATCCAGAACAATATATGCTTTCCAGACAACTACCCTTGGCCGGACGCGGTGGCTCAGGCCTCTAATCCCAGCACTTTGGGAGGCCAAGGTGGGAGGTTGGCTTGAGCCCAGAAGTTTGAGACCAGCCTGGGCAACATAGCAAGACCCCATCTTTACAAAAAGTAAAAAAAAAAAAAATCAGCCACGCATGGGGGTGCATGCCTGTAATCCCAGCTACTCAGGAGGCTAAGGCGGGAGGAGCACCTGAGCCTGGGAGGCAGAGATTGCAATGAGCTGAGATCGTGCTACTGCACTCCAGCCTGGTTGCAACAGAGCAAGACCCCGTGACAGACAGTTTTCTTTAAATCAATAGAATAATACATGTTAGGCACAGTTTAGCTTAGTCTTTACACAGACGAGACCCCTGTATGAGAAAAAGTTAAAGCTGGGGTGTTCCCCCTCTTGCTTTCTGACGACACCCTGCTCTGTAATGGAGCAACTTTCAATAAACCCTCTCTTCTCACCACATTCTGACTTGCCTCCACTTCCTTCCTGAGTGAGACCCACGAAGCATGTCTTGAGGTCTGAATCGAGACTCCTTTTGCAGTGAAGCTGCCATCCTAAATGAGTCGCTTGGATCCTCATGCGTCCTTTGCATAGTTTTGGTTTACTAAAACAACACATTGGCTGGGTGCAGTGGCTCACATCTGTAATCCCAGCACTTTGAGAGGCCGAGGCAGGGGGATCACGAGGTCAGGAGTTCAAGACCAGCCTGGCCGACATGGTGAAACCCCATCTCTACTAAAAATACAAAAATTAGCTGGGCGTGGTGGCGCGTGCCTGTAGTCCCAGCTACTCGGGAAGCTGAGACAAGAGAATTGCTTGAACCCGGGAGGCGGAGGTTGTGGTGAGCCGAGATCACGCCACTGCACTCCAGCCTGGGCGATAGAGGGAGACTCCATCTCAAAAATAAATAAATAAATAAATAAGAAATAAAACAACACATTACGGTTTATCTTTATGACTGTTTTTCTGGTGTCCCTTCAAGCGCTGTGCCCCCGAGGCCAGTGCCTCACTTGCCCACCCAGCAGCTCAGGCAGACCAGTGGGGTCCTCTGTGTGGGGGCTCAGTTGTGGACCCCGAGAGAGGATGTGAGTACACCTCCCTCTTCTCGAGGTTTCCCTGTCACCCTCAGCACTTTCTGTTCCCCTCTTCACAGAACCAGGTCTGGAAGTGCACGTCCTGCTGGGAAACTCCCCTCCCCCACTGATCTTGCCTAAAGCCTGGCGGTGTCACTGTGAGGGGCTGGGGACCAGGACACAGGGTCTCTGTCCTAGATGCCCTGCTTTTGTGTGTATTTGATGTTTTCCATAATAAAAGTGTATAGAGAACTGAGTGTGTGGCCACAGAGGGGCAGGGGAGGGCAAAGCCTGTCAGCTGTGGGGCAGAGGAGGTAGCGGGCAGGGGTCCTGGGGGGTGGCTGCAGAAGACTAGCACCTGTGGCCTAAGGTCCCCTCCAGCCAAGACCCCGCCCTGTGCTCAGCCTCCTGTGATGGCCCCATCCCCACAGGGGGTCCCCACAGCCCAAGTGCAGGGCCCTTGGCAGGAGCTGGGCACCACCGCAGGACGAGCAGGGGACACGGGGTCCCAGGGGTCTGGAAGGGATCCTGAGGGGCCCTGAGAGGACCACGATGGGGGCAGGAGGGGTCCTGAGAGGGTCTGAGGGGCTGCAAGTCGCACCCAGGGCCCTTCCCTGCCTCCCCCGTGCCCACGCCTCCCTTCACCAGGCACCCTCACAGTGGAGCCTCCAGCTCTGCCCACCTGCAGCAGGAGGCCCCTGGGCACTCAGGGGCCGTCTCCACGCCTTGGAACTCCTGCCCCACCTTCACCCAGCCTATGGGGTGTCGAGGCATCTGGCCACCAGCAGGGAGATCCCAGCCCTGGCCACCAAAGGCCAGAAGAGGCTCCTTGGGCTGAGGGCAGGTGACCCCAGCCCCTGGGCCACCCCCGCCAGCTCACTCACCCTGATGGCTCCCACTGCCTGCTCCTGGGGACCCACTGCTGCCAGATGCCCCGCTGGGGTCCCCACCTGGCCTCGGGGTGGGCCTTGGGTGCTGCCCCAGCCAGGTTTCTGCTATTTCCAGCGGCTTTCCCTTTTCTTGGCCCTGGACAGCAGGGCCACCCTCTCGGACTCCTTCCCCTTCCTCTGCACAAGGCTCTGTGACTGGGAAGCTGCCTGCTCCTTGGCCCTTCAACTGCCAGCTCTCTGTCCCCATCCCTAGGGCCCTCCCTTCTCAGCAGAGAGAGCCATCGGGCCCCCGCTTGAGGCCCTCCCAACTCACTCGCCCTCCTGTCCAAGAGCCCCGCTCCTAAGATCCTCACTCCTAAGTGCCACTTCCTGGCTCGGGAACCTGCAGAGGCTCCCCACTGCCTGCCTGAGGCCGCCTGCCAGCCGCTGGAAGGTCCTCCACTCTGGGGAGACCTCCGGTTGGGGGAGTCTGGCGGGGAGGGAGGAGTAACTCTTGAGAGCGGAGTGTGTGTCGTGTGCTGTCATCCCCGCCCTAAACTGAACCATAAACACCCAGTGGCTGGACAAGGAAGGGGCAGTCCCTCCAGCAGGGATTTTCCCCACGTCCTCCCCGGGGCAGCAGGATCCCGGCCTGGCTGGCTTGCAGCAGCCTGTCTAGGATGGGCCCAGGAAATGGCAAGTTTAATCACGCCCAGGAGCCACTGAGGCAGAGGGTCCTTAACCCCAGAAGAAGCACTGTGTGGAGAGTTCTCACTCCCGTTCTTTTGCCCTATCCTGGGACCACCAGCCTTCAGAGACACTTCCTCCGGAGCCAGGCAAGACGCCTGCTGATAGAGATGGGAGTAGACGCTCACAGAGGAGATGTAAATTGCTCCTTAAAGATACGAAACGATGCTCAAAACGATCATAAAAAGAGAAACACAAATTAAGCTCAAAACGATCATAAAAAGAGAAACACAAATCAAAAGTTCACTGCAACACCATTTCTCCTCCATTAGTCAGGTCAAAATCCAAGAGTCTGACCACAATAGAAAGACGTCCTCGGATATCACCCATTGATCACTGATCTCTAAGGTGGCACAAACCCCCAGGCAGGTGGATTTGGCAATATCTTTAGCCAAATTAGAGATGCATTTACTCTTTGACCCAATAACCCCACTTCTAGGAATGTACTCACAGAGAGACGCAAGGACTATGAAGCATGTACTTCAGCAGCTCTTCACTGCCACGGTGTGGAGTGGGGACAGCCCGGGAACCACTCAGCATCTCTCCCAAGGGCCCAGGTTGAATGAAGCGTGTTCACACCACAGGACACTGAGCACTTGCAAAGAGGAGGGAGAAATATTTCTACACACTGTCATATGGTCATCTCCAGAATGTATTTGTAAATGAAAAAAAGCATGTTTATGTACATATAGACAATTGATGTGTTTTTAGATGGAGCCATCAGCTGTATGTTTTACAAATGGAAAGATAAGCTACAAAATTTGCTTTAAATTAAACTGTTACCTGTAGGAAACAGGTGGAAATGGGATGGGGATAGGGACGGACTTCTGTGACCATATCTTGGTTTCTAGATTTGGATTTAGACTCATGTCAAATGTTTGTGTAATTACTTAATTTAATTAAATTAACTTGTAAAAGGAATTCTTAAAATTGAAAGCAAAATGAAACTAACTGACTTGCATTATGGGTTGACAATATGAACCTACCAAACTCTTCCAAGTGATTTTAAAATCCAGTCATTTGGATGTATATCCATATAGCCTGACAACAAGAAAGAATGGCAAAAGAAGTTTTCATTATTTTAAGTAATCATTTTCCAAATAATTTTAAAACACTGTTTTGTCTGTACGTCGACACAACCCAAGGACTTTAAAAGTATCTAAAAATAATTTTAAACTATTTTCAGTGGTTATATACTGTTGATGGTAGTGTTGGTAAAGTCATTTTGAAAATATTGTGTGTGTTACAGGATAAAACAAATGAATAACTATGTTGGGTATTGTTTGAGATTTTTGGTGTGGGAGAAAGGAGATGCAGATATATTATCAATAAGATTAAGTAAAAACTATGTAAATCCGAATTTAAATAGAAAGTATCCATTTGTACTCATAATGTGTCTTTCAAAAAAAAAAGCCTTAGTTCTGTCCACTGACAAGGCCTAAAAATGACGACAAATCCAGTAACCACAAGCACACCTAACACCCAGACTGTGGTCTCTAAGTACCATTTCTCTTGAAGAGGAAGAGGGGCTCTTGGAGAGAAGTGTATGCTGTCCAATCTGGGTTAGGAAATGTCTAATGTAATTCTGGAATGTCTTCTTATGCCAGAGAACAAAGTAGCTGTCAAAGATTATTAGGGCAGTGCCAAAGGGGCTCAGGAGTTAAATCAAATAGGCTGGCACTGGACAAAGACAGGAAGATCTGAATATCAATAAGGATAATAATGTTAATGGGAACATCAAAAAATGTTTAAACTCATGAACTTGTAATTATACTTTAAAAACTCATTAGTCATTGTTGAAAGATGCCAGGAAAACAGTTCATTATTTTATAAATGAGGAAAGGAAGGGAAAGAATCAAGCATTTGCCCTGCCTTTCCTATGCAAACTGTACCTCAACATGACCAAAGAGTTAATGAAGGAACACTTCTTTTTATAGATACATTTCTGCTAATAAATAATGAAGGAAGACAGAAGTAGAATATCACTACTTTGCAAACCCTGATGGATGAATGAAACTAGCATTAGGGTTAATTATCTATTATTTTAGCTGTGCATTGTCAGCTACCTATTGCTACACAAAAAAATTACCTCTAAAATGAGAAGATTAAAACCACAGAGTTTTATCTCCCAGTTCCTGTGGGTCAGGAATTCGGGCTCTGCCAAACTGGGTCCTCTGCTCAGGGTCTTTCATGAGTCTGCAATCCAGGTGTCAGCCGGGGCTGCAGTCTCATCAGAAGGCTCAGCTACGAGGAGATTCACTTCCAGCTCCCCCAGGTGGCTGTTGGTAGAGTTTCAGGTCTTTCATGAGTCTGCAATCCAGGTGTCAGCCGGGGCTGCAGTCTCATCAGAAGGCTCAGCTACGAGGAGATTCACTTCCAGCTCCCCCAGGTGGCTGTTGGTAGAGTTTCAGGTCTTTCATGAGTCTGCAATCCAGGTGTCAGCTGGGGCTGCAGTCTCATCAGAAGGCTCAGCTAAGATGAGATTCACTTCCAGCTCCCCCAGGTGGCTGTTGGTAGAGTTTCATTCCCAATGGGCAGCTGGCCTGAGGACCCCAAATCTTCCCTGGTTCCTGCCCTCAGTTCCTTACTGGCCATGCCTCTTCACAGGGCAGCACACAGCATGGCATCTGGCTACCCCAGAGCCAGCGAGAGAGAGTATGCATCCAAGACAGATGCCATGGTCTCTTTCAACCTAATCACGGAAGAGACAACACATCACTTTTTTTTTTTTTTTTTTTTTTACTGTATTGTTTGTTATAAGTGAGTAAGTCCAGCCACCCTTCAGGAGGGAATTGCATGACAGCAGGAGGCAGGAATCACCCACTGGGGGGTCTCTTGGCAGCTTCCTGCCACATTCGTGATCATTGGTGGCTGCTGGCCTCACAAAGAGACCACCAGATATCATGAGCCCCCTGGCAGAAATGCATGCCCTGCTGATGAAGTGGGCTTGTCAAAAAACCAAAACTCTCACCTGAATCTGGTGAAGTATCGGAGCTGACTCGCAGTCGACAGGAGATTGGCAGGCATGGGAACTCCAGCCATACAGGCTGGACTTTGCAAGTCCAGTCTGCAGGAAGCTGCACAGGGCAAGAGACCTAGGAGGGGAATAGAGAGACGGAGGAGGAAGCTGCCAACTAAGAACCCAACAGGTATGTCGGCCGGGACCGCGGGGACCTCGTATGCATCCTGTGGAGCCACTGCTGTCGAGGTTGGGACCACGAGCCCAATGGAAGGTCACCCTCAGGCCTGTATTCACGACTGCAATAGTGCAGGCAAGAGGCAAACAGAAGGAAAAAGGTGCCGGCTCCTCTACGTCCCATTTTTGCCCCCTGGATGACATCAGGCAGATGGGGAGATGATCTCACTACCAAGCAGGCGAAACAGAAGGCTCAAACAAAAGGATCTGGCCTGGGGAACCGTGGAGGAGGCTAAGGGTGGAAAGTGCCGTCTGGGGCAGGAGGGCTGCTTCTCCTGTGGGGCCTGCTGGCAACAACTGCGGTTGGGCCTGAATGATCACACAGAGGATTTTGGCCTGCAGCCAGACTCCTCAGATCCAATTCAACCAAATAAGCTCTTTTTAAAAACGTATAAGGTGGGAATTGAGCCTCATCTCCCTTCCCTGCTGCAAAACTCCATTGTGGTAGCCTCCGTTGAATAAAGTCTACCTTACTGTTCTCTAAAAAATTGTAGAAGTAGAGAAAATGTAAAAGTTAACTCCTGTTTGTTGCAATTAAGGAAAGGTTCATTTCTTGGCTAGATGTGATAATGCTTACTGTGGTCATGTGTTTTTAAAAGTCCTTATCTTTTATTCATGTGGCATTTTTTGTAGATAGAAGGATATGATGTCTGGCACTTATCTCAAAACATTTTGAGCCCATAGATGGAGTGTGGTGAAGCACAATCAGTTGTGACTCTTTGGCTCTTGCCAAAGGTGGGGTGATGGGCACAAGGGGTTATTACACTTCTGCTTATTTCAGTCTGAACATTTCCAAAATAAAAGGTCAAAACCAAAGGTGGCCAAACACCCCACTGCTAGTCTGTAGAAAACGTGGGAGTGTGTTGTGGCCTTCTCCTTTAACTCCACGGCAGTGCAGGAGAAGATGGGGTTTCCTCACTGGCCCTGAAATGAACGATCCCTAAGCATCACAGGCAGGGGAAACAGACGGAGAAGGGACTCACGGGTCTACATGAGGCTTAGAGAGGACTCGGCAAGGGGCTTTTGGGCACCATCTGAGCAGGAGGGCAGCGTGCTGGGGCCTCGTGAGCCCTGGGGAGACTGCACTTGGGCTCGAAGGGCCTGGGTGGTGGTGCAATACAGCTTCTCCCTCGCCTGTCCACGTGTATGTGTACACACACACACACACAAGCACAGGCATATACATACACACACAGACACATGTAAACATACACACATGCACATATACTATACACATGCACACACATAAAAACAGACACATCACACAAGCACTGCATACACACATGCACACTCGCATATAAACACACATAGATACATATACAAATACACACATAAACATGCATACACACAAGCACACACAAATGCATATATATGCACACATATATACATATATACACATACACATATATATAGATACTACATATACATACATAGATATATACACATACAACATACACACATGCACATGTGCACATACACACACACTCTGATAAGCTACATCATTGGAGGGGCCTCTGGGTGGAGGGACAGGACTGTCAGCCCGCATAAGCCCGAGCCAGGGGCATGGCGGTGCCATGCCAACTGCGCCTACCCGGTCCCTCCCTAAAGGAACTCACACAGAGATGGACACCAGGCAGGAAGCACCCATGCTGGGGGATGAGCCCCCTTCCACATGGGCAAGGGGAGAACCGGGAGAGCAGAGTCCTCCTCAGGACCAGGGGCAGGCCTGTTCCAACGGCTCAGGTGGGTGCCAGTCTTTGTACCCTCAGCCCCAAATCCATGCTGCACAGGTGGGGAAACCAAGGCCTGGGGGCCAGGGGCTGGCTCAAGTCCCTGGGAAGTCTGAAGGGAGAACTGGAATGGTGATCGTGAAGGTGACGGTTAAGGTGAGGTCTGACATTGGCTGAAGAGTTGTTTGGATCAGAGGGTGCATTTGGATTAGGGTTAGGATTGGAGTTAGGGTTAGAATTAAGGCTAGAGGTAGAATTACAGTGAGGACTAGAGTCAGGGTTAGGGTTAGAGCCAGGCTGTGGTCAATACAAGGCTTAGGGTTAGGGTTCAGGTTAGGGTTTGAGCCAGGTTATGGTCAACATGAGACTTAGGATTAGGGTTTGGGTTGGAGTTAGGGTTAGTGCTAGGGTTTTGGCTAGGGTTAGTGTTAGGGTTAGGCTTAGGGTTAGGGTTGGAATTAGGGGTTAGGGTTCGGGTCCACATGAGGCATGGTTAGGGTTAGCGTTAGGGCCCACATGAGGCATTGTTAATTAGGTTTAGGGCTCGGGATAGGGTTAGGGTTGTAGTTGGTGTTATGGTTAGGGTTAAGGTTTGGGTTGAGTTAGGGTTAGGGTTAGAGTTTCGGTTAGGGTTATGGTTGTTGGAGTTAGTGTTATGGTTAGGGGTAAGGTTTGGGTTGAGTTAGGGTTAGGGTTAGAGTTTTGGTTAGGGTTATGGTTGTAGTTGGAGTTAGTGTTATGGTTAGGGTTAAGGTTTGGGTTGAGTTAGGGTTAGGGTTAGAGTTAGGGTTTCGGTTAGGGTTAGGGTTCGGGTCCATATGAGGCATTGTTAATTAGCTTTAAGGTTCGGAATAGGGTGGAGTTAGTGTTATGGTTAGGTTTAGGGTTAAGGTTTGAATTGAGTTAGGGTTAGGGTTAGAGTTTTCGTTAGGGTTTGGGTTCGAGTTAGGTTCGGTTCTGCCTGAATTTTAGGGTTATGGTTAGCATTAGGGTTGGAGTCCACATGATTTATGGTTATGGTTAGGGTTATGGTTAGGATTTGGGTTCAGGTTAGGGTTCCAGGCCACACGAGGTTTAGGTTTATGATTAGCATTAGGGTTGGGGTCCACATGACTTATGGTTCATTATGGTTTACTTGGTGCTCCCTCACTTTAACCATCTGATGAGATTCTTCACTCCTTGTCCAGGGCCTCTTTTACACACTTGCACTCAAATGCACACCCTCCAACACTCCCCTCTCCACCCTCATAGTGCCAGGTAGGTTTTCCCATGTTCTGCTGTCCTCTCTGCTCACTCCTCATCTTGAAGGCCTGGTCAGTGTTTCTTGTCCCCTCTCCTCCTCCTTCTGGGTGGCCTGCAGCGCCTGCTGTCCCCACACTTCACCTTCTCCTGTTCCGCGTATCTTCTGGAGCTCTTGTTTACTGAGCATCCCAGCTGGTCCCTGAGCTATCAGGCTCTGCCTCACTCCTTGTCTGGGGTTACTGAAGGTCTGCCACAGCTCATGTTACAGTTGAGGTTGGAGTTCCAGGAATTGCCACTGATGAGGCTGATTGCTCAGCTTCTGCAGTTGTGCAGAGTCTCTGCTGTCTGCAGCTGAGGCTGGGTTATGTCCGCGCCCCTGGGAGGTCGGGGACAGTGACTCTGTGAGCACAGCTCCAATCGCAGAATTCTGGAGAACCATCACCAGGAGGCCCTGCAGGCTGGGATGTGGATCCCACCCATGGCCACGGTTCTCACCCACGCTCTGACCTCCCCAGACCTGCCCTTCCCCTTCTTCCTCTGGAGAAGCCCGGATTTGATCAGCTGTTTGCCTCCTCCCGAGGCCCCGCTGGCTGCCAAGCCCTGCTGAAGAGCCGTGTGCGGCTCAGGCCAGTCTTGCAAATTCCTCTGAAAGAGAAGTTCCCACTCACAGAGTCCATTTCCTCACACCCCCTCGGGGTCCACCTGCTGAAATCTGGATCCCACCATGGTCAGCCCACCAGAACCTCTCACTGAGGAGGTGAGAGCCCTTTGGACTCCCATGTCCCTAGAGCCCAGAGCACAGCTGACAGGCAGCACCTCCACGCACCCACCAGCAGCCTTTGGCCAAGTCAGTAAGTCCCTAGTCCTTTTTTTTTTTTTTTTTTTTTTGAGACAGAGTCTCGCTCTGTCGCCCAGGCTGGAGTGCAGTGGCGTGATCTCCACTCACTTCAAGCTCCGCCTCCCGGGTTCACGCCATTCTCCTGCCTCGGCCTCCCGAGTAGCTGAGACTACAGGCGCCCGCCACCACACCCGGCTAATTTTTTTTTTTAGTAGAGACGGGGTTTCACTGTGCTAGCCAGGACGGTCTCGATCTCCTCACCTCATGATCCGCCCGCCTCGGCCTCCCAGTCCCTAGTCCTTTTTAAAAAATGTTTTAATAAGATGTTGAGTAGATCTAAATGAACACCAATGCACCCACCGTGAAAGTGAAGGAACAGAACTTAAGATGATCTTTGAGGCCCCCTTGCACTTTGCCCTGAAACATCCTTCTGCCAATGTCCCAGAAGTAACCACAAAGCCACTTCCTCGTGTGGCCTCCATGACACACGCTTCCTTGTTTTGCTCCTTCGCTGGCCTCTCCTTTCATCTCTACTGTCCTGCATTTGGGTCCCTAAAATGTTGGGGCTCCTCAGGGTTTGGTCCTGGACTCTTCCTGTCCCATCGCACGTTCTGCATCCACAGACTACCTTGTTCCCATTCATTCAACAGTCACCCCTCTGCCCTTCACCCCTAGAGCCAGCTCCAGCCCCGGACACTGCCCTGAGCTCTGGACCTTGTAAAGAAATGTCTACCAGGTATCTCCTCTTGGATGCCTCAGAAGCACTTTAAATGCAACTTGTCCAAAACTGACCACATCATCCAGCCCTTTCATCACTCCCCAAACTAATCTTCCTTCAAAGTCTCCATCTCAGAGAGTGGTTCCTCTTGTTACCCAGGCCACATATGTCAGTGTCATTTTGGAATCTTTCTCCCCCCATTCCTCCTACATCCAATCAATCATAAATAAGTTAAATATGCATATCATAAACCCTATTGCAGCTAATGAAATGATAAAACAAGGAAGTATAATAGTCTAGAAGAGATAAGTGAAATACAAAATAGTCAACTAATCCAAAAGAAGGCAGAAAAAGAGGAGGGAAAATGAGTACAAAGAACAGAGGAGATGAATAGGAAACAAATAGCAGATGGTAGGTTCAAACCCAACCATATCAACCATTACATTAAATGTGACTGAGGTAAACAATCCAGTTAAAAGACAAAGACTATTGGCCAGGCACGGTGTCTCATGCCTGTAACCCCAGAACTTTGTGAGGCCGAGGTGGGTGGATCATTTGGGGTCAGGAGTTCGAGACCAGCCTAACCAACATAGGGAAATCCCCATCTCTACTAAAACTACCGAAAAAAAACAAAAACAAAAACAAACAAACAAAAAAACACAGCTGGGCGTAGTGGCACGCACCTGTAATCCCAGCTACTCAGGAGGCTGAGGCATGAGAATCACTTGAACCTGGGAAGTGGAGGTTGTAGTGAGCAGAGTTCATGCCACTGCACACTAGCCTGGGTGACACAGTGAGACCTCATCTCAAAAAAACAAAAAGACAGGCCGGGTGCAGTGGCTCATGCCTGTAACCCCAGCACTTTGGGTGGCCGAGACAGGCAGATCACGAGGTCAGGAGATCAAGACCATCCTGGCTAACACAGTGAAGCCCCATCTCTACTAAAAAAAAAAAAAATTAGCCGGGCGTGGTGGCGGGCGCCTGTAGTCCCAGCTACTTGGGAGGCTGAGGCAGGAGAATCACTTGAACCAGGGAGGTGGAGGTTGCAGTGAGCCGAGATCATGCCACTGCACTCCAGCCTGGGTGACAGACCAAGACTGTCTCAAAAAAAGAAAAAAAAAAGTTAAAAACTTAGCCACGTGTGGTGCCACATGCCTGTAGTCCTAGCTACTTGGGAGGCTGAGATGGGAGGATTGCTTGAATCTAGGAGTTTGAGGCTGCAGTGAGCCCTGATGGTACCACTGTATTCCAGGCTGAGTGACAGGAGACTCTTCGTCTTAGGGGAAAAGAAAGCAAGAAATGACAATATGCTGTCTGCCTGATATGATATATACTTTAAATATAAACAAAAGTTAAAAGTAAAAGAATGAAAACAATGTAAAAGAATGGAAAAATTTATAAAATGCAAGCATTAATTATAAGAAAGCAGGAATAAAAATATTAACATCAAAGTAGACTTTAGTATAGGGAATATTGCAAAATAAAAAAAGGGACATTTCACGGACCAGCGTGTTGGCTCACGCCTGTAATCCCAGCACTTTGGGAGGCTGAGGTGGGCAGACCACAAGGTCAGGAGCTTGAGACCAGCCTGGCCAAGATGGTGAAACCCCGTCTCTACTAAAAATACAAAAATTAGCCAGGCGCAGTGGTGGGCACCTGTAATCCCAGCTACTCAGGAGGCTGAGGCAGGAGAATCACTTGAACCCAGGAGGCGGAGGTTGCAGTGAGCTGAGATTGCGCCACTGCACTCTAGCCTGGTTGACAGAGCGAGACTCCATCTCAAAAAAAAAAAAAGGATATTTCATATGAAAAAAGGGTCAATTCATCAAGAATATCTAACAATTCTAAATGTGTATGTACCTAATTACAAAGAATCCAAAAAATGAAGGAAGCTGATAGAACTGAAAGGATAAACAGACAAATTCATGATTGTGATCGGTTATTATGACACCCTCATCTCAGTAACTCACAGAACAAGTAAACCAAAAATTAGTAAGAATATGATAGCCCTGAGCAACACCAATCATCTTATCCAAACTGATGTTTATAGAACACTATGCCCAACAACAGCAGAATATATAATCTTTTCAGGTGCACATTGAACATTTTCCAAAATAGTCCATCTGCTAGGCCATAAATTAAGCCTCCATAAAATTAAAAAGATTTAAGTTATACAGAATATGTTCTCTAACTACAACAGAGCTTAATTAGAAATCAATAGCAACAAGGTATAAGACACACAAAGAATGCCCAAATATTTGAAAATTAAGCAACACATTTAAATAACTCAGGGATCAAAGAAGTAATCAAGGAGACATAAGAAAATACTTTGAACTAAGTGATGATAAAAATGCAACTTTCCGGTCTTTGTGAGATAAGGTTAGTGTGATGCTTAGAGGAAAATCTGTAGCTCTCAGTGTTCATGTTAGGAAAGAAGAAAGGTCTAAAATCATTACCTAAGATTCCACTTTGAGAATCTAGAAAACAACAACACCAAGAACAAATGAAACCCAAGTAAGCAGAAGAAATAAGAAAGAGTGAAAATTTGATGTACTAGCAGAAAAAAACGAAAATCAATAAAATGGAGATTGGTTATTTGAAAAGAAAAAAAAATTGAGAAAGCTCTGGCTAGATTGATCAAAGAAAAAAAATCCACAAATTACTAATATCAGGAATAAAAGATGAGACATCCCTTCAGACCCTACAGACATCAGAAGAATAATACAAGAATATTAGTAAGAACATCATGAAATTACATTTGACATCTTGATGAAATGGAAAAACATCTACTGAAAGTCACAACTTGCCAAAATTTACACAAGAAAAATAAAATGTAACAAGCTTATATCTATTAAAGTTGTTGAATTCATAATTTGAAGCCTTTCTACAAAGAAAATACCTCACCCAGATGGTGTTACTGATGAATTCCATCAAACACTTAAGAATAAAATAATACCAATCTTAACCACATCAGAAAAAAGGAGAAACACTGGCCAGCTCATTTTCTAAGTCAAGTTTTACCCTGTACCAAAACTGGACAAAGATATTACAAGAAAAGAAAACTACAGGCCAATATCATGCATAAACATAGACATAAAATCCTTAATAAAATATTAGCAAATCAAATCCAGCAATATATAAAACAAATAACACATCATGAAAAAGTATGCAAGAAATAAAAGGTTTATTTTAGCATTAGAACATCAATTAATAGAATAAATGGTAAAATGTATATATTTATCTCAATGGATGCAGAAAAATATTTGACAAAATGCAACATCCATGAATAATAGAAACTCTCGGCAAACTAGAAAGAGAAGAGAACTTCCTCAACGTGATAAAGATCACCTATAGATAAACTATAGGAAACTTCAAGCTGGGCAATGGTAAAAGACCAAACTTTCTCACTATACTCAGAAACAAACGAAGTGGCTCTCACATTTCTATTAAAAACGGTATTGGAGGTCCCAGCCAGAGGAAATAAGGCAAGGGAAAAAAGCAGATAGAAAAGGAAGAAGTAAAATTACCTATGGTCACATGTGACATAATCATGCATGTAGAAAATTCAGCTTGGCACAGTAGCTCAGGCCTGTAATCCCAACATGTGGGGAGGCTGAAGTGAGAAGATCGCTTGAAGATAGGAGTTCAAGACCAGCCCGAGCAACATAGCAAGACCCAATCTCTACAAAACATATAAAAATTAGCCAGGCATGATGGTGCACACCTGTAGTCCTGGCTACTTGGGAAGCTGAGGTGGGAGGATCACTTGAGCCCAGGAGTTTGAGACTACAGTGAGTTAAGATTGCATCACTGTACTCCAGCCTGGGCAACAGAGTGAGCCCCTGTCTCAATTTAAAAACAAAAAAGAGAAGAAGAAGAAGAAAGAAGAAAGAAGAGGAGGAGGAGGAGGAGGAAGAGAAGGAGGAGAAAGAAGAAAAAGAAAATCCTAAGGCAGAAGAAAAAGAAGAGGAGGAAGGCGGGGAGTCGGGAGAAAAAGAAAATCCTAAGGCATTTACCAGAAAAGAACAAAAGAAGCAAAAAACACTATGAACTAATAAATGCATTATCAAGGTTACAGGATACAAGATTAATATACCAAAAAATGCACTTCTATATACTAGCAAAAAACAATTGGAAAATAAAACTAAAGATACAATACCATTTACAAGCATTGGAAAACAAAGTACCTAGGCACAAGTGGGAAACGTATGCTTGAAGTTACAAAATATTGCTGGGAGAAATTAAAGAAGATCCAAATAAATGGACAGGGTTCAGCACAGTGGCCCCAGCCTATAATCCCAGCACTCCGGGAGGCCAAGGTGGGTGGATTGTTGGAGTCCAGGCGTTTGAGACTAGCCTGGGCAACATAGCGAAACCCTGTTTCTACTAAAAAACAAAAATGCAAAAAATTAGCCAGGTGTGGTGATCTGTGCTTGTAGTCCCAGCTACTCGGGAGGCTAAGGTGGGAGAATCACCTGAGCCCAGGAGGTTGAGGCTGCAGTGAGCTGAAATCCTGCCACTGGACTTCAGCCTGGACAAACAGAGTGAGATCCTGTCTCAAAAAAAAAAAAAATTTTTAAAAAATTAAAAATAAGTAAATGGATGGGTATACCACGTTCATAGATTGAAATATGTCAGTCCTCCTCATAGTCATCTATGTGATCAATCCAATCAAGCATTAAGCACCATGCCCCAATGGTTTTGCTTCCTGGGTATATGTCAACACTAGCCTATTCTCCTCTCCATCACCTCCCACCTAACCCAGGACACCACCTTAATGTCTGCAACAACTTTTTAGTTGGTCCTCTACTTCCAATTCATCCTCGAGACTTCAGCCAGAGAAAGATTTCAAACATATGTATGTTAGGCCCTGCTTTAAACTATGTAGTGGCTCCCAATTGCCCAGGAGATAAGACTCAGGCTCCTTAAACAACACTTAAGGCCCCTGCTTACATCTCCAGCCTCAGCTCTTGCCATATTCTCCAAGCCCACTCCCCGCACTGCAGGCACAGAGAGCTTCTTTCAATTCCCTGAGGGTGCCCAGCCCCTTTCCTGCCCTTGGCTGACCCTCAGCTGGTCAAGGAATACCCCCCCTGCCACTCTCACCTGTTCTTCTATGAACCCCCTGTCTGAGTCAATGGATTACCTTTGTGCAGACGGTCCTCCCTAATGGATCATGCATGCCATGGGGGCAGGGGTGAAGGATGTCACGGCCGCATCCACAGCTATCAGCAGTGTGCCTGCCACCCCACACATGTGCTTAGGAGGCCTCAGGATGGAGGGACAGTGGGCAGCAAGATGGTGGAAAGTGATGCGTCCACGCTTTTGATGTCCTCAGAGGGCTTGGAGAAGGAGCAATGAGCCCATGTCAGCTGCAACACAGAGACAGGCACACAATGCCACAGTGCCCGATGTCACGTCCATCCAGGCCCCAGCCCAAGCCTGGCTGCTCCTCCCCTGGCAGATTCATAAAAGGACTGGGTGTCCCAGGCAGCTAAGATGGGCCCAGCCTGAGCCTTGACCTGGGTAAGGGACACTGCATATGCCCGACTAAACCTACTAAACCTGGTGCCATGTTCCCTGGGATCCCTGAGTGAGTGTTGTGGTCCCAGCCCAGATCTGAGGCAGTGCTGTCTATGTGGACACTGGCTATACCTGCTGGGGACTAGAGAGGAATGGCCGGGTTTGGGGGGCAGCACTAACCAGATGGCCTGCAAGCTATGGCCAGAGCCCTGCAGCCATGGTCTGAGCTCCCCAGGATGCTACAGAGAGCCGAGAGCTCCGGAGACTCCCAGGTCAGCCTGCCTGCCAAAGCCTTTCCTCCAAAGCAGAAAAGACCCTTCCCCTGATGAAGCAGCCATGTGCAGGGCTTCACGTTGGGATCAAAAGGCCCCAAATTATCCCCAGGAATAAAATGATTCTTCCACTAGTTTCAAAAGGCAGCAAAACTAGCTTAAGTCTGGCAAAAATTAGGTGAAAACAAACAAACAAAAAAAGCAAAACCAAATGAAGACTCCAAGGGACAGCGAGCAAGGCGCAACCATGAAGAAAGCACGAGCCCAAAGTCCAGGTCTGAACACCTTGGCCCCAGCCTGGCCGGCCGCATCCTGTGTCCTGCCCGGGCAGCCCTGCCCCGACCAGCCCTCTCCCTGACTACCGCTCTCAGGACACAGGATCTCGACACTCACCCCAGAAGCTCTGCTGCCCCCAAGGCTGGCCCAAGCCTGGAGGACTGTGAAAGAGAAGACGGCAGTATCAGGACCGGGTGGGACACGGCTCCCACCAAGGAGTCACCAACTGCTGTGCCTGGAGCTGGAAGTGACTAAAGGAAGGAACCCAGGCAGGTGGTGTGGGACAAAGTCCACAGGAAAGGCCAGGAAGGAGGTGCTCTCATGGGACACACCCAGTCCTGCCCGTCCGGATCTGCCAGGGCCACCCTTTGTCCCTTCCCACCATGGTGGGGAGACGGTCTTCAGCCCACATGCCCCACTCTGCAGGCCCACAGTACCGCCAGGGACCCCACAGCCCTGGACCCCATGGAAAGGCCAGGCCCTGCCTTCAAGCATTCCGGAGAGTTCTGGGTGCCTTGCCAGGGCTGGCGTTGGGGAGACAGGATTTTATTTTTCAGGGTGGCTCTCATTTGCTAGGACACAGGCCACTGGGGACCCAGCATTTGTGTAAGAGATGGGCCCTTCTATAGATGACACATTTATGTCCCCGAAATTCACATACTGAAGTCCTCATCCCCAAGGTGAGGAATGAAAAGGTGGGGACCTCTGGTAGGTGATGAGGTCATGAAGGCAGAGGCGTCACGAATGGGATGAGTGCCCACATAAAACGGGCCCCAGGGAGTTCCTTTGCCCTTCCACCACATCAGGACACAGAGAGAAGGTGCTGTCTCTGGACCAGGAAGCAGGTCCTCACCAGGCACCAGGTCTTCCAGTGCCTCAATCTTGGACTTGCAGCCTCCAGAACAAAGAGCAACGCATTTCCACTGTTTACGAGCTGCCCAGGCTATGGTGCTTTGTTACAGCAGCCCAAAGGAACTCAAAGAGGGGCCCCACCAAGGAACTCAGGCAGGTGCAATGCCAGAAGAGCCAGTAAATCTTACAGGGGTGAGGAAACTCTTTGGCTTTCTCTATTTTCACGTAAACCAGCAGCCTTGCGGCAAAACGAGTGGTCAATAGGAGACTGAGTGACTGCTTGGCAGACAGCCAAGAGAGGCCGGAGAGGGCAGGAAGTGCTGGACAGTGGCTCCCAGCTCCAGAGCACCCCTAGAGGCCCCTGGGTGACACAGGCAGGGGAGCCTCACGGAGATCCAGGAGCAGGCATGCTGGAGGTGGTGCTGATTACAAGCTTGCTGATGGTCAGGCAGCGCTATCAGCTCTGAGGCTGAGAGGGGACTGAGGGTTTCTAGATGGCCTTCACCCTCAAGCAGAGCTGTGCGAGGAGCCGATCCAGGCTGGCTGCAGCCGCTGCAGAGTCCACCCCAGCAGACGCTGAGAGAGAAATGTCACTGGGTGGCCTGTGGCCACTGGCCCAGAAAGCAGGAAAAGTCCCACAGTGCCTCACCCCTGCTTGCCTTCCTTCCCTCCTGACACCCCAGGTGTCTCCCCCAAGCCGCCAGGCCAAGGGCGCTTCTCCCCGCAGGTGTTCCCAGGGTTATGGTCTACACAGCCACTGCTGAGAGGGTGCAGCCAGCAAGGAGTAAATACGCTGGCCAGCAGGTGTGAGCCGGGGCGGTAGCCCCAAGGGAAGGCCCATGGCTGGGCTGTGGGCAGCGTTCTTGGGGGCAGCCTTGTCCAGGGATGCCATGGGGTAGTCTGCCTGGGGAGGCTGAGCCAGGCAGGGCACAAAGACCAGGCGTTTCAGCCAGGTGGGGGCACCCCGGCCACCGACACTCCAGGCTTCTCCCTCACCAACCCCACCTCTTCCACCTTCCCTCCGAAATACCTTGCACCCAAATTCTATGTCTGCCTCTGCTTCTGGAGAATCCAACCCCCATTGGAGAAGAGAGTCACTAATTTGGGATTTGGAACTGGGTCACTCACGGCCCACGGGCAATGAGGACCCATCACTGGTCAGGGGAGATAGCTGGCGCCTGGCACAAGGTGGTCGTCCTGTCCAGTCCAGTTGTGAAACTGGTTCCAGTGTCCAGTGGGAAAGTTGGGGAAGGGGGTCTGCTGGGGGCCCCAGCTGCTGTTTGATGAATGAACAGACACGAGGGCCTCCAAGGAGGAAGCAAATAAGGCGCAGGTGGCTGAGGCCTCACTGAGGTGCCCTGGCTGGAGTTTGGAGAAGTTGGGCGGGGCGCAGCACTCCCAGCTCCTGATCAACACCTAGCCAAGGCCAAGGCCCCATCTGGAGAAACCAGGACCGTGGGCAGGGAGGAGGCAGTGCGTGGTGCCTGAAGGTTCCACTCTCCAGCCTCTTAGGAAGCTTCTGAGCCTGCACAGACGCGGCCCACCCCTCGCTCCACCCCCGTCAGGCCCTGGCCCCCCTTGGGTGCTAGGGCTCTGACCGAGTGAAGTGTCAGCAACATCCAGTGACCAGGGAGTGGGCTGCGGGCCCGGCCAGCTCGGGGCACAGGAGGGGGCTGCAGGCCCAGCCAGCTGGGGACGGGAGGCGGGAGCACTGGTAGGACTGGGTGCTGAGGCGCCTGATAGGGAAGCTGGAGACCTAACAGCAGTGTCCCGAGACACAGGTTTGACACCCTGGCAAGGCCCCTGGAGGTGGAGCAAACCTGGAGGTTCCTAGCGGCACAGGCAACACTTCCACTTTTGCTGGGCAGGGTAGAGATGCCACAACTGCTGTGGCTGGTGGAGGGTAGGCGTAGGCGTGTGTGGTGTGAGCTGCCAAGCACTGGTTCCCTGGGAAGACCAAGGTCACACCGCTCACCTGTGCCATGCTGGTTAATAGGGAGTGGCAGCTGTGCCGCAGGAGGCTGGCAGGAGTGGCGGCGGTGCCCCAGGAGCCTGGCGGGAGTGGCGGCGGTGCCCCAGGAGCCTGGAGGGAGTGGGCGGCGGTGCCCCAGGAGCCTGGCGGGAGTGGCCGGCGGTGCCCCAGGAGCCTGGCGGGAGTGGTGGCGGTGCCCCAGGAGCCTGGCGGGAGTGGCAGCGGTGCCACAGGAAGCTGGTGGCAGGAACCACCATCACTGGGTTTGGCTCGCCGGGGGCGGAGGGCATTAGACCTCTAAACAGCAGAGGCCAGGAGACAATCATGAACACGGCTGAAGGGCGCCAAGGGGCCTGCCTGCAGGGCTTACGGAATGGCAGCAGAGCAAGGCAGGGCTGCCAGCGAGGGCAGCGCTCAGGTGGAGCCGGCAGAGGGGTCCAGGAGGGCTGAGGGTGGTCACTCCGATAGAGCCCCAGTTGGGCCCACACTGCCCGAGTCGGTTTTCAGCCCAGGTATCTGCTGACTGAAGAGGTGGCCAGGCCTGCAAGATGAAGGACACTCCCCACATCAGCAAGTGTGCATGACAAGGACCTCCCCGGGGACTATGTGCACCAGGAAGAGAATATCCAGGCATCTGGGAGCCACTGAGCACACAGGCCCCAAGCTGATGCTGGTCCCCAAGAGTCACCAGGGCTCCATGACAGTGGGACACATCACAGGCAGTTAATAATGGAGTCCTGCCCAGGACCAGCTCACATGAGCCCACAGGGCCTACAGACCCACCCGGGGCCATGTCCCGGTCTCTGAGCCTGTGACTGGGATTGACACCTGGGGAGCGACCGATATCTCTGCTGCATCCTTGGGGTAGAGATGGCCGTGGGAAGGCCAAGAGGGACACTGGAAGGCCAAGACTGTCCCCTCCTGCCCGGGTCCCAGAGCAGCCGTGGCATGCGGAGAGAGGGTGGTGGCCCTGCTCTCTCCATTTGGTTCAGTGTGGCCCCGTGGGATGGGATTCCTGGAGGGCCACGTGGCGAGTGCACACACAGCCGAGGGGCAGCCCAGTGCAGCAGGTCCTGGAGGTCCAGGTACCCAGGGTTGGCCATCAACTGGACGAATACGCCACGGAAGATCAGAAGCTGCTCACATTTATATGAAATTTGTATGGAATGGACAAAGGCATTTGCTGTTTCTCCTGGGGCCTCTGCCGGAATACAGGACAGAGACCCCAGCTGGCCGGACACCCTGAAGAGCACCGCACTGATCCATGACCTTGGCAACAGGATGCTGATGGTGTCAGAGCAGGAGGCAGCCAGGGACAAACAACACCAGGCCGGGGCCTTCTGCACCAGAAATGTTTAGGTTGGCTGGGGGTTAGAGCCCTGCCAGACATCCCCTCCAACTGCATCTGGAACCTCCCATCAGAAGGAAGCACAAGGCCTCAGGGCTCTCCGCAGGCTTCGGAGGGAGCGTTTTCCACACCCAGGAACATGGTTCCAGCTGGTAGACCAAATGGCCAAAGCAGCCAGGTCGAGTGGAGCCAATCTACACTGGGGCGATGATGGGTGCCAACCATGGCCTCTAAAGTCACGGAACCCTGCGCTTTCGAGGCCTCCTCTCAGGCAGTAGCCTGGGACGCGGGAAGCAGGTCCTGGCTGTGGCCTTTGGGCAGAGCTGCCCAGCAGGAGGGTGTGGCCGCCACCTTCAGGGCCTGCCTCGGGGACAGTGGCTCCTGAGGGCCTGGGGGAAGGGATGCTCAACATAAGGGCCTGGCCAGCCCAGGTGGGGCCCTGCAGGCAGGGTTTGCTCCAGAACTCTTCACGGGGTCCCCACCAGTCTATCCTGACATGGACACAGTCCCTGCAACTGTCTTCCCTTCATAGGCACTGTGCCTGAGAAATACCTTGACCCCAACTGTCCCACCTCAACCTGCACCATCAGGCGCCCTGCACAGGACCTGTCCGCCCACAAACCCAGGGATCTAGGGCAGCTCCGACCCAGCTCAAGCCTCTGGCTTGGGCACTGCCCTGCGGGGTATTTCTTTGGTGAGCCGCCCCTCACTGTTCGCCCTGAGTTGCTGTACCCCAATAGGCGGCACCACTGGCTTCATCCGAAGTCAGCACAGAAGCCAGTGGATGAGGGAGATCTGTGGCAGGCTCTGCACGCAGGGAGATGGAGCCCCATCCTGCTGCTCAAGAATCCGTGTCTGAAGATGCCGAGAACCCAGCTGCCACAGCCACTGCTGCTGGAGGGCCATTGAACCAGCAAGCAGAGGGGCTCACGGGGCAGGCTCCAGGGCCAGGGCAGCTTCCTGTGGGTGAGTCAGGAGGGTGGCTTGGCGTGGCCAGGGCGTGGAGAGGGGGACAGCGGCACAGGTCCCAGTGGGAACAGACACCAGGACTCCAGAGATGGTCGTGATCCGGCAGCAAGGCCCAAATCAGGCTCACTGGGTGCTATGGTTTGAATTTGTGTTCCTGCCCAAATCTCATGTCGAATTATAATCCCCAGTGTTGGAGGAGCCTGGTGGGAGATGATTGGATCATGGGAGCGGATATCCCCCTTGCTGTTTTGGTGATAGTGAGTTCTCCTAAGATCTGGTCATTTAAAAGTGCACAGCACCTCCCCTTCGCTCTCTTCCTCCTTCTCCAGACACCTGCAGACTGCCTGCTTTCCCTCCGCCATGATTCTAAGTTTCCTGAGGCCTCCCCAGCCATGCTTCCTGTACAGTCTTCGGAACTGAGGCAATCAAACCTCTTTTCTTTATAAATTACCAGTCTCAGAGTTGTTTACAGCAATGTGAAAAAGGACCAATACACGGGGTCTCCCCAGGCACAAAGGGACTCAGGAAGCGAATGGAATTTAAAAGGGATTAGAGCTGGGGTTGGCGGTCATGCCTGCAATCTTAGTGCTTTGGGAGACCAAGGCAGGAGGATCACTGAGGCCAGCCTAGGCAACCACATACTAAGACCCCTAAGCATTCAAAACTTGAAAAAACTAACCAGGCATGGAGTGTGCGCCTGTTTTCCTACCCACCTGGGAGGCTGAAGAGGGAGGATCACCTGAGCCCAGAAGGTCGAGGCTGCAGTGAGCTATGATCATGCCACTGCACTCCAGCCTGAGCAACAGAGCAAGACCCTGTCTCTAAAACAAAAGGGCTTAGTGACAGCCCTCCCCACCCATGTCTGGAACTGTCTTCTGCACCGTTCAGTGACACTACAGCTCTCATCACAGCATTTGGTGTGAGGGACGAGGGAGAGAGGCCTGGGGAAATAAACAATCCTAGGACACTGCGCAGGTGAACCCTGGCTGGAGGCAGAGGAGCCGTCCAGATCCAAGGCTCCCAGTCCATGTGAACCTGGGGTTCCTCCCTCTGCGCAACTCCGGTTCTAACACCCGTTTCCGAGATGTCCTTCTTCGCCACAGCCTTGGCAGTGCCTTCGCTGGCTCTCCCCACCCCTCACTCCCCAGTCTATCAGTCTGTGTCCCCCAAGACCAGGGCTTGACCTGCCCCGGCCAGCCTCAACCTCAGCCCCCTGGCCTGGGGCATGCCCTGGGCCCGCCCCTCCAAACTTCTCCCCTCCTCCCCACTCACCATCTCCCCCTGAAACCTGCCCTGCCTGGGTTGGCTCTGCCCACCTCCCAGGCCCCCAGCCCCTCCAGAGGCCATCCTCATCCTCACCATCTCGGCAGGCACCCAGCCCTCCCCACAGCCTGCTTGGCAAGAGCAGGCACAGCCTGGAACTACCTGGAGCAAGACTGATCTGCAAATCATCAGCGCTCATGTTTATTTATAAAGTTACATCCTAAAAGTGATTCGAACAATAAATAGTTATAAAGAAGATCTGCTGCCCTACCCTCTGGGTGTGAGGCCTCCATATGGAGTCAGCAGAGGATCTGGGAGGGATCCTGGGAAGCTCTGGGATCCTGGGGTCTCTGCCGTCTCAGTGGCGCAACAGAAGCCAGCAAGCTTCCCACCCTTCCTTGCAGCACCAGCTGGCCCCCAGGGCTGCGTCTCTCCTGACGGAGGCTTCCCGTGGACCCCTAGGCCGCAGCCTCCTGGCAGGGCTGGGAGGCAGGCCAAGACTCAGGACCAGCCCCCACAGTGCAAGGCTGGCCGGCCCAGCTGCTGGGAACCTGTCAGGCCCTCGGGCTCCAGTCACCTGAGCTGGCACAGGGGGCCACCCTGTTAGGTTTTCATCACTGCCATGATGGAGACCTGCAAAGACAGATGGGGGGCCCGGGCAGCGGTGGCACTCGCCCCTTCTCACACCCCACCCCGAGTGCAGCCAGGGAATGGGACGCAGCCTCAGCTCCCCCTGCCCTTCAAGGCACCGCCCGGGGCTCTCACAGGAAGAGTCAAGGGCACCTCACGTCCCAGGCAGAAACCACCTGCCTGAGGTTGCAGGTAGACCCTAGGCCACCAGGCAGCCCCAGGCAGGTGAGCCGGGCTGGCGGGGCTGCATACACACCTCTTGGAGGAACTGGCCCAGCATCTCCTGGCTGTGAATGGATGGCCTGTGGAGAGACACCAGATCAGCGCTCCCAGACTGCACTTGTCACACAAGTGGCTGTGTGCTCCTGGCCCACCTCCCACTAGACTCTCCTTCCAGGCTCAGACCAGCAAGGAAGGGTCCCCAGGTAGGCAGGACAGCCCTGGTCTGCCAGGACAGATAGGGGCTTGAGGGTGAGGGGCAGGCAGGAGACGTGGGGGGACAGGCGAGCACTAAGACTCCAGCACCCCAGCCTCCAGCTGGCCGCCCCCAAGTCCCAGAGCCCCACCTGTCAATCCTGGTTGCGATGGTCACTGTGAAGGCCCCCTCTGTGTCCGGCAGGTAGGTGGAGGGCACAACCTTGTAGGTGCCCGCAGGCAGGAGGCAGAGCCGGCTCACCTCCTGGGCGTAGCGATGTGGCACGCAGCTCAGCAGCGGCTCCTGCAGCAGCAGTGGGGGTGCGTCCTGGCTCCTTCCACCCTCTGGGACCTGAGGAAAGCGCAGGCTCAGACTGAGGGGGCCAGCCTTGGGGTAGGGAGCCCAGCCCAGGGCCATCTGCTCGGATGCCCTTGGCCCTCTTGAGTCACATACAGCCCCTTCTCTGAGGAGGGGCTGCCAGGCCTGGACACTGGACTCGCCTCCTCACCAAGGCCTGGCCACCCTTGCCAGAAGGTGCCGGCAGTGGGGCCCCCGCCTGGAGGCCTGTCACATCATCAGGGGCTTTAACACCTGTGACTGCCCAGCCCGCCCCAAGGGCTCCCACTGGCCCTGGCATGTGTTTTCCTCAGAGCTCTAGGGGACCTGAGCCGGTGGCCCAGGGCAAACAGCGAGGGTCCAAGGGTCCCCAGGCAGCCCACTGTGAACCGAGGGTTGCAGTGCCTTCCTCGTCAGGGCCCCTGCATTCCAGGGGACACATGTCTGCAGAGAATGAACCTTGGGACACAGTCATTCTGAGTCAGGGTAAGTGGACAAGGGGCTGCTGGCTGAGCTCAGTGACTGTGGACTTCCTCACACCCGAGGGGCTGCTGTGGCCAGCCAGCCTGGGCCTCCCCTCCTCTCACTCCTGAGTCCATCAGCCCCCTGCGTTCCCAAGCCAGGGCTCGACCCACCCCCGCTGGTCTCAACCTCGGCCTCCTGTCCTCTCCAAACTTCTCCCTTCCTCCCCACTCACCACCTCCTCTGGAAACCTGCCCTGCCTGGATCAGCCCTGCCCACCTCCCAGGCCCCCGGCCCTTCCAGAGGCCATCTTCGGCCTTGCCTCTGAGAGGTTGGAGATGGGAGAGGGCCCTGTGCGGGTTCTAGGCAGCGCCTCGAAGGGCAGGGGGAGCCCAAGTGACTGAGCCCAGAGCCCTCTGTTGGGACAATGGAGGCCAAGATGCAAATTCTCTGAGGGCCCCTTCTGCTCCCCCTCCCTCCCTGGGGCAAGGAGCTTGCCTGGAAGATATGGAAGCCGATGGGGTGGAACTCGGTGTCACTGGGCCGGCAGTGCTGATGCAGAGTGATGCGGACGCAGCGGGGGCCAGGGCCCTCGGGGACCGAGAAGGGGAAGCAGGGGTTGGTGGGGTATGAGGCAAAGTTCCTGCTGCCCCCCGCCGTCTGGCCGACTCTCCAAGAACCCCGTAGCTGCACGGTCCCCCACTCCCCCGCAGGCAGGGCTGCCCCGGGGGTGGTGTTCTTGGCCACTGCCCTGATGGCGCTGCCAAGAAGACAAACATGGGAGGGCGCTGGCAGCAGGTTCCCGGTGGCCTCAGTTCCCACATGGACACCTGCCAACCACAGAGGGAAAGTGCCCAAATCCTGCCTTGGAAGGGCCTGTGGCCTCGGAGAGCCAGCAGCACTGCGCGGTTCCTCTCACCTAAGGGAGACTCGCCCGGTAGAGAAGACTCGGAGCAGGAACTCCCCTGGCGCGTCCTTCAGGAAGGTGCTGGGGACAGCCAGGTAGTAGCCCGGTGAGAGCTCACAACGCAGGTGGACCTCCCGGTCGTATGCATGGCACGCGGTGCCAGCCACGGGGGGCATGGACAGGACCCTAGGCAGATTGACCCGCCGCTTCTCTACCTGTGAGCACGTGCAGGAGGCTCAGTGTGGAGGAGCGGCCGGGGTCAGACGCCCTGGCCTTGACCTCCCTGCTGCAAGCACAAGGGCCTCTGGAGTTGACAGATGAAAGCGCCAAGGCCTGTCAGCACCCTCCACCCTCTCTCAGGGACCAGCTAGAGATGCCCACCAATCCCGGGCTTCACTTGGCCCTGGCGCCAGTATCTGTCCCAGACACGAGCCTGCAAGTCCTCCTTGTAGCTGGGCCCACAAAGGCACCGTGGCCCAGGCAACCTGGGGGCTGCTGGACAGTGGGCCTTCCAGCAACTTCTTTTGCAAGAGGAAAGGAACATCATGTGGGCCACATCCATGAAGGGACAGGGAACAGTGTGGTGCCAAGTGTCACACCCTGTCAAGACACACAAGATGAAAACCCAGCCCCTGAGCGAGCAGCCGGCATATCCTCGACCCACACTCAGGCCCTTTGCCCTCAGGCGCCCCCATCTGTTCTTCCTGGAAACAACACACTTTGTGAACCAGTGGTTGAGCCTGGGACTGCCTGGGCCTCAGAGCAATCCCATGAGATCCGTGTCAGGACCCCGTCTTGCAGGGGAAGAGACTGAGGGAGGCAGGGAGAGGATGTGTGCCAGGTCACACAGCAAGCTGCAGAGCTGGGACTGGCCCTGACAGGTCCTCAGCCGCTGGCTCTACCTCCTTGCCTCAGAAAGGCACGGCGCTGCCAGGAGCCCCCCGGGTCCAGGCCCCTCCTGCGGGTCCTGCCCTGGCTGCAGACTCTGTTGCTTTCCTTTGGCCAATGAGGCACACGGCAAGGCAGAAAGACCTGCAGTCTCAGGTCAGAGCCGGGTCTGGGAGCACCAGCAGACGTCAACCCCGTGCAACAGCCCAAGGAGGGGGGAGACTGGTGGGGCCCGTGGCAGAGTCACATGTGTCCCGGCAGAGCCAGTCCTAGAACCCAGACCTCCATGGGCCTCCACACCACCTGCTGAACCGAGCGTGAGCCAGACGGGGCTGAGTTACCTTCCAGAGGTGCAGACCCACAGCCTGGTAGTGCTTGCCCGGGATGCTCGCTGGGCTCCACGAAGTATGACTGTCACCCACCAGTGCCCGGGCCCGGCCTGCCCAGTCCGCCGCGTGCAGCCTGGATCTCTGCAGGACGGCAATGTACACCTCACTCGGTTCTGAGACCCGCAGCCAGAATTTGGGGTTGCTGGGAAAGCCGCTGTTGTTCCGGCAGCCTCCTGCTGACTGGCCCTTGACCCAGGCCCCAGGCAGCGCCCGCGTATGGCAGAGCAGCCTCTCTAGTGAGAAAACACCAGGCATCAGCTGTGGGACACGGCTCCTCGCTGGCCTCCCGCCATGGTGGCCTCATGAACCCTGGCAGGGTCTAAGCAGCAGCTACGGCCACAGACAGAGCCAGCCCCTCCCACAAGCCCACCCTCCTCCCAGCTCCTGGGACAGAATCATCACCCTCCTCCCGGCTCCTGGGACAGAATCATCTCTCCACGCTGAAGAGAACCAAACTGGGCCTGGGCAGGGGGAACCCAGGCACCTGCCCAGCCTCCTCACTTCGGCAGGCAGAGCACGTGCCCAGCACAGCCCCTCGGGGCACTACCTGTGTAGAGGCTCTGCAGGTGGCCGGCCTCCGTGACCGGGTAGCCAACGGTGAGCTCGTCAAACTCCCTGAGGAACTCCTCCTCCTCCACCCAGAACTCCCCTTCCTGGAGCTGGGACAGGAGCTCAGATGCTACCGCTGCATCTACCTGGCTCCACCCTTCACCCCTGGAAGAAACCTCATCTCAGCAGAAGCCCCTCCCGAGAACTGGTAGTGTCAACTTGCCGGCAGGCTGGGGGGAAGCCTGGAGGGGACCCAGAGAGCCCTGAGTTCCTGCCAGCAACCCCGTGCCCCAGCTCTGCAGCCCCTCCCACACCCGAAGCAGCTCTGCAGCACAGGGCCTTCTGGGCAGCGGCCACCCTGGAGCCCTCTCTTTTCCCAGAGGAACTTCACGCCTCTGGATGCGTCTTCCCAGGACTGCTGCCCGAGCCCGTGATGATGTCTGCCCTATTGAAACCCCAGGCCCAATGGCCACCTTGGTCCCAGGCCTCACAAGGATTGCCTGGAGCCAAGACAAGCATGGTGTCACGAGAGCAGGGACTCAGGGGCCTTGCTGGAGACAGCCAAGTACAGTCCTGACAGCTGAAGGTGACCAGGACACAGGCCAGACTGGCACTGGGCCCCCCTCCCGACAGCAGCATGGTCCAGGCCCCAGCACTCACCCCTCTCTCCAGAGCCCCTGCCAGCACCGCCGGCCCCAGGGGTTCTGGATCCGCAGCAGCAGGATGCACTGGCCCGCCTGACCCTGGAGCTCCCGCAGGTCCGAGACAATGAAGGCATGGAACTCCCCCAGCTCCCGGGCACCTGCATGAGGAATGGCGCAGGCACAGGCAGGAAGGGCACCATGGAGTCCCAAACTGACAAGGACACACAGGCCTCTGCCTCCTCCTCTGGAGATGCTCCAGCCCACCCCACTATGGCTACACGGGAGACCCCAGATCCCCATGGACCACGAGAGCTCCTTTCTTAGCAGCTGTGACCCATCAGCTCAGGAGCATCTCCAGGAGCAAGCACACGGGGCCTGACTCGGCTGCCATCCGGGTCTGGTGCTGGGTAAGTCATCCCCTTCTCTAGGCCTCAGTCATCGTCCGTACCCATCTGTGCACGATGCCTGGCACAGCACCAGTTCTCAAACATGCTGCACAGATGCATCTGCAACTGCCAGAAATCTAGAGAGTGTTTCTCTTGGCAAAGCCTGCTAGAGGTAGGACATTCAGATAGTGCCCTGGCTAGAAGCCCACTGGAGGCATGGAGGCCCAGGGGGGCAACAGCTCCACCTGGCCAGAGACCTTGAGACAGATGGGCATAGAAAAGAAAGAGCCAAACAGAGAGGAAGGCCACATCTGTGGCGGGGCAACGGTCTAGAGAGGAGGGTCTCCTGGAAGGACTTCAGTCTCGCCCACGCCGCGGCCCCTTGCCACCTCAGCAGGCTCCAATGCACCTCCAGTCAGTGCCAGCTGCCATCTCTCTCTGCCTGGGGGCTTCCTCTAAAGCCTGAAGTGCTAGGACTTAGCGCTACCCCACCCTGGAGCACCCAAAACCAACAGCTCCCCGAGCTAATGCCCACCAGACCAGCGCCCTCACTCCCAGGTGGGAGGCTCTGAGGCCAGCGTCCTTCCTGGCACCCCAGCGGGGCTGGCGGGGAGTACACGCCCTCCAGGCTCTCTGAACCTCTCAACGTGCTCCTGAACCTCATCTCAGGGTCTGCTTATGGGGGACCCAGACCAAGGCCTATGACAACTTGTTTCAGTTTACTGTGATATTCATATTCTTTAACCCATATTTTTAAAATAATCCTAAGTATGAAAAAAATGATAAAGATGTTCATTGATACTGCTTATAATTATATAAAACCAGAGAGATCTTAATATCCAACATCAGGGGAATGATTAAGAGACTGTGGCAAACCCGCTCATGGGGCGAACATTTGACAGCGCGTGTGTGGCAGTGTGAGAAGCGGTGCGGAAGGGAACACGTAAACCGTGCGTGCTCATGGAAAACTGAGAGCGCACTCAAAAGTCACATGTGGTTCCATCTAAGTGATTTTTTTCCTTCATTTTTTGTAGAGATGAGATCTTGCCATGTTGCCCAGGCGGGTCTCTTGAACTCCTGGGCTCCAGCGATACTCCCACCTCAGCCTCCCAAAGTTCTGGGATTACAGGTGTGAGCCACCACACCTGGCCCCTTTCATTTTTTGGAGACAAACTGTTTTTAACGAATGTTATCTATCACTAAAATAAAAAACAGGTTTTGATTTTGCCAGGTTGCCAGCTGGGCCAGGGATGGCACAGACAGTGGGCTTTGACTCGGTGCCACCTCTTCCTGCCTCGCACTAGTGGAAAGGACTGGTCAGGGGAGAGAAGGGCCACGTCCCTCTGGAAGAGGACAGTAGGGGAAGGTCACAAACTGAGGACACCACCCTTGAGAACAAGCTTACTTCTTCCCACTTAGTCCTGACAGGGCTGTGTAGCCAGTCACATAAAAAGCTACAGTGTGCCTGAGGCCTGGCAGTGGGGGGCACGCTGGCTGCAGCCCTCCCATGCTGGCCACGTGCCTCACCTGCTCTGGGGCTGAGCACGCAGCAGCTGATCAGACACTGGTCCTTCAGGTGGAGCAGCTGCCGACAAGTCCTGTGCTCCCAGCGGCCTGGCCTGTCCTGCTGGCCTCCGCTTCCTGCTACGCCCTTCAGGTTCCATCTTTCTGCCAGGCCGCCGGTCAGGTCCACCAGGGCATCCGCCACCTGCCCGGCCCACAGGTGCTCGTAGGACCCATGGACCCTAGGGGACACAATCACCATGGGAGTGAGCCTCTGGCATTGAGCATGGCCCCCTCTCTGATTCCCATGGTCTGTAGCACCCCAAATCGTCCAACCGCTGCCTCAATCCCACCTCTTTACTCCCCTCTGCCTTCTTCCTCATCCTCACCAAGTCAAGGCTTAGCCTCACCTTCAAACGCCTTACTTCACAGCAAGCGTGAGCGCCCTGCAGTCCTCTGCCCACACACAGAAACTCTCTGGCATCCGGTGTGGGCACAGGAGCAGGGCAGGAGGCGTGGAAGCTATGGATGCCCACATCCCTTGGCTCTCAAGCTCCAACCCTGCTTTTCCTAAAACAGCCCTTGGGATGGAAGGGCTCACTGGGCACTGATGTCACCAGCCAGCCTTCCCATGTTCACCAGCTTCCCTGCCTGCCTGTCAGTCCAGTTGCCTTTGGCAAGAAGACAAATGCATTCTAAGAGGGAAGGCTATTCAATTATGACTCATGGTGAGGGTCCTGGTCCCCTGAGCCAGCAAGCACCGTGATACACAAGTGTTGGTATGCTGGGGTAGCCTCATTCCTCCCCAACGACTACACAATGAGTCTGCCTGTCCCAACCACTCCACAACAAATATAAAGAAGCATCTTTCTTGCTGGGGCCGATAAAATAAGGAGGACGGCACACATGTTCTCTGTGGAGAACGACTCCACGCTGGGCTTTGGAACAAGGGAAGGGAAAGCAGGGAGTGGGCAATCCACAGGCCCAAAAGAAGAATCTCTGCACCTGGCCTGTCAGCCTGACTCACAGAATGAGCTGCCAGACCCTCAGAACTGAAGGGGGCTCTGCAGCCCAGAGTGAGCAGAGACCCTCCTGGGGCAGCCCATGGTAGTGGCAGCTCCCACTTGCCCCAGGCCAGGCCCTTCAGCCCCCAGCACACGCACTTGGCGTAGACCTTTTCCAGTAAGGGGAGCCAGAACACATCCTCCCTCTGGCAGCGGGAGAAACAGAGTCTCCCTGCAAGGCACGGCAGGCGGTCATCTGTGGTCACCTCCACCCAGCGTCCAAACTGCCAAATGCGACAGGTGAAGGAGCCCCGGTACTCCTGGTCGGCCCAGCTCGGCTGTCCCGGAGGAATGACCTGCCATGCACAGGGAGAAGCAAAAGGCGAGCGTGATATAAGCACCACCCGGCGCTACTCCAGTGTCCCGGCCGCGGTGTGGCCACAGCTGAGTGCTCCACAGGCACCGCGGTCTGCAGAGAACTCTAACGCACACCTGGATGTCGCAGAGAACTCTACGGCACACCTGGATGTCGCAGAGAACTCTACGGCACACCTGGATGTCGCAGAGAACTCTACGGCACACCTGGATGTCGCAGAGAACTCTTCGGCACACCTGGATGTCGGCGCCTGCACAGGGCTGCATCACCCACATGAAATTAACAGACCTCTCATTGCAAAACTTGAGGACCACACCGAGGGAGCCACATATCCCGGGACACACTCTGCTGCCCTCACTAAAAGCATCTGACCTGAAGCCAAAACAAATGTGACATTCAAGGGCATGAGTGACCCAGTTCTTGACCGAGCTGGCTGCAAGCAACACGTCACCACAGGAACAGCAGCCCCTCCTGCTGCTGGGAGCCTGGCGCCCCGACACTGGGCCAGCTGCTTGCACCCACAGCGTCCACCGCAGGGCTCCTTCAGGGGTAAGCATTCTGACCCAGCATCGGGGGAGTGCAGGCTGGGCACCAGGCACCTGGTGCGGTCCTGGCTCTGCCACTTTACGGCCAGAAACACAATGGCAGTGATTTTAGCACTCTCGTTTAAAAAAAAAGTCAAAGCTGGTAAGACCATGTGTCTGAAAGCCAGTGACTGTGACACGCTTACCATGGGGCCTGGGACATGAGTGAAACTCTGAATGAGGTCACACTGTTGACGCCGCTGCATTAATCAGCAACACTTAGCAACAAGCCAAGCATAAAACGGTGAACACTCCCAGGTAAGGAAAACCTGAGAAGGCCTTCTCCTCCCAGAGTATCTGTCTACCCACAGAAACAGGTTTAATAACTTTTTGCAAACTTATATTCAAAACCTGTAAGAAAACCAGCGAGCTAGCTGAGGAGAGATCTGAGGCAGAGGCTGCCAGCCAGCCCCGTCCTCCTGTGAGCTGGCACATTTGTCTCTTTATTCTAAACGTGGTGATCTGACTCCATGGAGTCCGGGGGTCAGGAGAGCACAGAGCAGGGCGAACCTCCCTGATGGAGCCTTCTGGCGAGGCCAAGGCACCCCCCCCTGCAGCAGAGGGACAGAGTGCAGTCCTCAGCCTCTGCCTTGGAACTCTCCTGCCTTCCCCCAACACAGCAGGAGATCCGGCTGCGGCACAGCTCTGCTTTCGCAAGGCCTCCTGGTACTCAGCAGGCTGGAGAAACGCAAAAAGAAACCGGCTCCAGGACAAACACAGGGAAGGGGCCCCGCACCTGGTCCAGGAGGTGCCTGCTCTTCTGCAGCGCGGCGCAGGCACACAGGAACCAGCAATCCCCCAGCAGCCCCTGCTTCACCTGCCCTTCCCGTGGGTCATCTGGAAACAGCCGGGGTGTGGCACAAATCTCCTGAGATACAGAAAGTTGTCCAGAGTTAGATCATGCCTGCTGTGGAACCCTTCAAACTAAGAACCCAAGGCTCTAGATGACAGGAGTTGGGGTGGAGCTTTTCCGATCATCAGTGTTACCCAAAAAGGGACAGGAAGGTGGTTTCCTGCAGCGGGTGTCCTTCAGCTCCTGGCTTCAAATGCCTCTGTCCAGCTTAATTCTGGGGTGCCTTCCTTCCTTACTGGAAAAATCCCAAACTCTAGCAAGCTCCTTCTCAAAACAGCTAAATGTTGGCTTCGAAAAGTTTCACTTTTTACTCATGCTGGTAAATCTCAAATGTGTCCTCCATCCTGCTGGAAATCTGTTTCTCTAGCAGGCTCCATTTCCCACACCCCCTAACTATCATATACCTTCCCCTTTCTCCCCGTCTACTCAAAACATCCACACTGCCCTTGCCCACCCCTCTGAGCTTCGACCTTGCCTCCTGCTTCTGGACCTGACCCTCTCTCCTGCCCTCAGAGCCTGGGCTCCTCTCACAACTCCTTCCCTTCCAGCTCCCCGGGCAGAATCCCACCCCCATGTTCTTTAAGACATTATCTCTCAGCACCATAGTCTCCTTCAGGCTTCTCTTCATTACAGCTCTTGAAAGAGCTGCCATGCCCACTACCTGCTTCCCATTCACTCTCCACACAGGCTCCTCTAGCTTCTGAGCCAATCATGGCCCCTAAACTGCCTCGATCAATGTCGCTGTCACCTCTATGTTATCAAACCCACTGGGCTTCTCTTGGTCCCAACTCTCTTCCCCAACTACTCAGCAGCATTCACAACAGCAGAACAGCCATCTGCTGCCCCTGAGGTGGTCCCCACTCAGCTTCTGTGAGGCCGCATGCTCCCCGGGTGTCCTCTCCCTCACTGCCTGCTGCTTCTCAAGTCTATCTGTCAGGGCACCTGCCTGACCCCAAGAAATGTTAGGGTTCCTCAAGGCTCAGCCCCAAGGCCCCCTTCTTCTTTACTGATACTCCCCCGAGACACTCTCCCAGGCTGTGGACTGTAAACCATCTAATATGCTCCGCCTCCCAGAAGAATGCCTCTAGCCTATCCCTGCTCCGTATCCACCTGCCTCCAGGACAGATCCACCTGCCTCCAGGACAGCTCCACCTGAAGACGTGAGAGCAAAGCCCAACTCTAGGTCACCCCCAGGCTCTGTCCCAGGACCACCATCCACCCACCTGTTCAGGCCAGAAACCCAGAAGGCATGTTGATCCCTCCACTATCCTCACCCTCTATTTCAATCAGTCACTATGGCCTCTCGATCCCCCCTGCAAGGTACGTCTCAAACCAATCTACTCCAAACCCACATCCTAACAGTCGTCAAGCTAATCTGAGCCCCTTCATCTTTCTCCAGGACCACTACAATGGACCCTTGCATTCTTGCCCCGACAACCCACTTCCCACCCAGCAGCAAGAGTGAGCTTGTAAAAACACACATCCAAGAGAACCACTCCTCTACCAAAACCCTCTAGTGGCCTCCAGCTGCACCTAAAATCAATCTTTTAACAAAATAAAACCCAAATTCCAATGACAAGGCTCTACATGGTCTGACCCTTGCCTCCTCCCAGGCCCTTCAGTGTTGTCCAAGGAAACCAGGTGGCCTGTCAAAGCCATCTCAGTCACGAGAGCCCAGAAGTTCCAGCTCTGTTCGAAGACTGGCGGCCATCAGTTGTCTCCGCTAAGACCGCATCCACTTAGGGCAAGGTTGCTCCCTGGGCAGTCTTATTCAGCAGATAAACCATTTCTAAAAATATGAACACAGCACTCGGCCAGGGCATCCCTTGGAGGTGCCATTTCTAGGTGTTACAACTGGAAAGGCAGGTGCACAAAATCCAAAACTGAAATTCTATCACGCTTTGCTTTGTGGGCTCGGCCTAGCCACTTCAGAGGGGCACGAGCGGCCCTCTCTGCGGGAGGAGCAGACACAAACGCTCTTCAGGGCGAAAGCAAACAGGTGGGGCGGGGTTTGGGGCTCTGTTAAAACGCCTCTCGCAGCGCTCTGAGCCTCCTGGATTGGAGCTCTCGCAGGCGGAGGCCACGACCTAGTTTAGCGTCCTTAGGGTAGCGCCGAGTCCTGCTCGTTCTGGGCGGGGGTATGAAGGAGGTACGAAAAGAGGGGGCCGGGCGCCCACTTCTGAGGAGAACAACGGCGGACCCTGCGTTCGGAGCTACCCTGGCCGCCCACCCCGCCCCGCTCCCTGCGAGGAGCGGAGATCTCAGAAACCAGAAACGGCGCCCACCGCACCCCACACGGCCCCACCTGGGGCCGCCTCCACGTGATGTCCTCGCGGAACTGGGCCAGCGGCGTAGACAAGTCGCAGAAGAGCGAGGAGTCCGCGGCGGGGAAGGCGGCGTCCCGGAACAGCTCCCTCGCCGGCGTCGCGCCCCGGCCCGCCCGCATCCTCGGCTCCGCGGGCTCCCATCTGCAGCCGGTTGCCTCGGGGTCGCAGCCCCGGAGAGAAGGCGAGTCAGCCGCCGCCGCCTCCGGCCCGCCCCGCCCGTTCCCCGCCCGGCCCAGCCCTCCAAGCCCGAGGGCCCCGCAGGTGCTGGACCAGGCCAGTACGCCGGCCCGCTAGTCTCCCATTGGTAACCAGGCGGCAGCCAACCGGGCGTGGGGTCTCGGGTCACGTGACAGGCGGCCCAATCGCACTCGCGCGACGGAAAGCGCCACGGACGTCGGAGGCCCAGGGGGCGGGGCTCCCGAGCTCCGCTCTTTCGTGGTCGGGCGGCGGACCGCACTGTATTTTTTCCTTCCGGGGGCGGCGGAGCCCAGGGCTATCCCGGCCTCCGCTCATACCCGGAGGGCCGGCAGGCGTTCAGTCCTCCAGCCGGTGAGGCTCGGGCCGGGGTGTCGGGACCGCCTGAACACGCGGGCTCTGGGAGCTTCAGGGACCAGGGAGCCACCTCGGCCGAGTTGCGTCGCAGACTACAGCTCCCAGCATGCGCCGCCGCTCCCAGCATGCACCTTCCTCCCGAAACGCGTCTCTGCTTCCGGCGCTCTGCTGCGGAGGCCGTGGCCGCGGGTAGTTGGGAGGAACCGAGATTTACGCTTGGTAAGGCAAGTTGCGAGCTGTCCGGCGCCGGTCGAGTTCCTGCCGCCGTCGTCGTCAGGCAGGGGAGAAGGGGGCCTCAACCCCTCTAGTGACAGCTGTTTGCTACCTAATAGGGCTTTTCATCCCACCGGGCCCCAGGGCCTTCGTTAGGAGCCCAGCAGGCTCAACTTCTTGCTGTGGTTCTGGAAAAGGGAGTGACCACCTGGCTCAACACCTCTCTCTGTGATGTGTTTGGGAGTTTTGGGAAATGAGACGGCTCCGAGGGAAGAGCTTGAGGGAGCGGCGTCGCACTCGTTCGACCTTCCCGGGCCTGGGCTTTGTTTCTAGGCATTTTAGGTTGAACGCTCTACATCTTAACTGGGGGCAGGGGAGGTGGCCAGAGCATCCCGCTGAGCGTTTTCCGATTCCCCAGATGGCCAGGCACCTGGTCCTGGTGGCTGGACAGTGACCCCGTGGACGCACATTTACAGCTATAGCCATTCAGTGCCGCGGGGAGGTGAGGATAGTGATCCTGGGACCTGCTCGAGGATTCACCCTTGCCCCAAGAACCTGTTCCATTCCCAGGAATGAAGGCGGTCAGGCAGGGGAGGAGAAGGGGGCCTCAACTCTTCTAGTGACAGCAGTTTGCCACCTAATAGAGCTTTTCAGATTTTGCCTCCTCAGGCCATTTTACTCAGCCTCGGACTATCAAGGATGGTCACATTGAAGCTGTTTTTCTGCAGTCAGGAGCGAAAAGTCCCGGCTGTTGAAGGAGAAACTGAATCTGGTTCAGGAGTCCCAGGTTCCTCCCTCTGAGAGGCCAGGTGGGGCCTGCGTGAGTAGCAGTTGTTCAGGTGGCAGGACACTGCTGTTTTCATCCCACCTGGCCCCAGGCCCCTGATTAGGGGCCCAGAGTGCTTATGTACTTGCCTCGGTCTGAGAAAGGGAGTGACTGCATAGCCCAACACCTGTGGGATGCCTCACTGCCCAGATGTTTCATCTCCGGGATGCTTCATTGCCCATTCAGCACCCTCTATGGTGCTGACTCTTCCGGAAGATGTTTCTGATTCCTTGCTAGGCTGGTGGTTGCACCATAGCTGAGAGGACTCAAGAAGAGCCTGGTCTCAGCTTCACCTAGGAGTCCCGGAGGAGTAAGAAACACGTATCTTTCCTGTTCTGGGCACATATGGGTGGGTAGCAGAGCTGAGGCTAGCTGAGGATCCCGACTCTCCTTTGGGAGCCTTTGTTGTGCCGCTCTCCCAGGCTGATCAGATCTGGAGAGCTAACAGCTTCCTGTGGCCACATCTGTGTCCAAGGCTGGGCCCATGCCTGTAGCCAGATTGCCAGGATCTGGAAGGGGCCAAGAGACAGCTGGTGCTGGGTAGGCAGCAGCCCTGTGTCAACCTGCCCCCACTATTACCCCATGCTGTGATTTGCATGTGGTCTGCCCCTGCCCAAAATGGTATTGAAATTTGAGCCTCAATGAGGCAGTGTTAGGAGGTGGTGCCTAGTAGGAGGAGTTTGGGTAATAGGGGTGGATCCCTCATGGATAGGTTAGTGTCCTTTGTGGAGGGGTGAGTTCCCATGAGAGCTGGTTAGAGAGTCAGCCTTCCTGCGGTTGTCTCTTGCTTCCTCTCTCGCCATATGGCCACGTAATCTCTTTGTGCATGCCTCTCCCCTTCTACTTGCTGCCTTGAGTTGAAGTAGCATGAGGCCCTCACCAGGTGCAGCTGCCCAATCTTGAAATTTCCACCAGAATTTTGAGCCAAATAAACCTGTTTTGCTTTTTTAAAAAAATAAATTCCCCCACCTTGGCTGGGCGCAGTGGCTCACGCCTGTAATCCCAGCACTTTGGGAGGCCGAGGCGGGCGGATCACGAGGTCAGATCGAGACCATCTTGGCTAACACGGTGAAACCCCATCTCTACTGAAAAAAAAAAAGAAACAAAAAAATTAGCCAGGTGTGGTGGCGGGCACCTGTAGTCCCAGCCCCTCACTCGGGAGGCTGATTGAGGCAGGAGAATGGTGTGAACCCGGGAGGCGGAGCTTGCAGTGAGCCCAGATCGCACCACTGCACTCCAGCCTGGGCGACAGAGCGAGACTCCGTCTCTAAATAAATAAATAAATAAATAAAACAAACCCAACCTCAGGTATAGCAGTGTGAAACAGACTAAGACATTCCACATGCCCTGTGGTCCCATCTGCTACCCCAGGGTGCAAAGATGTTCCCTCAGCCCTGAAGAATGACATTCCCCCCGGCTCCTGGGATATCTGGAGGGGTTGTAAGCAGCTTGGGTTGGTGAGATAAGGAGTTTGGGGGGCAGCTGATTCATGACCCTGGCCTCCTCAACTGCAGGCTCTTGGTCTGAAGTACTGTAATTAAAGTATGAGAGCCTCGGGGCCCTCACTTCAAGGAGGGAAGAGCATCCCCATGCCTCAGCGTTTGGGGATTGTAGGGAGATGAGAGTCCTTCAGGTGGGACTAGTTCCCGCCATGACCCCACTGCTGGCCAGTGGCCTGAAACGCATCTGACCACTTCTCAGGTTCATGGGTGTTGAGGAGGAGCCCTGTGGAATCAACCCTGTCTGCCTCCTCTTATCCTGCCACTCCTCTTGCTCTGTCTGGATGACTGCCCTTGTTTTTCAAGGGAATGTTCCCTGTCTTCCTCAGCCAGGATTTTTTCTGAACTTGACATCTCCGTTTGTTCAGGGGGCAATCATTGGGCACTTCACTGTGCTGGTCCTTGCATTCTCATGGAGATGCAGAGATTAAAAATTAGTATCTTGTCCACATACTGCCCAGAGTTAGCAAGGATTGCTTTTCTGTGGATTTGTCTCAGGTCGGGCACAGTGGGGGTAGGGTCCTTCTCGAACCTTTTCCTAGCCTAAAGGTTCCAGCTGAATCTTCCCAGGCAGGGCTGAAACAGGAACCATTTTAGGCTTTGCTGCAACCCATGGTCAGTTCTCCAAGAAAAGTGAAGAGGGTTCCACCTGGGGCAGCCCTCAAGGGCTCAGAGGGCCAAAACACACGTACAACATGTTGAGACACTGAGTTTGTGCGATCCCCACACATCTCAGCAGTGAGTATTTCTGCCTCATTTTACCGATGAGGAACCTGAGCTTCAAAGGGAAGAGGTGACAGCTCAGGACCACACAGCTGTAGGTAGGAGGCAGGAAAATAGGGTCTGAGTGCAGGGAACATAGGCTGATTCACACTTCAGTTATGATAGGAAATACCTTCTCCATAGGACATAGGCCAAGCAAATGACTTTGTAACTTCATCCTCTCCATCTGCATAACGTGTGCCCCAAGTAACCAATGGAATCACCTAGAGGGTGTTTAAACTCTCAGAAGTTCTGTAACAGGCTCTCCATCTACATAACGTGTGCCCCAAGTAACCAATGGAATCACCTAGAGGGTATTTAAACTCTCTGAAGTTCTGTAACAGGGCTTTTGTGCTCCTATGCTCAGGCTCACCCCCACACTGTGGAGTGTACTTTCATTTTCAATAAATCCCTTCATTCCTTCTTTGCTCTCTGTGTGTGTTTTGTCCAATTCTTTATTTAAGACGCCAAGAACCTGGACATCCTCCGCTGTTAACAGTAGGACGCATCAACTCCTTAGAGTTGGGGCAGCCAGCATAAAAGGAGGCTGACCTCAGCCCGCTTCATTTACTGCAACGTGAGGAATGGATTCTTTGTTGGCAATATTTTAGATTGAGCTTTTTTTCTCATTATAATACATGCTTAGTAAACAGAGTGGGAATAAATATGGTACATGCTCCTCCTTATAGGAATTTTTTTCCTAACTCTTTGTATGAAGTGGTTTTGTGTTCTTCAACTTTATTGTGAGGATTATGCAGATAGTTTGCACAGTTGACTAGTTATCTGAGGGGAGCATATTTTGGATGTGGGCTATTTTCTGCATTGTGGGTGTTGTATTCCCTCCACACTGGAATTTTTCTGTTTGCTCATTCATTTGGAACAAGGAGAGGTTTATCTGGGCCTGGCTGGATGGGTGGGTGGGTGGTAGTGATCTCCTTAGCACTCTGCCTGTGCCTGTTAAAAGCCCCTCGGATCTGTGCTGGGCCTGGCCACTCTGTGGACACCCTTGCCAAGCTCCACCTTTAGCTGGCATGTCCGTGCTCTTGGGCTTCTCTCTGACCAGGTGATTATTCCGAGAGATGGGGGGTGGGGGGGAGCGGAGACTAACAGCTGACATCAGATTCCTCTTAGTAAAAGGACAGTCTTTGTTAGGAAAAACATCTTGGTGGGTGCTTGAGTAAGAGCCCTGAGGGCATGGCTAGTTGAGGTGGCTTAGCTTGCAGGATGTGAAGGTCTGATGGGAAGGGAAGAGAGATGTGGGGGAGAAAATGGCTGAAGAAATGAGGCTGAGTTGCGGGGTGGGGGCAGATGAAGGGCCATGGAGGGGACCCCTGGAGGGTAGAATGCAGGCAATGTTGAGAATGAGGATGCCTTGATTGACTGGAACTTATTTTTTTTTTTTTTTTACTCTCCACGACCTAATATCCCCAAGTGCATTTTCTGTTCCTATAACAATACCACGGACTGGGTAATTTATAATGAAAATAAATGTATTTCTTATAGTTCTGGAGGCTGGGAAGTCCAAGGGCGAGGGGCTGGCATCTGGTAAAGGCCTTCTTGCCACACCATTCCATGGGGGAAGATGGAAGAGCAAGAGGACACACAGCAAGAGACAGCTAAATTCATTTTTACAACACATGCTCATGATAACGAACCCACTCTGATAATGACATTAATGCATTCATCAAGGCAGAACCCTCATGGCCTAATCGCTTCTTAATGGTTCCACCTCTTAATACCATCACAATGGCAATTAAATTTCAACATGAATTTTGGAGGGAACATCCAAACCAGAGCACTGTTGACTGAGTTTTCATTTTTTATTTTAGTAATTGCTTTTTAAAAAATTTCCAGGGTCTCTGACTGGTTCTTTTTTATAAACTACCTGTTCTTGTTTCATAAGTGCCTCTTCATATGTTATGGTTTATTTCAAAAGTCGTCTTTAGGTCTGAGATTTTGATTATATGTGTTCTAAAGTCCTTTTCTGATTTTTCTGTTGCCTCTGTCTCAGGTGTAAGTTTGGGTTGAGTGGCCTGTTTTCCTTCACACTGTGTTGCTGCCCTGGGCAGGTGATTCTCAGTTGTGCCTTACCTTTACATCTGGAGTTTCCTAATGTTCTGTGCAAAGCATCTGGCCTTAGGAGAGAAACACCACCAATAAGTCCCAGTTAGAGTAGGGATGGCAGAGAAACACTCTGGGAGACAAGTCTGGACTGAACCTGTCATGGCCTGAGGGACTTAGAAAACCTTATTTGGACCTCCAGGGCCTAGAAATTTGCATGGGTCTCCTTCACTGTTTTTTCAGGCTTCAGCTTTCTAATCTATCTCTGTAGAAACCAGTCTTTCATCACGCTTCTTTTCCCTTTTTGAACATCATCTCCTACCTGCCTGACTAGGCCCTAATCCCCAAAATGCAGATCTCTCTCACATTCTGGCCTCAGCTCCGTCGTTGTCATTAGTGCTGTTTGCCATCTGCCCCCGCTTTTGTGCATATGGTGGGGTTGCAGCCCCTGTGGTTGTAGGCCCCTTAGAACTTCCACTGCCAGTGTGAGCCCCTCAACAGCTCTCTTATCCCTGGCAAGGTGCCTGGAAACATTTGAGATCTCTGTTCATCGGTACGGGTCCGAGAGTGGTCACATTGAAGAGAATCCCCCCTTCCCCTGCCAGCCTGAGGTGGGCCTGCAGCATGAGAAAGCTTTGTTGTGTGAGACGTCTGCGCTTCATAGTTGTGTGGCTGGAGCATAACGTGGCCTAATAGAGAAGCTGGCCGCTAGGAGAGGGGTGCTGTGCTAATAAAACGTGCGACCTGCCAGGATTTGGAATGTGGGCAGGCTGTTAGGTGGGGCAAAACATTTGGTAAAGCTCAACTGGGATGACTCATGAGGCAGACCGTGAGCTAAGTGTGCGTATCTAGTGGAGAGGTTGGGAAACAACACTGGCCTGAGTATCGGCCGGAGGCTGCATTGGACAAGGGACTGCAGGGAAGCGACGAGCTAAAAAAAAATTCTGCACTTGCAAGCTGGGTGGAAGAGGAACAAAGGTCAGGAACACAAGGACTTAGGGCTGAAAGAGCCCTCCTGTGTACCCCACGGGCGGGCACAGAGCCAAGACAGATTGTGGTGAGGGTGCCATCCTGGATCCAGATGCCCTCCTGCCCCCAGGGTCATGACGCTGGGCACTGCTGCTGAGTTTCCCAAAGCCAGGTGTCAGGCACAGGTGCGCAGCTCAGCAGCGTCCGGAGGTGGCGCTGTGGGCGTGGCTGTAGGCACGTGGAGTGGAGTCACCCGCAGACCACAGAGTCATTTCGAGAGCTGAATTGCAAAAGAAAGAAGAGCCCAGGATGAAAGTCTGTGACTGCTGGGACTTGAAAACAACCTTGGCGGGGAAGAGGCTGAGAAAGCAGTTCTGCCACTGAGCAGGGCTCCTTTGAGGACACCATCAAGCATGGTTAAGAAACAGGAAAGGGGTCCTCCCAAGGCTGGAGCCCCAGGCCACAGAGAACATGACTTGGGGGAGTGGGGTGTCCACTCCCAGGCAGGGGCCCTAGCTGTGCCTGCCTGGCAAGACTTTAGATGGCCATGCAGCAGGGGCTGCCAGGTGCCCTCCATACCCGCTTTCACAGGGGTTACTGCAGTCATCCTATCCCTGGGTGTGAGGGGCAGTGGCAGTCTTCTAGTTCCTAGGTCTCTGGATGGGGTGGCGCCTCCCCCAGACCTGATGTGAAGAAGGTACATGAAGCAACACATGTAGAGACGGCCCCAGACCCTAGACCAGAGTTGCCACCGCCACTGGAGGGGACTCATATGTCCTTGGGAGGGGAGGGGAGGGGCGGGGCATCCAGAACAGGAAGGAGGGTGAGTGGGACATTTGGTGACTGGGGACTGGACAGTGATGGTATCAGGGTTATTTGCCCAGCACCTCCTGCCCTCCCCACTTCCTGGCTGCCATGTGTGGAGTGGGGCTGTGACTGGGCCTGGCCAGCGGGTTGGGAGAAGAGACGTGCTGCTTCTGGGCCACGGCATGTTGGCCAGGTGTGCGTGGCACTGAGATGGTGGCGCCACATCCTTGGGGACTGTGAAGGGCAGCGACACCTATCGCCTGGGAAAATGGAAATCTCAGTTCTCCAAAACAAAACATGCCTGTCACCTTGTACCCATCTTGGGAAAGGATCACCACTGAGGCCGGGATTTGGCTTAAGCCACAGGTGAAGGCCCAGAGTGAAGGTGACACATGGCTTTCCTGTGACATCCAGAGGCTACTCAGGCCCAGGGGGTCCAGCCAAGGGGCTGGGCAGGATTCGGGGAGCCTGCTCTCGGGCTTATGTATCAGAGGAGGGGGCCACACCCAGCTCCTGACCAGCTCCAGGCCCCAAGTCCCGGCAGGCCAGCCCACCCTACACAGCCAGGAAGATGCAGAGGACAAGAGTCGCGAGAAAGAGCGCAGGAGATCAGGTTTGCAGAGTGGAAGTTTAATGGGACCATCACCGTGATACCCCATCACAGCAGTCCCAGGCTGGAGGCCCCAGGCTCTGGCCGCCTCTCCCAGCATGGTGGGCCTGGAGAGAGCACCAGCACCACCTCCCACTTTCCCTGGGGTATTGCTTTGCCCCTGTGCCTCCCACCCCAGGAAGCTACAAGAGACAGGCTGTCCTGTCCCCACACTCTCCCTGGGTCCTGGGACTCCCTGTTCTGAGGGGCTAAGGTTGCCTGGGGCCAGAGGGCCCTCCCCAGGGACAACCATCCTCTCCCTGTGTCCCCTGCCCCCCACACTGAGGGAATGTCTGTGTCCTTGTTCCTCTGCCAGGGGCCAACTGAGGCTGCCAACCCCAGGGGCGGGGTGCAGGGCTGTGCGGGGAGGGTGGCTCAGATCCCTGCAAGGAGGCGTGCTGCAGGGACAGCACAGCCTGGGCCCCCGGCAGACATTAAGGCACAGTGTGGCGGTCACCATAGGGCTGCTGGGGCCCTTGCCCCGGGGCGGCACCTGGCAGGTGCTGGCATCCGGGGCTAGGCACAGCTGTCAGTGTTGAGACAGGAGGCATGGTGTGTGCGGGCTGGCCCCAGGGCCTGCAGTGCAAGAGAGCTGGGAGTGGGGAGGCCAGGTCCACAGGTCTCTGCCAGACACAAGGAGGTCCCTCTCCCCATTCTCCCTGCCTGGGAGAGCCCAGGGGAGGGGCTTGTGGGCCTGGGCAGAGCTCATGGCCAGAGCCGAGACGCAGTCATGGCAGGCCTGGCCCACAGAAGGCACAATTGTGGTGTCTGGGAGGTCGAGGGTCAGCCCGCCAACAGGGCTAGGCAGACACATTGACGTCCCTGAGAGAGATGGCACTGCTGGGGGCCTCGTCCCCAAGCAGCAGGGCCTGTGCGTCCGAGTCTGTGTCTGCTTCAGCCTTGCCCAGCTCCGTGCTGGGCTCTGAGGCGGGCTCTGTGCTGGAGCCCAGGCCCTGGGACAGGATCTGCTGGATGGCTCTGCGCAGGTTGGGGTGCAGCCGGCCCTGCGTCTGGTAGAAGACCTCCAGCGCGAAGGACTTGAGGGCACCGGTGCAGAGGTCCTCGTACAGCGGGATGGTGTACATGCGTGACATCTGCAGGAGGGGCACTCGGTCACACTGGTGGGCTCCCCAGGCCCCTCGAGCCAGCCCACCCTGCCAGCCCGGCCAGGCGGCCCTCCTGCCCCTGGCTTCCCAGCTTCATCATTAGGGCTGTGGCCTGGACTCCGGTGGCCAGGAGGCCTACCATTAGCCTCCCACCTCCACCCTGCCCTTCCAGGCCAACCATGGAGGCCCCATCTCCAGGGAACCTGGGCTGGAGGGAGCACATACAGGGAGCAGGGCAGCCAGGGCCCACGGGCCTGAGGGCTCTGGCCTCCCTCTGAGGAGCTGGGACGTCCCCTCTGCCCAGACCAGGACGCTGAAGGCCCAGGGCCCAGCAGGCTGTGGTGGCCTGGACCCTAAACTCCTGCTCCCAGCTGGTCCCTTCCACAGTTTCTCCAAGAACTGGTGGAGTCCAGGCTGCCCTCTGGTACCTGCACCCGGTGCATGCCCCCACTCCCAACAGACCCCTACGTCTTCCCCGCCCCATTCTCCAGAATGTGCCTGGCCTGCCCCAAGGGCTCAGACTAGGGAGTCGGGTGGGACTCCCAGTCCGCACGGCTAGGCCGTTCCAGGCTGGCCCCCTGGGCAGGTGACCGCACCTGGCTCTCCAGGAAGCGCCGCACCCTGTGGAGGTCAGGATAGTAGTCGTTGCGGACCACAATCTGCAGCCAGCGGATGCGGATCTCAGCGTTCATCGAGTCCAGCAGGGAGGAGTAGCACTTGGACAGGCTCATCACCACCTCTGCAGCGCAGGGGGCAGGTCAGGGCTGGGCCGCTGTTGCACCCCAGCCCCTGGGCCGCCCCCATCAGCTGCAGGGACTCACCCTGCGGCAGCGGGGACCCATCCAGGAGCCGGTCCAGGAAGAGTGCTGTCTGGAAGGTCCTCCACTTGGAGATGTCAATGGCGCTGGCCGAGGCAGCTGCCTGGTCCAGAGGTTCTGCGGTCCACAGCTGGAAAAGGGCCTCCACGGGCCGGGTCAGGCTGGATCCCTGAGACAGGTCCGGCTCAGCCAGCGGCGGGCCTGTGGCATTGAGCCAGCGCTCGAATTCCAGCCCTAGAGGGGAGAAGTGACCCTGGGGTCCCTGCCCAGGCTAGGAAGGGGCTGCCTGAGCAATCTGCCCAGGAGACCCCAGACCCTGAGTGTGTTCCAGGCAGGTGGCCTGTTCCAGGGACGTGGGCTGTTCAGGAAGGCGGAGTCAGCTCCAGCCAGCACTGCCACTTGAAGCCACTGAAGGGGCTTCTGTGAAGGGGTACAGGGAAGCAGAGACTTGGGTTGGTGACCAAGGGACTCGCACCCACTCCACGCCTCTCCTGGGTGGAAGACAATGAAGTAGTCTAAACCCAACCTCAGTGCTGGTGGAGGCCACCTGCGCCATGAACCAGCAGGGGCGGGATGGGGGCAACAGGCTCTTAAGATGATATTCCTGCTCTTAAAGGGCAGTGCCCATTCCCTACCCACAAAAAGCTCTTGATGCACTTGCTGTACCTTCCAAAACTTGGTGTCACCATGCACAGCCCTCCCAGTGGCACCTCACCACCCTCCAGCAATTCTGGCCTCTCCCTCAATGTCTGAACCCTGCAGTGCCTTCCTGGGCCCCAAGCCCTCAGACCCTCAGGGACACCTTTACAAGTGACACATAAACAGGGCTGGCTGCTGTTCTCCAGCTCCAGGACACCCCCGTCACCCGCCCTTCCTGCACCAGGCCCTTTGCACACCTGGTTTCCATGGCCCGCTTCCTGGGAGTGCCTGACTCGGCCTGCTTAGCCTGTGCCACCGGCCCCAGGGAGGCCCCCAACCCCAGCCCTGTTCTCATAGCATACCAGCCTGGGGCCCACATGGTCCAGCAAGGGTTGGCTGAAGGACAGACAGTGAACTGACAGGGCTTTCCTCCAGGTGGAGTGGCCCCTCAGGCAGCAGAGGCCCCGCCTGCCATCATACCCACGGCTCCCTGGCTGCAGGGTTGGGGGTCAGCCTCACCTGCCCGGCAGTCCACGCTCTGCTCCTTCAGCTCCGGGAAGAAGCTCAGGAAGGAGTCCAGCAGGTCCTGGGCCACCACGCTGGTGAACTTGTACTTCTCCACATAGGCCTGTGTGGCAGAGGTGGGGCCTCAGCAGGCCTGGAAGGGTGGGGCACAGGCAGCCCCACCAGAGGCCTGCAGGGCACTGCAGGGCGTGCGCCAAGGTACGTGCTGGGCACAGGGGCAGCTAGTGGGCACTGCGGAGCCAGCACTTGGCACGCAGGCCCTGCCAAGGGAGCAAACAGGGTGGCAGAAGGGGAGGTGGCAACCCAGGCACTCCCCACAAAGAAAGGCAGACTAGGTCCCAGCCAGGCTCACAGGCCCCTGCCAGTTCCACCCCAACTGCCGCAAGAGCAGGCAGCCCTGTGAGCCGGGGAGGGGCTGGGGGCAGATGGCAGCAGGGCCGTCCCGGGCAGGGGGCTGCTCACTCGGAGAAAGTCATCAAAGCGCTGTGGGTCTCCGCAGAGCTGGGACAGGTAGTACACGAAGCAGTAGCCCTTCTCGTAGGTGAACAGGTTCATCAGGTGGCTGGGATTCACTCCTGCAAGGTGAACACCCACCTGGGCTGGCGTCCGAAACCACCAGTGTCCCGTGGAATAGGGAGGGGCAGTGGTCAGGCTCCGAGGAGCAGCAAGGGCCAAGCGCCACTGTCCCTCACATGTCCAGATGTGTACTGATGCCCTGGGCGTGCAGCGGCAGGGCCTCGGGGAAGACTGAGGACTCACACACCACTGTGACTGCTGCTCAGAGCCAGGGAAGCGGCGGTGGCTGTGGGAGCCTGGGGAGGCCTTGCCCTGGCCAGGGGCTCCCAGCTTGGCCTTGGCAGGGGTCCAGGCACAGTGCAGGACAGAGAAGCCACAGCCAGAACACACGAAGGGCAGGCAAGGAGGCCTTGAGGGGTGACATCCCCAGTTGTGGGAGCGGGTCCTGAGGAGCAGGTACCTGGCTCCAGCTTGACCTGCAGTTTGCTGACCGGGCTGTCCTCTCCCAGAAGCTTCATCTGCCGGTGCAGGGCGTCCAGGCGGAAGGCAGTCTCCAGGCAGGTGAAGGCAGCACCTGGATGGGGTCCGGAGACAGAGGAGAGGTGAGGGGGTGTAGGGGTCGTCGGGGGAAGCAGGAGGTGTGGGCACCTGCAGCATGGCAGGGGGGCCAGGCTAGGCTCTCTGCCCCTGGACCAGTGCCCAGGGCCCCCCGTGGCTGCCCTCCCCGGCCCTGGCCGCACCGTAGGTCTCGGTGGTGATACGGCGCTGGGCATAGGTGGCCAGGCCCTCGCTCAGCCACATCTCTTCCCACGTGGCGTTGGTGACAGCGTTGCCGAACCAACTGTGGGCCACCTCGTGGATGACATCGATGACCAGGAACTCATCGCTCTCCAGGATGGAGGAGATGATGAAGGTGAGGCAGGGGTTCTCCATGGCCACGATGGGGAAGGAGGGTGGCAGGAAGACAATGTCGTACCTGCACCGGGAGGGCGGTGAGGGTGGCAGACCTCGGGGCTCAGACTCCCACCCTGCACACCCGCACCCCACCTTCCACCCAGCAGGGATCAGCCCAGCCCCTGCGGTGAGCTCCGCTTCCTCCCCAGGAGATGGGGACAGGACACCCCAGGGGTCAGACGAGGGGCTCCCCCTCTGACTCCTCCTTCCAGCCAGCCAGGTCCACAGGTCCCCGGGGCCTACCTGCCCCACATGTAGGGCCCATACAGCCGCTCAGCTGCACTCAGCCACTGCTCCACTGCGCCCGACAGCTTGCTGGTGGCCGTGGGCAGGAGGCATGGCTCGGCCCACACGCGGCTCCTGGTGCATGCAGAGAGGGTGAGCTGAGGCCGAGCAGCCCCAGCCCCGCTCACCCCACCAGGCTCTCCCACTGCCCTGGGGCTCCAGTAACACCCACACCTCACCCAGCCTGGCTGACCACCCCAGCCTACAGCCCGCCCTGCCTCACTGGATGGGCAGCCACCCTGGCCCTTCCCACAGCAGGGCAGAGCTGCATTCCAGGGGCCACGTAGCTCATTTTATCTCTGGGCTGAAGGGACCAACGAAGGTATGAGGGTGCCAGGCTGTGCGGGGGCCTTGGCAGGAAGGACCAGTTTGCAGGGCAGGCACTGGGTGGGCCAGGCTGCCGGGTCTGAGGGCACATGGGTGGCAGGGCCCTGGCGGTGGCACCAAGGCAGGGGCAGGGCTGGCCCAGAGCACCCAGAGGCCAGTGGGGGTCCTCAGCAGGGCAGCCGTGGACACAGGCCACAGACCCCCGGTGGGGCTCTCCCCGAGGCCTGCGCAGCCCCAGAAGGCCCCAGCAGGAGGCCCTACCTGGGCCCGATGTCTGCCGGCTTGAGGTCTCCGGCCACCAGGGCCACGAGGTAGGCGGGCACGGGGTGCTCCATGTGGAAGTGGAAGACGCCTTCTTCCTCCATGTATGCACTCCGGGTGGCACTCATCAGCACCTGCACCCCCGATGGCGCCTGTAAGGAGGCCGGACTGAGACCGGGTGGCCCCACCGTCAGCACACCCATAGCCCCGGCCGGGGAGCCTGTCAGGCAGCCCCATATTCGTAGCAGGAAACCCTACATCCCCATCAGGGAACGTTTCTGTCAGAGAACTTCTCTCCGAAGAACTGCCACCCTCCATTCGGAACCCCTAGCTCCCAGCCTGCAAACCTCGTCCCAGCACAGAGGGTGCTGCCAAGTTCGGGCCCGGTGACCCACAGACCCCACTGGGGATCAGCAGCTCTGTCGGGAGACCCCTTGTCTGGGGACCCTGCAGTGCCACTGGGGACTCACCCCGGGTCCAGGACCCCGACCCCTCAGGCCCGTTGGAGGCAGCCCGGCTTCCCCCGTTCCCTGCAAAGCGGCTCCTCCCATAGAGTAGGGAGGGTGGGCTCCTGCTAGCACTGTGGCCTGCTGGCAGCTGGGGCCACAGCCCAGGCAGGTAGGAGCAAGGGGGAGGCGGCGTGGCCAGGCCACTGGGCTGTCCTGGGAGCAAGGTGACGGCAGCTGGCGGCCCCTGACCTTGACGACGGCAGAGTAGGTGCACTTCACGGCAGGTGTGTCGAAGCACGGGAAGAAGGAGCGGTTGCACACGGAGTGGCCCTGGGTGAAGACGAAGGGCTTGGCGCAGCCATAGGTCAGCTCTGGGTCCAGCCACCAGATCTGTGGGCAGGATGGCCCATCAGCAGACGGCCACCCAGCTAGGGTGCTGGGCCCTAGCCACTGGGCAGCAGCCTGAGAGAAGGCAGGAGGCTCTGGGAGGGGACAATGGCCAGATTATCTTGCTGGGTTCGAGGGCCAATAGCCACCCCTTAGCCTTCACTTGCCTGCCTGGGCAGGGAGACATCCAGGGCAGGTGACCCAGGGTGTGGCCTGCACTGTGTCATCAGGGCCAGACCCCAACCCAGGCAGGAGGCCCTGTGTCAGGTAGCCGATAGGGGCATCTCCCAGCTAACGCCAAGGCGAAAAAAGGGAATAGCCCATCATTGCATTATCTTAGCTTCCATAGGGAAACTGAGGCACAGTAGGGACACACTCAGTCCAAATTCCCAGCAGTTGATTTGGTCATGGTCAGGAAAAGGAGGCTGGGATGTGGAACCTGGGAAGCCAGAGCCTCCTGATGGCTACGCACTAGCAGGCAGCACGCCCGGGCCCAGAGCCACCCTGAGCCCAGGCAGCCTCGCCTGGAGGGACCCTGCAAGAGACAGGCTCCAAGCCAGGGGACAGCAAGCAGGGAGTGGAGGCCAGGCCAGAGGACCCTGCTGGCAGGGGACAGGAGCGGCCAAGGGAAGGATGGCTGGGGCCGCTGCCTGGAGGCCGGGGGCTGCGGTGAGTGCTGTGGAATGGGTGCGCTCACAGCAGCTGCTACCCACCTAAGGTCACCCCCCCGGCAAACCTCTCATCTGCACCAAAGCTGTTGAGGCTTTCCTCACCCCTAGATGCCGAGGCCAGGCCCCAGCCCCACTGAGAAGCCTGCACACCCGGGGCCCTCCTGCCACTATCCTGCTGCACCCGTCTCATCTTCCTTCCAGGAATTCTGACCTCTCCAGTGAGGGCAGCTCAGAGTCTGGGAGGGGGACCCTCTTCCAACCACAGCCACATCACCTTCGTCCCAAGTCAGCCCTGCACGTCGTATCCACCCTCCCCTCTGCCGGAATGAGATAGTCAAGGCAAACTGAATTGCTCTTCGTGCAGAGGCCCTCCCATGACCATGAGTAGAAGGTGCCCCCAACATGCTTCTAAGACTGGACAAGTGGAATCCACAGCTGAGGCCTGGAGGATCCCAGACCAGGAGGGCTGCCTCCCCCGCAGTCCCGGCCAGACCCCTGCCAGCATTCTCAGATCTCTTCCAAACTTCCTGTTGGTGCCCTGGCCCTGCTGGGCAGCAAGGTAGCACAGGCGTCTCCCATTCCTGCTGAGCCCTGGGCTGCCAGGGTGTTCAGGGCCCACCTGGGGAGCCATTCACAAACGCAGCCTCCCCCTTGGGGGGGGCTGGGACCTGGGAATCTGTATGAAGGAACCTCCCTGCAGGAGTCTCCCCAACCCTTCAGCCTGCACGGCCCCCTCACAACTACTCCTCTCCTGTGGCCTTGCCTCACCCTCCTGAGGCCCTTCTCAGGCTCTGCCCACTCACACCTCTCCCTACTGCCCCATGTCCACCCCACAGCCTCAGTAGCCTGGGTGTCTTCCCAGATACCAGCAGGGCCCACAGCTCCCCACTTGCCCTGAAGTGAGGGGCTGGGGCAGACCCCCAGACAGGACAGGCCCTGCCCCACAGATGGGGCACCAATCCCCGTCAGGGCACCCGGGCACAGGTGCTGATGGGCTGGTGGAAAAGGAACAAGGCTGAAGGGCTCCAGACGCTGCAGGGCAGGAAGAACGCTGTTCTTGCTGGGGTGGGGTGGGGGTGCGGGAATGGGCCCAAGCATCTGCAGCACCTCCAAAAAGCCTCTGGGGGCCTGGGGCCCACTGGCAGGGCCTCCCAGGGAGCTTCCGCTGCATCCTCCCTGGCACAGGGACAGGCTTAGGGATTTGGGCCTGAGTCCCTGGAACATGCAGGAAGAGAAGGGGACTCTACGTGTGGCCCCAGCCCCATGGCGCTCACATACAAAGGTGCATGCCTGAGGTTAGAGTCGAATACTCTGCCTTCTGCAAGTAGGGCGGCTCACAGGCCAGGTGACGCTAGGCCCCCTGTCCACAGCCTGCCAACCCTGACACCACGCAGACTTGGGGGACTATGCCACTCTCCCTGCCCAGAGTACCCAAGGGCCACCCAGTAGGCCATAGGAAGCCAAGAGACAATGGCCACCCTTGCTCACTGGGCCCCGTTCACAGCAGCCTGCTGAGGGCCCTGGTCCGGCCACTCTGCAGGCCAGTGTTGGGCGGACCAGACACGTGGGCTCCAAACACGGATCAAGGCCAAGGAGAAGCCCATCCCTCAGTTCTCACCTGTCATACTGGGAGGCATACTTGCCACCGGTCAGAGCCCTGGAATACCACAGCAGGGGCGGGGCCGGCTAGCCAGCGGCCTGCACACCCACAGGGGTTCTGGGAAAAAGGTGAGGTGGCAGGTCCTGCTTAGGGCTCCTGGGAAATGTACAGGAAGCCCATAGGGGTGCACTGGTCTGGGTTCTTCCTGCCCAGATGTCACCTTGGCTCTTTGTGGCCTGAAGCCTCTCGACCACCTCTCCACCACCCTGTCCATTTATGTGCCGTGACCAGTGACAGCTGGACTTCCCAGCGCCTCCACAGCTGTGTGTGTCTTGCATATGTCGGGTGTCACATGTGTGCCGTCCATACCACCTAGGGATGCAGTATGAACCCCCATGCTGTAGGCAGGAAAGGCCCTGCTCCATCCTGTACACATCCCCACTGGTGGAGGTGGAGGGGGTGCTGCAGCCACAGCGCCAGCCTCAGCCACCTGGCCTTTCTTGCAGAGTCTCTGGAGTGGTGGGTACCCAGTGTGCAAGCCCTGCAGAGCCTATGTGTGTCTATGTTGGGGTCGCGGGGCCCACTGGTCTCAACACTCCACCAGTGCTGGCCAAGGAAGCCCCAAACCGAGCATCACAATCTCCATGGCCCTTTCCTCTGCCTCTGGCTTGGACTCATCTGCACGCACTGGTCACATGGAGGCCCTTCCGCAGCTGACACTCCAGCCCAACCCTTGGTGCCAGGATCCTGCAGATGTACACCTCGGTGGGTGACAGAAGCTGCTCATGTCCCCAGGCAGGGACCAGACACCTGAACGGGAGGCTTCCCGGAGTGACATGCTGTCCCGTGTCCCCGCAGGACTCCGGCTTCTATCCGAGGGTCCTAAGGGCTCACAGGCAACAGCTGGGAATCACCGGGGTGGGGGGAGGGGGGCACCTGTAGGGCGCAGATTCGCGTCCCTCAGCCTGGCCGTGCGGCGAGAGGCCGCTAGCAGCGCCCTGCGGACCGGCCCGCAGCCCCGGCGCCCGCCCCGGACTCACGGCGGGGGCGTCGGTCGAGGTGTACCGCAGGATGACCTGGAAGGGCTGGTGCGCCTGCAGCTCGGGCGGCAGCGTGACGGTGAGCGAGGAGCCGTAGTCGGTGAACGGGTCCACCCTGAAGGCCAGCGGACAGCAGGCGGGCTCGGAGCCGGGCGCCTCGGGGAAGGCGGGCAGCGGGGGCGGCGGCGCGGGCCCCGGCCCGGGGGCGGAGAAGGCGAAGGCGCAGGGCGTCTCGGCGGCGGCGGCGGGGGCGCGACGGAAGGCGGCTGAGTGCAGGCGCAGAGCCGGGTGCGCGTCGAGCACGAGCGCGCGGGGCGCGGGCCGCAGCGCGCACAGCTCGAGCACCAGGCAGCCGGCCAACTCGCGCGCCTCGGGCCGCAGCTCCAGGCCCAGCTGCAGGTGGCGGAGGCGGAAGAGCTGCGCGCTGGAGGCCGAGGCCACGTCCAGGGCGGGCGGCGGCTCGGGCGGCGGGCGGACGGGCGCGGCCTCGGCGCCGGGCGCCTGGCGGCAGCAGCACTGCGCGGCCATGGCCGCCGGCACTAGGTGAAATCCATGGGCGGCGGCCGCGCCGGGCCGCGGGCGAGGGGCGCCGGGCGGCGGCGGCGGCGGGGCGCGGGCACAACAGGAAGTCGCGCCGGGAGCCGCCCGGCCCGGCCCCGCGCCGTGCGCCGCCCCGCTCGGGCTCCGCTCGGCCGCCGCCGGGGGCGCTGTGCGCGGGGCCGGGGCGCGGGGCCGGGGCGCCGGGCGGGGAGGGCCAGGAGCCAGGGGCGCGGGGAGCCGGGGAATCGAGCGCGGCGCGGGGCCGGGGCGCTGTGTTGGGAGCCGAGGCGCGCGGAGCGGGTGAGCAGCACCCCCAGCCCCTCGCTTCCTCCCCGGGCGGCGCCCGGGAGATCCCAGGAGGCGGGATCGCTGCTCCCTCCCAGACACTGCCGGCCAGGCCCCTGGGGCAGCCGCTGAAGGGACCCGGGAACCTTGGGGCCACAGGGGCAGGCTGCTTCCAGGTGTGGTTCGTGTTCCCGAGGAGCGCAGCGTCGCGAACTCAATGTCATCCTTTCATCCGGGGCTACGGGCAGGGCAGGATTCTCCTGGCACCCCTGCCACTCCTCCAAGTCTACAGGTGTGGTCTGTGCTGTGGGCCCTGCGGTGCGAGAAGCGCCGGAGCCTTCACGCAGCGCTGTCAACTACAGCAGCCACCAACCACGTGTGGCCATTTAGATGCGAATTAAATACAGTTAGAAGTTCAGTTCCTTCGTGGCAGGTGGAGTGAGTGAGTGTGTGTGTCTTCCTGGGAGGAGTGGCTAATGGACAAAGCAGGCAGGAATCATTTCCACAATCGCAGAAGTTCCTCTGGGCAGTGCTGGGGACCTCTCATTTGGGAGCCCTGTGCTGGGGTACGAAGGAGGGTCTGGCCCGCCTGTCCCCACCCCATCCGCCAGGTCCACCCTTCCCAACGCCATTCTCTGTGGACCTGGCGAAGGCTGCCCAAGGCTGAGCCTGTCCAGGAGCCTGAGCCCCGAGGGAAGGGGTGCTCGCCTGGCAGAAGCTGCTAGTGAGCTCACAGCGGTTAAATTTTGAGGCTGTGGAATAACAGGGGCCACCATGATGTCGCTGTTGTCATCAAGTAAGAATTCAAATTCCTAGGGACAAGGGGCTTCTGGGGCTGGGGAACTATCCAGGAACCCAGGACACCTCTCTCTTCTGCTCCATTGAGGTGTGGCCGTGCAGGGCTGGACTCGGGTACCGCACTCGACTCAGCGTCAGCCCTGAGTAGTGTTTCCTGTGTCTGGACTCAGTCTCCTCGTTGTGTAACCCTCTGTGTCTACCCTCCTTCCGTGGGGCGGGAAGGAAGGCTGAGAGGGAGAGTGTGCGTTCACGTTTGCGGGACAGAGCACTGAGGCATCATTTCAGTTTTCCCGTAGGACCTCAGGTCCCCACGTGCCCTCTTTAGGGACACGGCCACGATCTTGGGGCACCCATCCCAAACTCACCAGGAACCCCTAGGCTTACACAGTCACTCAGAGGTGTGGATCAGCCTCGCATCCAAGGCTGACAGGGAAGACAGCTGAGATGGGACCCTCCTCACTGCCCCCAGCGCCCTGCCCGGTGGGGCCCTGCAGTGCCAAGGGCAGACTGTTTTCGATGGCACCCCCAGTTCTACGGGGCTCTCCAGAGCCCACCGGGCCATGTTCCTGGCTGGAAGAACCTCAGTTCTGCACACGCGGTGCCACACTAGCTGGGCCTGGCCGTCCGGGGGGCAAGTCACCACAGGGAGCTTGGGGTCTTGCCACCCAGAGCCCCGCATTGGGCTCAGGGAGCAGAGGTTGGGGTCTCGCCCTGGGCACCTCTCCGCGGCCAGTTCTGCACACAGGAGTCCAGAGTTGCTGTGGCACCTCCTCCCCGGGGGCCCAAGGGAGCGCCTCCCACCGCGCACGTATGTGAGGAGCTGCCCTACTGCACCCCATGGAGCGGGAGGCGCGGCTGAGCCGAGGGGGCGGGGTCTGCAACTGAGCCGCGGGAGCCTCTCGCGCCGGCCCCGCCCCGCCCCGCCCCGCCCGAGGAGGCCCCGCCCCCGCCGGCCTGACGCCCCCTGGCGGCGGGAGGCTACGCCGCATGCAGGCCTGGGCAGACACCTCTGACTTCTCTAACCCTGGCAGAGGAGCCTGGACGTCGCGACTGTCAGCCCTGGCTTTCTCCCACAGGAGTTTTCATACTCCAGCTTTTTGGTGATCAGCGCAGTGAAGTGGCTGCGCGGCATCTGCACCCCAGCCTTCCCCTGATGCACCCGAGGGAGGGGTTCCTGGCTTCACCCACTAGGAGGTGGGTGTGGGCATGGAGCGTTTTAGCAGGCTGGGGAGGGCAGCAAAGCTTCCAGGAAGAAGCAGTGTTCAGACAGGGCCGCGCCCAACCCCGACAGAGGACCAGGGAGCTACCAGTTCTCAGATGGAGCTGGTGGGCTAAAAAGGTCTGATGTGACCCACAGGTGTCCTTCAACCTGGCCGGGGCCCTGCTGCCCTTGTCCCCTTGTCACCAGGGCCAGGTCAGCAGGTAAAGGGTGTGCCCTGCCCTGAGGCAAGGGCAGCCGAGGTTTTCATCAGGGTGTTGTGAGCAGGGCTGAGCCGCGGGGGAAACCGCAGACCCAGGTCCTCCCTCCTCTCCAAGCCACTGTTCCTCACCCACTAGTGGCGACCGGCGGCTGCTTCCTTCCGGGTTGATGAAAAGGTTGCATGAGTCATGAGGAGCTTATCTAGAGAGGCCAGCGGCAGGCAAGCCCTCCACAGAGATGGGGACTGCCCTGGGCACCAGCTTGTGATGGGGGCCGCGGTCCACAGCGATGGGTGGTGCCGGCTGGTGACACGGCATAGAGGGGCAGCGACCAACAAGGTGTGGCCTATGCTTGAGGCCCAGGTACACAAGGCGTGGGGAGGGAGAAGGCCCTTCTCACTACCACCCCCACGCTTGGCTGACAAAACCCGTGCTTCCCATCCCCCCAGCTTTGGGCTCTGCCGCATCAGAGATGTTCGGTCCCCAGGTGGGATGCTTTTGCTTAGGAACACAATCGGGTCTCACTGGGAGGGTGGCTCAGACACGGCCCAGCCACGGAAGCATGAGACAACACAGGGCTGGCTCTGGCAGGTGGGCATGAGGCTTTGTGAGGCTTGGGGGCCAGGAAGAGTGGTGCCTCCTACTTCTCTCTGGTGGTGCAGTACAGGTAACGGAGGCCACAGCACCTGTGTGGGCAGCCATGCAGGGCCTGGGGCCTTAAAAATGAAGGATCGAGTCATGCCACCAGGTGAAGGCCATAAGCAGCTTAGGCACTGGCTGAGGGTAGAACATGGAACGAGTATTGGAAAAGGCAGATAAGCACCAACCACAGTATTTTACTCATTGACGCATACAGAATGTAAATACGCGTAGTTGTATATATTAACCAATGACTACGTTATCTGTGATTCACATGTATTACACACATTTTCCTTTTCTTTCCCCACTCCTATTTAAGGAGTGTTGATTCTAGGATAGTCTTTAGGCCACAGGATGTCCAGGAGAGGTGGTGTCTGAACTAGAGAAGGAATCAACATGCTTGGATGCCTCCAGTGGTGGCTTATGGGGTTCCACCCTCACACGGCGGGAGAGGCAGCACCTTGTTGGCTTGACAGTAGCTATGTGACCTTAAGTTGGGGTGCAATGTTGGTGAAACAGAGATCAAAGTAGGAGAGGGGTGCAGATGCTGGAGGCCTCCCGGGTTCCCTCACCAGGCCGTCTGTCAGCACAGCCTCCTTCTCCCCTGCCTGTCACAGGAGGGGCTTCCCATGTTCGGTGCCCAGATGAGACCAGTGAGAGGTCTGGGAGGTGGGAGGAAGGAGATGTACTGTGGCTTCAGCAGCTGGTGGGCAGGAGGCTCTGCTGGCAGCTCCAGGTGCCCTCCACAGCCAGGACATCAGGCAGTGGGGATCTGGGTGGCAGGTCCCTGTGACTCCCCTATGTCTCCTCTCCTGTCCTTGGCTCCCCAGCCTTCTTCTCCCTGCATTCAGTTTCTTTCTGCCCAGTTCCTTAAGTGGTTTAGATTTTCCTGACCAAGGCTTGTTTAATAAGCTGAGCTGACCAGAGGGAGAGGACGGAGCAGATGGTGGTGCAGGGGTCCATGTGGTCTGATGCGCAGACCCTTGCCCCACCAGCAAGAGGGGACAGAGACCCTCTGGAGCTGCATTTCCGGAAGATGGGGCTTAACTGGGAAAAATGAAAACTCAGTGTGGAGGCGAGTGCACTGGGCGGCCGTGGTGCCGTGGGACCATGGACCTCAGAGGGCACTGGTGGCAGGACCGCAGAGCGGGCCCTTCAGGCCACTTCAGGGCCACTGAGGTGGAGGATTCTCTTGTGAAGAAAGCAGTAGGAAGGATGGAAAACCATACTTCCTAGACAGGCATCTGGAGCAGTTTCAGTTTTGATTGCTGTTATTACTACTGATAACTGAGCAAAAGTGGTGATGATGCTTGAGAGAAATTTCTGCAACCCACAGTCAGCAATTATATGTACAGCCAAGTACAGCGTGTGCTCATTTCTCCCTCGATTTTTGAATCTGCAGTTTACCAAAGCTGCCAATGCTTTCTTATTATTATTTTATTGCAGCAAATTCCAGATGTGTCTCCAACGGGAAAATATACAACCCTCTTGCCTTTGATGATTATTCTTATGATTTCAGGCATTAAAGAGGTTATATACATCATAAATGACATGGCAGACAAAATAGTTAAGGAACACAAAACTGTTATGACAAGATTCATGGGACACGTTTAAGTGGAAAGAGGTGAATGTGGGTGACACTGTGAAGGCCTCGAATGGGGAGCTCCTTCCTGCAGACACAGTCCCGATGTGTTCATATAGCAACATCTAATCCGGATAGAGAGACAAATGTAAGACACGGCAGGCTTTGCCAGAAACAGCTGAAATGCAAACAGAAAACCAGCTGTTAGGCCTATCTGGAAAAATAGACCGTGAAGCACCTGATCGTCATTTCAATGGCTGAGCTTCCGCCTAGGTGGTAAAAGCCCTGTTCCAATAGGGCCTGACTGGGTCTTGTTAAGAGATACACAGCTTAGAAATGCTCAGTGGATTGGCCGGGCGAGGTGGCTCACGCCTGTAATCCCAGCGCTTTGGGAGGCCGAGGCGGGAGGATCATGAGGTCAGGAGATTGAGACCATCCTGGCTAACACAGTGAAACCCCGTCTCTACCAAAAATACAAAGAAATTAGCTAGGCGTGGTGGCGGGCGCCTGTAATCCCAGCCACTCAGGAGGCTGAAGGACGAGAATGGCATGAAGCCGGGAGGCGGAGCTTGCAGTGAGCCAAGATGGCGCCCACTCCAGCCTGGGCACCAGAGTGAGACTCCGTCTCAAGAAAAAAAAAAAAGAAATGCTCAGTGGATCACTGGCATAGTTGTTTACACTGGCTTTGAAACCAAATTCCTGCAGAATTCTGTCAAATCACCTCAAGAGATCAGAGATTAAGAAAGTGACAATGGGCGGGTCTCCCTTTGGTTCCTGCTGCTCTGGTCATGTCTGTAGTGAGCTGCGTGGGAGCCGTGCTATGGAATAAAAAGTATGGTGACATTTGGTACCTGAAAGAGGATTCCAGCTCACAGCATTGTGTTTGACATACTGGTGTTCATCATCTTATAACAGTACCTCATCCCCATTAGTCTGCTGGTCACTATGGAAATTGTGAAATATATTCAGGCCCAGTTTATAAACTGGGATCAAGATGTGCATTATAAAGTAAATAGTGTCCACACCATGGCCAGCACATTCAATCTCAGTGAAGAACTTGGGCAGGTAAAATTTCTATTTTCTGATAAAATGGGAACCCTCACTTGCAATGTTAAGACATTTAACAAGTACCACTGCAGGTGTCATTTATGGTGCAACACCTTCCATCCGAGCCCTGATATTTTAATTACCCCAGTTTATTGGAGAACATTGAGAATGGCCATCCCACAGAAAACTATATAGACCAATTTCTTACCCTGTTATCTGTGTGCCACACTGTTATCCCTGGAAATATTATAATCTACCAGGCTTCCTCCCCGGATGAAGCAGCTTTAGTGAAAGGAGCAAAAAAACTTGGCTTTGTTTCCCTACAGGAACACCATACTCTGTCACCGTAGAAGCCATGGGTGAAAAAATCACTTTTGAAATTCTTAATGTCCTGGAGTTCTCTAGTAATAGAAAAAGGAGGCTGGGCACGGTGGCTCACGCCTGTAATCCCAGCACTTTGGGAGGCTGAGGTGGGTGGATCACGAGGTCAGGAGTTTGAGACCATCCTGGCTAACATGGTGAAACCCCCCATCTCTACTAAAAATACAAAAAATTAGCCGGGTCTGGTGTCACACACCTGTAGTCCCAGCTACTCAGGAGGCTGAGGCAGGAGAATCACTTGAACCAGGGAGGCGGAGGTTGCAGTGAGCCGGGATTGCGCCACTGCACTCCAGCCTGGGCAACAGAGACTCTGTCTCAAACAAACAAACAAAAAAAAAGAAAGAGAGAAAGAAAAAGGATGTCCGTAATTGTCCGAACTCCTATGGGACAGCTCCAGCTGTATTGCAGAGGGGCTGATGAAGAGAATAATTCCCCAATCACCCAAGTTGCCCTTCAACAATGTCTTCATCAACAGCTTTCTTGATCTAAATGTCCCACGTGGGTATGCATTTTCTCAAACAGAAGCATCCGTGGTCACGCAGGAAGAACTAGTCCGTTCTTATGACACTACTAAAAATAAACACAAGAAGAGTTGCTTTTCCTGATTTCACCTATGACTCAGATTCTGATTACTGTAGTCTGTACTCATGTCCTTCCCTGAGACTGGTAGAATGCGCCGGCACCCCCAAACACTCAAGATTCTGGAGTGTAAATAATGGAGGATCCCTATTTGCTTTTTCTTAATTTGTCTTCGATGTTTTACCAAATGTATTTCTTTTTGTGTCTGTAAGATAATTTGTGCATCACCTCAGCCGGAAATATAAAATTAAAAGCACTATGTTTCACACACACACACACAAAGGAAAACTCGATATGACAGTGAGGAAGAAGGGTAAAGACCAGCCTTCTGTATCAGTGCAGGGACATCCTTCCTCCAGGCAGCAGGCCTTCAAGCTTCAAGCCTCAGGGCCCAACCCTAAGGCTGGGGGCTCTCCCTGCAGGCAGGACTGGGCCTGGAGGGCCTCCTCATACTTCTGGAGCTGAGACCAGAAGCCCGGGTTCGGTTCTGCTACCGGGCGAGCGCTCTTCACCATCTGCAAACAAGAAGTGTACTGAATAACCCCAAGTCGCGCTAATGGCCAGCAGGGGCCAAGGCGGGCCCAGCTGTAAGAGTGGGCCCCGCCCAACCCGGAAGTGCCTCTCTGCTTCCCTAAGCCCGCCCTCACGAGAGAGACCCGCCCCTCCCGGAAGTGCCTGTCCCAATCCCGAAGCCGGCCCCGCCCGGAAAACTCGTCCCCGGAAGACACGCCCCTCTCGAAACACCGCCCCCCTAAAGGCCCGCCCACCTGGAAGGCCTTCGCCAGGCTGAGGCCGCGGTGCCGCATGAGGTACGCGGTGCAGACGGCGGCCGAGCGGCTGCGGCCGTTCTTGCAGTAGACTAGGCAGGCGCCGCCGGCGCGCACCGCGGCCTCCATGGCGGCGCACGTGGGCTCCAGGTGCGCCAGCAGGTCCTCAGCCGGGTCGTCGAACACGGGCACGCGCAGCTCTGCCACGCCGGGCGCGCGCGGGCCGGGCTGCTGGCGGGAGACGTTGACGCACAGCGTGACTCCCGCGCGCGCCAGCTGCTCCTCCGCGCCCGCGGCTCGCGCGCTCCCGAGGAAGAGTGAGGGCGCGACGCGCACCAACGGTGGAGGTACGGGCGAGGCGGCCCCGCGGCGCCCAGCTTCTGCCGGTCCCATGGCGCCCGCCGAAGAGTCTGCTTTTGGGCCCTGAGGATCTATTTTGGGGGCTCAGGCGCCCGCCCAGGAGTCTATTTGTGGGAGCCGGGCGGGCCGCCGGGCGCCCCCGGGTCCTAGAGGCCTCCGAGGTGGACCAGGCTGGGGCTTGGGTCCCCCGCGGGCGCTGGGCCGGGACAGGGGGCTTGGGTCTCGTTGGGGCCGGGGCATGGCGGGAGGTTTGGGCCTCACCAGGGCGCCGGGGCCTTGGACCGCTCTGCGTCCCATGTTCTCTGTCCCCGGGCGCCGTCCTCCCCGCCCCCGCGGCCTGTGGCACTGGGCTTGCGTCTGTGGCTCTTGGGCGCAGCGCCCTGCCCGCTCTACTGCGGCGTCTGGCGCGGAGGCGTGGCTTGGCCGGGCCCGCCCACTTCGCGTCCGCGTCGTTCGGCTAGGGCCCCGTGGCTACCCGGTGCACGTGGACGGCGGGCTGCGTGGTTCCCGTGTCTTCACCCTTTCCCTAGTGACTGCGTTGTCGGCTTTACGTTTATTCCTTTTTGTGGCCCGCTTTGTAATTGGTGCATTTTTTTCTATGTATTATAACACATGGCTCATAAAATAAAACTAATTTCTATTTTCATCACTTCTTCATAGACCACACTATTCCTTTTGCTGTTTCTAAGTAATTTATTGGGGTCAGCATTGTAACTTTAAAAAATTTAATATCACTTAATGTCCATGAAATTGCCATTTAAGACTCCTTCAATTTTTCTGACATCTGGTAATTTTCAGGCAATGGATACACTGAAAAGCAACTGTCTCAACAGCCCTACAGACATTTAGCAATTGAAGTTTCAGTTGCATACAGTCTCTCTCTGGGTTATCGTCATTGCTTTGTCCATCAGCCTTCTAGCATTGGTAACTGTCAGATCTTTATTGCAGCCTGGGGTTCACTCTTGAGCTAAAGACTCAAATATGTCTGCAGCCAGGTCTTCCCTGGTTGCAGCTCCAGACATCACCTCCGTGGAGGTCTTATCAGCATCTGTTTCCCACTTCCTCCACCCTAAGGAAGGACTCCAACTTTCCTAGGATGGAGGAGTGGAATTCCCTTTTTTTCCCTGGCGTTCATGGGAGCCATTGATTAGGTTGGGACACTGTCTCCCTCCGCTTTCTAGGAGTTGGCTCTGTCTCTGGCCAAAAGTGAAGGCCACACTCCCGTGACTGCTCTGGGAATGAGCTTGGTGTCTAATAACCCATGAAGGAGAGAGCACTTTGGAAGGCTCCTCTGTTCTCTCATGGCCATAAGGGGAAGCCAGCCTTGGGTGAAAGCAGAGGAGATGGGAGAGCCAAGGTCCTTGATGCCACTGTTGGGCCACTGAAATGAATCAAACAAAACCTGAAGTCCCTCCTCCTCCTGGACTGTTTCATGAATCATCATCACCCTTTACGGTTGGAGGATGGTTGAGGTGGGTTTTCTGCTCCAAAGCCTGCTACTTGAACCATCATGCTCCCACTCCATTGAGGTAATGGATTGGGAACCAATTCATCCTAAGTGTCTCTGCATCTCATTGCCACACTTAGTCTGGGCCAGCCTCTGTCTCCTGGACTTGGTGCTAGTCCCCCACAGTGTAACCAGAATGTGCTTGCTAAGAACAGAGGGTTTCTACATGTTGGTTCTGACTCCTTAGCAAGTTGTAATTCACAACTAATGTGGGTTGTGAAATCAATTCTGTGGGTCATGATCAGCATTTTAGTTTTTAGAGAAATAATAGACTACATGAAAATATTAGAGTGCATGCATGTAGTATGCCGAACTTTTAATGAAACATTTTTCTGAGTGGTTTGTACTGGGTCGTGGTGTAAAATGAGATTTTAGAGAGAAGTGAACTCAACAGACAGGCACTGGCGTGTGGAGGCAGAGCCCCTAGAACCCCAGAATCCTGGCCCAGCCTTAGTCCTTAGTCCCCGGAAAGCTAGCCAGTGGGGAGGGCCAGGGCATCAGCTCTTCACACCCCCTGCCCTGTTCTCAGAGGCAGTCTGGGTTGAGAAAACGCAAGCCCTGCACCTCCAAGAGCCTCTCCCCTCTTTGCAGGAAGGCCCAGCTGTTTCCCACCATGGTGCCTCTGTACATCCCAGTCCAGTTCCTGAAATGCGCTCTGTAGCCTGGAGAGCTCCTGCGCATCCTGTGAAGCCCCATCAAGAATCCGCTCTCCTGCAGTCCTTCCCCGAGGCCCTCGGAGGGTCCAAGACAGCCAATCCCTCTTCTCTGCGGTGACTCTTGCGGCCTCCCTCATCTCGTTCCCTCCGCAGGCCTCGAGTTACCCTTGCGCCTTCCACATTTACTGAATGAACAAAGGCCGGGGCTGGAATCAGGCAGGGCTTGAGCAAGTCGTGGCTCCACGTGCTAGGTGATCAGGGCAAGTTAATTAACACTTGGGCCTCAGTTTCCTCAGGTGTCCCACGGCGCTCCCTGTGCCCCCATCACGGGAGTGTTGGGGGAATTTAGCGCTTTCTCTCCCAGGGGTACTCGGCCCAGGGGCTGACCGGGTAAGCGGGAGGCTGGCACCGAGGCCCGCGGGGTGTCGGCCCCAAGCCCCTGAAGTCACAGAGGGCGGGCACGCCCGGAGGCGGGGCCGGGTGCGTCCTGGCGGGGGGATTGGCGGAGCCGGAGAGTGGCAGCGGGCATGGGGCGGGGCTGTCTCCAGGGAAACGCGACGCTCTCCGTAGGCGCAGGGCTGGCAAGCAGTCGGGACGGGAGCGCGGGCGTCCGCGGTGGCTGCAGTCCCGTCGGTCTCCCTGCTGTCCGGCGCGAGCTCTTCGAGTCTTGCTTGGTGCGGTCTCGCGACAGGAGCGCTGGGAGCCGGGGCTAGGGGGATCCCGGAGCTCCGTGGGGCGGCGGGTGCGGGGGGGCGCCAGGCTCGCGGTCCCCACCCCAGGGAGGGGCCGAGGGGCTGGGGGCGTGGGGTTAGGTGGGCGCGGCGTCTCCCGAGCCCACCCTCGAGCGCTGGCTTCAGAGGCCCGTGGCTGAGACCCGCTGTTAGCGGCGCCTCCTGGGCGATAGTGGGTGCGGGCCTGGCCTGGCCACGTGGCCGCGACCGCCCTTGCTGTGATTCCCGCCCACGAAGGGACAGGGACACCTGGGGACGCGGGTGAAGTTTACCCATGGTTCCGACAGGTCTCCCTGAGGACTCCCAGGGATGGTGGTCCGGGACCTGTGGGTGGCGGCCCAGGCTCCGGCGCGGTTCAGGGAGGGGCTTGGGTTCTCTGAGGCTCAGGGGCCGCGGGCCGGGCCTCGGGCGCCCTCTGAGTTCGCGGCGGGAGCCCTGGGGGCACATGTGCGGTCCTGACGTCGCTTGCAGGTTGGAAGACCACAGACATGGAAGGGGCCCATGCCTCCCTTAGCTTAGAGGACGAAGTCTCTGGGGCTGGCAGCCGCCAACGCCCGCTAGAGGGGAAGGGCGGCGAGACCCCTGCTGCCGAGGAGCCGGGGTCCCTGAAGAACTACGCTGTCTTCGCCACAAGGTGCGGGGGACCCTCCAGCGGGGAGGTCCGACCCTGACCTGGGGCCCAGGGTTAGCCGGGATTCTCCTTAAGGCAAGCAGTAAAAATCCCTGAACTGTGTTACTCCCTGAGAAACTAGTTTCTGGAGAAATCTGAAAGCCTCAACACTGTGTCAGCAACCTACTGAGGAAAACGACAATAGATGGTAATTGGAACCTTCTCATGTCCCTTCCTGCCTGCACACTCTGCCACCCGTGTCGCCGCCTAGTGGAGGGAGGGAACGTTTCCCTCACGAGATGGGGCTCCCAAGCTGTCTCCATCTTCACAGCTCTGTTGTTCACAGCCAGGGGCTGCCCTGGAGTCTCACTGCAGCATCTCACGAGGTCCCCCTGTCACCCCATCGTGCTTGTCCCTGTTTGTGGGCCTCCAAAACTCAGTCCCAGCCCTGGCCCAGTGTGATGGGTGTTGGGGACCAGCCTCAACACCACCCGTAGAGTGCCCAAAGTCTAGTGGGGACAAAGGATTGAGAAGAGACAGGTTAAGAATTGAAAGGTGGGGAGCCAGGGGGCCAGTTGCAAAATGGAGGCTGCAAAGGGCTCAGAGTTCTGGTCTCCACACTGTTTATTGAGCACACTTAGATCTGAGAAGCAGATGTTCAGGGCGAAACAGTGAAAGGGTGGCAGTGTGTCATAGGTGTAATCTATAGCAATATTGGTTTCAGTGAATCTCCTTTGTGCTCAAACAGCATATCTTTTAACTTATCGGAGAGTAACTGGTGGGAGCGGGCTTAGCTAGGAGCCTGCATGTCTGTCCACAGTCCAGGGCTTCAAAGGAGAGTCTTTCTCCTTGAACACAGTGTTTACAGATAAGAGAGCGGATCTCGCTCTGGGCATGGGAACATGATGGCAATTAGGAGGCTTTCCTCCTCAGAGGCCTCTTGTGGCTTTCCACAACTTATTGTCCCATATTTTCATGGCCTGTTTATGCAGGCACCCCACAAGCCCTTTTCCCACAAGCCCTTTTCCCAACAATGGGCTTTGGGAGGTGGCTGGGTTTAGATGGGGTGGTGAAGATGGAGCCCATGATGGGATGAGTGTACCTATGAGAAGCAGAAGAGCCCAGAGTTCCCCCATCCTCTCTCACTACCATGTGGGGAGCCAATGAGAAGGCGGCTCCACAGGCCAGGAAGAGGACCCTCCCTAGGCAGGGACGCTGCTGGCACCTTGGCCAGGGACGGCCGCCCTGCACAGCTGAGAACGGAAGGCCCTTTGAGACGCCCCATCCATCTGTGGGGGTCTCAGATGCTCTGTCCGTCTGGGGGGGAACTGAGATGCCCTGTCCATCTTTCATGGTCTGAGGCACCCCATCCACCTGTGTTGGTCTGGGATGCCCTGTCCTTCTGTAGGGGTCTGAGACACCCCATCCATCTGTGGAGGTCTGAGGCACCACGCCTTTTGTGGTCTGAGATGCCACGTCCGTCTGTGATGGTCTAAGACGCCCCATCCGTCTGTGGTGGTCTGAGACGCCCTGTCCATCTGTGGGGGGTCTGACATGCCCTGTCTGTCTGTGGACGCCCTATGAGTTACGGCAAATCCACCCTGGTTTGTGCTCCCCGCTGTTGCAGCATACTCCCCAGCCCTGCATCCATCCATCTGTCCACCTATCCACCTGTCCATCCTAGTATGAGCTGGCTGCCTCTCGAGCTGCCTTCCGACCTTCCATGGGTCCACATGTGTGGGCAGTCTGTTTTCTGTCCAGCTTGGGGCTGGCACTCCTGGCCCTTGAATGAGGACCCTGCTGTGGGCACCCACGTCCTGCAGGCAGCTGGAGTGGGACAGAGGGCCATCGATCTCAGGAGATGCCGCCAGCAGGCCCGGGCTGGACAGGCCGACTGGTCCTGCCTCTAGAGCCTGGCAGCATCTCTCCTATCCGTTGGCAGCCTTACTGTGCATTCCACTTCCTGTGTGGCCTTGGGCAATCGCTGCACCCTCTGTGCCTCGGTTTTCTCTCCAAGTGGAGTGGGGATGCAGCGGCACCTGCCCCGGGACTGTGGGATGAAATGAGATGCTGGGTTGTGCTCGGGGGTTGTGCTCAGCAGTCACTGAAGGCACTGCAGCCACTTCACTCTTCCCTCCTTCTGCTCCTGTCCTTTTAGGGATGTTTCAGCAGCCCCTGAGAAGGAAGAGGAGGAAGCTGAGGGCCCGCTGAGGGCGCAGGACCTGAGGGAGTCCTACATCCAGCTCGTCCAGGGTGTGCAGGAGTGGCAGGATGGTTGCATGTACCAGGGGGAGTTTGGGTTGAACATGAAGCTTGGATATGGCAAATTCTCTTGGCCCACAGGCGAGGTAACTGCTTCCACACTTTCTCCGCCTCCTCCCCTAGGGCCTCTGGTGGCTGGCCTTTATCCTTCCAAGAGTGATGGGACGGGAACTTTTAGGCCCATCAACAGGAAGGGTGCTAGGCTAAAGTTTTTCCTCCTTGAGAAATGTCCAGAGAAAAGCATCTTTCCCAACTTCCAAAATCACACCCATGGTTTGCTGGGGTCCCAGGATGAGGTTTGGGAAGCTGTGACTTAAGAAGATAAGTTCTTATTCTGGGCAGACGTTTTAAAATTATGAATTGCCATAGCAACTCGTATATTTACCTTGGTGAAATTGCCTGTGTCTAGGCTTAAGCAGAAGGCAGCGAATGTTCTAAAAGACAAAATGAGAACAAGTTTTGCACCCCCAGGCTAGGTCCTGAGCCCACATTCAATGCAGCTGAAACTGAAAAGGCCTCTGTTGGCGCTTGCCATGGAAAGTCCAGGGGTAAGGTAGCCTCAGGCCTGGCTGGATCCAGGATTCTAATGATGTAACTAGGTCCTCTCTCTTTCCATCTCCACGAGGGGGTTCTAAGACTGACCTTGTTCCATCTGCCCAGCCCCTGGGGGTGGCATCAAACACCCCTGGGAAAGAGAAAGGCCCCAGCAGGACGCTGGTCTGACTTGGGGATGCATGAAGTGCATCAAGATGGGGCAGGGGTAAGGCGTCCTCTGGTTGGCCAGGCCTGGCCCAGGCACTGGGGCTGGGTCCCTTGGGGAATCCTCTCTGTAGGGAGAGGGCATCTGTTGTCAGAAGAAAGGGAAGGGACACTAAGCTGTGAAAACTGCCATGCCCTTCACGTCGGGGTCAGGTCTGGGTGGACTGTGAGCATGGATGGCTGTGCGGGCACTCCAGGCCCACCCTGTTTCTGAGAAAAAGGTGGTGCTTGGCACTCAGCATGAGGTCTCCTGGCTGGAAGCCCTTGTCATGAATGTCACATTCTTTTTTTTTTTCGAGATGGAATTTCACTCTTGTTGCCCAGGCTGGAGTGCAAATGGCACAATCTCGGCTCACTGCAACCTCTGCCTCCAGGGTTCTAGTGATTCTCCTGCCTCAGCCTCCTGAGTAGCTGGGATTACAGGCATGCACCACCACGCCCAGCTAATTTTTGTATTTTTAGTAGAGACAGGGTTTCACCATGTTGGTCAGGCTGGTCTTGAACTCCTGACCTTAGATGATCCGCCTGCCTCGGCCTCCCAAAGTGCTGGAATTACAGATGTGAGCCACCACACCCGGCCAAATGTCACATTCTTTTTCCCTCTGGGGGCCTTGGTAAAGGGGCAGGCTCTGATACACTCACTCCTGTTGTTTGTGGAGCTCACGTGTCCAACCAGTGCTGAAGAGTTATAAATCAGAGTCCTCCCCTGTGCCTACTGGGGCCTACAGCCAGCCTTCCAGGGCCAGCCTGTCACCTGTGAACCTGGCAGGGAGCTCAGCAGCATGGGGCTCCTGAGTGGGGACAGGACCCTCCAAACCTAAGATCAAGGTCACCAGGGAGAAGGCATGTCCGTGCTCTCCTGACTCAGGATGTCTAGGTAGTTTTAAGCCTCCCCACAGTCCCCCACCTGAGGAGAAGACAGAGAGGGAGCCTGGCTATCAGGCTGACTGCCTGGTAACCCCTCTGGGTGCTTCAGTTGCCGACTCTAATAGTCGCATGCCAGGCATCCCTGAGTTCTGCCACAGCCCTGGGTGGTCCCCATTCATTGCCAACCAGGCATGGTGGCTCAGCCTCAAGGGCATCCCGTCAGGTTCTGGAAGAGCAGCAATTTCTCACCAACTTCTCCATCTCACAGTCATACCATGGGCAGTTTTACCGGGACCACTGCCATGGCCTGGGTACCTACATGTGGCCAGATGGCTCCAGTTTCACGGGCACATTTTACCTCAGCCACCGAGAAGGCTACGGCACCATGTACATGAAGACACGGCTTTTCCAGGTGAGGGGGCTGCCATGTGTTCAGCTGGGGTCGAAGTGGCTGTGTGTGTCTAAGCCACTGGACAAAAAGATATTTCGGTCCTGGGGAAGTTTATTTGTTTAGCTACAAGTAGCTTTTTTACTTTTAATGATTAAAATGGTACCAATAATAAGGATATAGACTGAAAATAAAAGCCTCCTTGCATTTTATTCCCCAGAGGGATACCAGCAAATTGTTACATGTCCTTTAGATTTAAGAAACGCACGTGTTTATTTTTAAATATGTAAACTGGATCACTGTACACATAATGTTTGAAATGTGCCTTTTTAAATGGAGAACATGCCTAGTCTTTCAAATACAGATGCCTTTCCCCCTTTTATTACAGTATAATTTACAGTAAAATTCACCCATTTTAATATATAGTTCTGAAATTTTTGACAATTACAGGGTTGTGTAACTACTACTGTAGTCAGGATATACAAACAGTTCCATCACCCTCAAAATATTGCCATGGCCTTTGTAATAAATGTCTCCTTCAACAAACTGTGGCTGATCTATTTTGGCCTAGAATTTTGCCCTTGTGAGAATGCCATATTAATGGTGTCAACAGAAAAAAAACAAACTCTGCAAAATATTTTAAAGAGGTTTATTCTGAGCCAATATGAGTGGCTGTTACTGAAACACCAGGGGTTCGCTCTAGATCTTTCCGCTTCCTGCACAGAAAGCCCATCACTGAGACAATGAGTATTGCCAAGGAAGAAGGCTGTAATTTGGAGGTGCAGCTGAAGAGATGGGAGCTTAATCTCAAATCCATCCCCCTGACTAAAACTAGGGGTTTATATATCAAGGAAGAAATGTAATAATGTGTGAGAAAGCAGGAACTTGGGAGGGGTGAGGAAGCAGTCACGGTGAACAAAGGGCCTGGAGTCACATTGAATGCCATGGTCTGGTGAGTTTCAGTTCTTTGATACTTTCTGAGAGGAGTTTCAGCTCTTTGATACTTTTTGAGAGGCCTGAAGGTCTTTCCTGAGGAAGAAACTCAGATAAAACAAATTTAAGTTTCAAGCTTTAAGACCAGAAGGGTCAATTTCTATGTTTATCTGGAAACAACTCTCTGTAGGATTACTGGGCTGGTTTCAGTCCCCCCTTTTTGTTTATCAGTTCCTCAACCATGGGGAATCAGGTTGTGGGTCTTTCTGGCTGCTCCATGCTGAGGAGGGGCGTTGTGGGCAGCTCCATACCATGGGTGACCATGTGGTCACTTAGGAATCAAAGGTTAATCTAAATAGAGTTTTCTTCTAAAAGACAATCTCTTTCCATTCCCCCACTTGCATCAAAGACAAATAACAGTAGGACAACCTACTTGCAAAATAAGCTTCAGTTTCCTGGTGCCCTGATCACCCACACAAAGCACAGCAAGAACTGTGGTTCGCATAGGCTGTCCTAAACTGGCTTTGCCGGAACCTCTCGCAAGGCCATTTCAGTTAAAGCCTTGGGAAAATAACCAGTTCCCCCAGCTGTGTCCCATTATAAAATAAAACAGATTCTTATTAAACATATGCAAACAAACACGTTGCCATGAATTAAGAATATTCACAAATAGTTTAAAAATTCTGGAGAAATTAGGCAGAGAGAAATATGACTCAAATTTTGTTTACAAATGTATACTCTACTCAGTACACTTAAAGTATATTTCAAGGTTATGAATAGCTCAAAAGAAAAAAATTATCCTGACTCTGAAAGACAAAAGAAGAATCAGCAATATTTCAAAAAAAAAAAAAACATAAAAAGCATTCCAGTGTTCTGTTAGCTGAGTCCATGCAGTCAGCTCCTGCCCTGTGTCATATTGGGTGAGCAATGTTTATGAACACATCAGCCTTCCAATTAGTGCAGTGGAAGTTTTCTCTCTCATCCAGTGGCACAATCGCCAAAGTTATCAGACACCTGAATTCAATAGTCCTTTTCAGGAACTCCCCCAAAGAAGCAAGCCCTGGACGGTAGCTGATTACAAGTCACTTTTTTTGAGAAAGATCAAAGCAAAACAATTGTGGATGACAAAAGTCTTAAGGCAGCCATAGTCAAAAGATAGAGATGACAAGGAAATTTGGTTATTTCTGTGTCATACAACAATTTAACATAATAATCATTAACTATTGTTGACAACATATATTTAAACATATTAGAATTTCAAGAATGTCATAAATCCTGGAACACATATTAATAACATGTATATAAATAAAACCCAAAGAAAGTTAAATACCACCTCACAATTTACAATGCTTCCGGTATAATTCTAATATAACAAATAAGCCTAATATGTCTTTCTTGGACTTCAGGAAGCCTAATATCCAAAAAAAGTTAATTTAAGATCAAAAATTTACCTTCATCAAGAGTAAGATCTTTTTTTTTAAATTTATTATTATTATACTTTAAGTTTCAGGGTACATGTGCACAATGTGCAGGTTAGTTACATATGTATACATGTGCCATGCTGGTATGCTGCACCCACTAACTCGTCATCTAGCATTAGGTATATCTCCCAATGCTATCCCTCCCCCCTCCCCCCACCCCACAGCAGTCCCCAGAGTGTGATGTTCCCCTTCCTGTGTCCATGTGTTCTCGTTGTTCAATTCCCGCCTATGAGTGAGAATACGCGGTGTTTGGTTTTTTGTTCTTGCGATAGTTTACCGAGAATGATGATTTCCAATTTCATCCATGTCCCTACAAAGGATGTGAACTCATTTTTTATGGCTGCATAGTATTCCATGGTGTATATATGCCACATTTTCTTAATCCAGTCTATCATTGTTGGACATTTGGGTTGGTTCCAAGTCTTTGCTATTGTGAATAATGCCACAATAAACATACGTGTGCATGTGTCTTTATAGCAGCATGATTTATAGTCCTTTGGGTATATACCCGGTAATGGGATGGCTGGGTCAAATGGTATTTCTAGTTCTAGATCCCTGAGGAATCGCCACACTGACTTCCACAATGGTTGAACTAGTTTACAGTCCCACCAACAGTGTAAAAGTGTTCCTGTTTCTCCACATCCTCTCCAGCACCTGTTGTTTCCTGACTTTTTAATGATTGCCATTCTAACTGGTGTGAGATGGTATCTCATTGTGGTTTTGATTTGCATTTCTCTGATAGCCAGTGATGGTGAACATTTTTTCATGTGTTTTTTGGCTGCATAAATGTCTTCTTTTGAGAAGTGTCTGTTCATGTCCTTCACCCACTTTTTGATGGGGTTGTTTGTTTTTTTCTTGTAAATTTGTTTTGAGTTCATTGTAGATTCTGGATATTAGCCCTTTGTCAGATGAGTAGGTTGTGAAAATTTTCTCCCATTTTGTAGGTTGCCTGTTTACTCTGATGGTAGTTTCTTTTGCTGTGCAGAAGCTCTTTAATTTAATTAGATCCCATTTGTCAATTTTGGCTTTTGTTGCCATTGCTTTTGGTGTTTTAGACATGAAGTCGTTGCCCATGCCTATGTCCTGAATGGTAATGCCTAGGTTTCTTCTAGGGTTTTTATGGTTTTAGGTCTAACGTTTAAGTCTTTAATCCATCTTGAATTGATTTTTGTATAAGGTGTAAGGAAGGGATCCAGTTTCAGCTTTCTACATATGGCTAGCCAGTTTTCCCAGCACCATTTATTAAATAGGGAATCCTTTCCCCATTGCTTGTTTTTCTCAGGTTTGTCAAAGATCAGATAGTTGTAGATATGCGGCGTTATTTCTGAGGGCTCTGTTCTGTTCCATTGATCTATATCTCTGTTTTGGTACCAGTCCCATGCTGTTTTGGTTACTGTAGCCTTGTAGTATAGTTTGAAGTCAGGTAGTGTGATGCCTCCAGCTTTGTTCTTTTGGCTTAGGATTGACTTGGCGATGCGGGCTCTTTTTTGATTCCATATGAACTTTAAAGTAGTTTTTTCCAATTTTGTGAAGAAAGTCATTGGTAGCTTGATGGGGATGGCATTGAATCTGTAAATTACCTTGGGCAGTATGGCCATTTTCACGATATTGATTCTTCCTCCCAATGAGCATGGAATGTTCTTCCATTTGTTTGTATCCTCTTTTATTTCCTTGAGCAGTGGTTTGTAGTTCTCCTTGAAGAGGTCCTTCACATCCCTTGTAAGTTGGATTCCTAGGTATTTTATTCTCTTTGAAGCAATTGTGAATGGGAGTTCACTCATGATTTGGCTCTCTGTTTGTCTGTTGTTGGTGTATAAGAATGCTTTTGATTTTTGTACATTGATTTTGTATCCTGAGACTTTGCTGAAGTTGCTTATCAGCTTAAGGAGATTTTGGGCTGAGACAATGGGGTTTTCTAGATATACAATCATGTCGTCTGCAAACAGGGACAATTTGGCTTCCTCTTTTCCTAATTGAATACCCTTTATTTCCTTCTCCTGCCTAATTGCCCTGGCCAGAACTTCCAACACTATGTTGAATAGGAGTGGTGAGAGAGGGCATCCCTGTCTTGTGCCCGTTTTCAAAGGGAATGCTTCCAGTTTTTGCCCATTCAGTATGATACTGGCTGTGGGTTTGTCATAGATAGCTCTTATTATTTTGAGATACGTCCCATCAATACCTAATTTATTGAGAGTTTTTAGCGTGAAGTGTTGTTGAATTTTGTCAAAGGTCTTTTCTGCATCTAGTGAGATAATCATGTGGTTTTTGTCTTTGGTTCTGTTTATACGCTGGATTACATTTACTGATTTGCGTATATTGAACCACCCTTGCATCCCAGGGATGAAGCCCACTTGATCATGGTGGATAAGCTTTTTGATGTGCTGCTGGATTCGGTTTGGCAGTATTTTATTGAGGATTTTTGCATCAATGTTCATCAAGGATATTGGTCTAAAATTCTCTTTTTTGGTTGTGTCTCTGCCCGGCTTTGGTATCAGGATGATGCTGGCCTCATAAAATGAGTTAGGGAGGATTCCCTCTTTTTTTATTGATTCGAATAGCTTCAGAAGGAATGGTACCAGTTCCCCCTTGTACCTCTGGTAGAATTCGGCTGTGAATCCATCTGGTCCTGGACTCTTTTTGGTTGGTAAACTATTGATTATTGCCACAATTTCAGCTCCTGTTATTGGTCTATTCAGAGATTCAACTTCTTCCTGGTTTAGTCTTGGGAGAGTGTATGTGTTGAGGAATTTATCCATTTCTTCTAGATTTTCTAGTTTATTTGCGTAGAGGTGTTTGTAGTATTCTCTGATGGTAGTTTGTATTTCTGTGGGATCGGTGGTGATATCCCCTTTATCATTTTTTATTGCATCTATTTGATTCTTCTCTCTTTTTTTCTTTATTAGTCTTGCTAGCAGTCTATCAATTTTGTTGATCCTTTCAAAAAACCAGCTCCTGGATTCATTAATTTTTTGAAGGGTTTTTTGTGTCTCTATTTCCTTCAGTTCTGCTCTGATTTTAGTTATTTCTTGCCTTCTGCTAGCTTTTGAATGTGTTTGCTCTTGCTTTTCTAGTTCTTTTAATTGTGATGTTAGGGTGTCAATTTTGGATCTTTCCTGCTTTCTCTTGTGGGCATTTAGTGCTATAAATTTCCCTCTACACGCTGCTTTGAATGCGTCCCAGAGATTCTGGTATGTTATGTCTTTGTTCTCGTTGGTTTCAAAGAATATCTTTATTTCTGCCTTCATTTCGTTATGTACCCAGTAGTCATTCAGGAGCAAGTTGTTCAGTTTCCATGTAGTTGAGCGGTTTTGAGTGAGATTCTTAATACTGAGTTCTAGTTTGATTGCACTGTGGTCTGAGAGGATAGTTTGTTATAATTTCTGTTCTTTTACATTTGCTGAGGAGAGCTTTACTTCCAAGTATGTGGTCAATTTTGGAATAGGTGTGGTGTGGTGCTGAAAAAAATGTATATTCTGTTGATTTGGGGTGGAGAGTTCTGTAGGTGTCTATTAGGTCTGCTTGGTGCAGAGCTGAGTTCAATTCCTGGGTATCCTTGTTGACTTTCTGTCTCATTGATCTGTCTAATGTTGACAATGGGGTGTTAAAGTCTCCCATTATTAATGTGTGGGAGTCTAAGTCTCTTTGTAGGTCACTCAGGACTTGCTTTATGAATCTGGGCGCTCCTGTATTGGGTGCATATATATTTAGGATAGTTAGCTCTTCTTGTCGAATTGATCCCTTTACCATTATGTAATGGCCTTCTTTGTCTCTTTTGATCTTTGTTGGTTTAAAGTCTCTTTTATCAGAGACTAGTATTGCAACCCCTGCCTTTTTTTGTTTTCCATTTGCTTGGTAGATCTTCCTCCATCCTTTTATTTTGAGCCTATGTGTGTCTCTGCACGTGGGATGGGTTTCCTGAATACAGCACACTGATGGGTCTTGACTCTTTATCCAGTTTGCCAGTCTGTGTCTTTTAATTGGAGCATTTAGTCCATTTACATTTAAAGTTAATATTGTTATGTGTGAATCTGATCCTGTCATTATGATGTTAGCTGGTTATTTTGCTCGTTAGTTGATGCAGTTTCTTCCTAGTCTCAATGGTCTTTACATTTTGGCATGATTTTGCAGCGGCTGGTATCAGTTGTTCCTTTCCATGTTTAGCGCTTCCTTCAGGAGCTCTTTTAGGGCAGGCCTGGTGGTGACAAAATCTCTCAGCATTTGCTTGTCTGTAAAGTATTTTATTTCTCCTTCACTTATGAAGCTTAGTTTGGCTGGATATGAAATTCTGGGTTGAAAATTCTTTTCTTTAAGAATGTTGAATATTGGCCCCCACTCTCTTCTGGCTTGTAGGGTTTCTGCCGAGAGATCCACTGTTAGTCTGACGAGCTTCCCTTTGAGGGTAACCCGACCTTTCTCTCTGGCTGCCCTTAACATTTTTTCCTTCATTTCAACTTTGGTGAATCTGACAATTATGTGTCTTGGAGTTGCTCTTCTTGAGGAGTATCTTTGTGGCGTTCTCTGTATTTCCTGAATCTGAATGTTGGCCTGCCTTGCTAGATTGGGGAAGTTCTCCTGGATGATATCCTGCAGAGTGTTTTCCAATTTGGTTCCATTCTCCCCGTCACTTTCAGGTATACCAATCAGACGTAGATTTGGTCTTTTCACATAGTCCCGTATTTCTTGGAGGCTTTGCTCGTTTCTTTTTATTCTTTTTTCTCTAAACTTCCCTTCTCGCTTCATTTCATTCACTTCATCTTCCATCGCTGATACCCTTTCTTCCAGTTGATCGCATCGGCTCCTGAGGCTTCTGCATTCTTCACGTAGTTCTCGAGCCTTGGTTTTCAGCTCCATCAGCTCCTTTAAGCACTTCTCTGTATTGGTTATTCTAGTTATACATTCTTCTAAAGTTTTTTCAAAGTTTTCAACTTCTTTGCCTTTGGTTTGAATTTCCTCCCGTAGCTTGGAGTAATTTGATCGTCTGAAGCCTTCTTCTCTCAGCTCGTCAAAGTCATTCTCCGTCCAGCTTTGTTCCGTTGCTGGTGAGGAACTGCGTTCCTTTGAAGGAGGAGAGGCGCTCTGCTTTTTAGAGTTTCCAGTTTTTCTGCTCTGCTTTTTCCCCATCTTTGTGGTTTTATCTACTTTCGGTCTTTGATGATGGTGATGTACAGATGGGTTTTTGGTGTGGATGTCCTTTCTATTTGTTAGTTTTCCTTCTAACAGACAGGACCCTCAGCTGCAGGTCTGTTGGAGTACCCGGCCCTGTGAGGTGTCAGTCTGCCCCTGCTGGGGGGTGCCTCCCAGTTAGGCTGCTCGGGGGGTCAGAGGTCAGGGACCCACTTGAGAAGGCAGTCTGCCCGTTCTCAGATCTCCAGCTGCGTGCTGGGAGAACCACTGCTCTCTTCAAAGCTGTCAGACAGGGACATTTAAGTCTGCAGAGGTTACTGTTGTCTTTTTGTGTGTCTGTGCCCTGCCCCCAGAGGTGGAGCCTACAGAGGCAGGCAGGCCTCCTTGAGCTGTGGTGGGCTCCACCCAGTTGGAGCTTCCCGGCTGCTTTGTTTACCTAAGCAAGCCTGGGCAATGGCGGGCGCCCCTCCCCCAGCCTCGCTGCCGCCTTGCAGTTTGATCTCAGACTGCTGTGCTAGCAATCAGCGAGACTCCGTGGGCGTAGGACCCTCCGAGCCAGGTGCGGGATGTAATCTCCTGGTGCGCCGTTTTTTAAGCCCGTCAGAAAAGCGCAGTATTCGGGTGGGAGTGACCCGATTTTCCAGGTGCCGTCTGTCACCCCTTTCTTTGACTAGGAAAGGGAACTCCCTGACCCCTTGCGCTTCCTGAGTGAGGCAATGCCTCGCCCGGCTTCGGCTTGCGCACAGTGCGCGCACCCACTGACCTGCGCCCACTGTCTGGCACTCCCTAGTGAGATGAACCCGGTACCTCAGGTGGAAATGCAGAAATCACCCATCTTCTGCGTCGCTTATGCTCGGAGCTGTAGACCAGAGCTGTTCCTATTCAGCCATCTTGGCTCCTCCCCCCCCAAGAGTAAGACCTTTAACTTTGAGCAATGTTAATTAGCCAAACTTCTCCAATGTTCTATCAGGTTTTAAAGAATATTTTACTATCTAAACTTTTTCAACTTTCTATTTTCTCTGCATGTGCATGAAGATAGATACACAGAGAAACAGGAAAAAATTACATATGCTTTACACAAGACCATCTGTGACATGCTTGGACTTTCTGATTTGTCCTAAATTTTCTTTCTTTTTTAAGTAACCAATCATTTTAGGACAAAAATTTACCGCACAAGATTTCTTTCTCATGAAAAATTATTATTTTTTCTTTATAACCTTCCTTAACAAATATATATCTTCATATTCATAACTTTCTTCACATCTCTTTCCCCTACTTACTGGTTCCTTTCTACTTTGTTTCATGAATAACCTTTTAACTCTATAATTTGAACTAACCTTTAGATAACGTCTAAGTTGGACAAAATTATTCTTTTTCTCACAGCACATCTTCTTTGGTATATTTTATATACAGAATTATAATTAACTACAACTTTTATTCTTAGTAACCTTACATTTTAGTGAAACCCTAGGAAGCAAGAAATCCCAAACTATCAGATGTTAGCATTTTATAGATGAGAACAGTTCCACAATTTTTAGAAACATATTTCCCCATATCATAACCTTTTCTTCATTGGAAATGACTTAGGTATCTAATGAACGTTAAAAATAA